>NC_000011.10:58464467-58767498 GCF_000001405.40 Homo sapiens
TCTGTCACCAGGCTGGTGTGTAGTGGCACAATCTTGGCTCACTGCAACCTCCACCTCCCTGGTTCAAGTGATTCTCTTGCCTCAGCCTCCCGAGTAGCTGGGACTACAGGCGTGCGCCACTGCACCCAGCTAATTTTTGTATTTTTAGTAGAGACAGGGTTTCACTATGTTGGCCAGGATGGTCTGGATCTCTTGACCTCGTGATCTGCCCGCCTCGGCCTTCCATAGTGCTGGGATTACAGGTGTGAGCCACCACACCCAGCCAAATACAATACTTTTTAAGGCTTCCCTGGGGAAGGCAATCCCAATTCTCTGTGTACCAATTTCCCTTCTCCAGTTGCGGCACCATAACCACCAGCATCCTTATGGGGTGAGGTTGGAGGGAGACTTACTAGGAGAAGCAAGTTATAGCTTCCCCTTTGCACTGGGTCTAGAAGAATCTTATTTCATCCCTTTGAATATACCATTCTGTCCATAAGTGCATTCCTTGGCACTCCATGCCAAATCTCAAAAGTCTAAATTCTAGGTTTGTGTTTCAGATTTGAAGAAAATGAATGAGTTCCTTTACTTCTCTTAGCCTCATTTTCTATATCTTTTTAATTAAATTAGTAATATGTAGTCCTGTGGCTTAGGAATGAAATAAGATAAAGGACTTTCAATATTTGGCAAAGCGCTCAACCTATTTAAAAATATCACTCCTGTTATCACAGAGTATTAGCTGAGATCATTCTGACTAAAGGAATGCAGCAGTATCACTATGAGGGCAAGGGCCCCCAGTAAGGGGGTCCTTGAAGACCTCATTAAAATAAAAGCAAATCAAGTAAACAGGGTTGCTCAGGCACCAGGTTGTTCCCACTACAGTGAGCTTGAATAAAGCCAGATCGAGATTTAAGGGTCTGGTGATTGATGTCTTGAAGGAGATTATACTGACATGGAGATCTTAGGGGACAATTTCTCCTGGGAATACATCTACAACTCCATGTCTCATGTACTGAATATTTTAATTTAAATTTTGCCTGTGGGGACCAAGTTCTAAAGGAATTTGTTAAGGAAAGTCATGGGTAGGTGAATTTTTATTTCTTCTCCAATATGCCTATTTGTTCTCAAAAATAAAGAAAAAGAGACTTAATTTTCTTGGCAGCAATGGATGTGGTTACCAGGACAGTGAAAAGAACACAGTCTGGGACTTCCAACTAGTCACAAAGACTTTAGACAACATAATTTCCAGGTCAAGTGGGACTTTTCTTCTTTCTTTTTGCAAATAAACATTTTGTGTGTTGATTGTGCCTCTTGACTCCTGAAGCCATCACCTGACTGATACTAAAATCTGGCACATGGCTGGCACTCCCACTTTATACTCTGAATATTTATCTTTGTTCTCTTTCCTGTACTGTATATTGCACAACTTCATATGAAATTATATATCTTGGACTTATTACAGCTGCAGGTAAATTGTGTGGCTTTTCTTGTGGTTCATTTCCACGTAGTGACTAAGAAATCCAACTTCCTTACATGGCTGTAGTCCCAGCTACCGAGGAGGCTGAGGAAGAAGAATCACCTGGGCCCAAGATGTCGAGGCTGCAGTAAGTGGTGATTGCATCACTGCACTCCAGCCTGGGTGGCACAGTTAGACTTTGTCTCAAAAAATATTACATTTTAATTTTAAATGGCTCTAGAATCAAATCACAACTCCTGTGCCACAATTGTGCCACAATCATGTTTTCTATTTCTTTTACCACATCTTTGTTAACTCTTTACCACATCTTTGTTAAGTCCATTTGTTTAGAAAGAGGAAGAGAAGGCTTAGCCGTGTTTTACAAATACAGTGTTTTATCTAAGAAAATATCAAATCTGCTTCTATTATGATTACTTGTTCCTAAAAGCAAACAGGCAGTAGGTGACAAAAGATGTACAGCTCCCAAGAATAGCATGGTTCCAGTTATCTTTCATTGTGTAACTAACAACTTCAAAATTTAATGCCTTAAAACACATATTTTAATCATTAGTGTTCAGTTTGAGTACAGCTTTGTAGGGACAACTCATCTCTGCTCTATTCAGCAGCAGCTGGAGCACCTCAAAGCCTGAACACTATAATCATCAGAAGGCTCACCTACCTGAGTCGAGAAAAATCAAACAGCTGGGAACTGGTATAGATGAGATTCCTAAACTATCTCTGTATTCTCTCTACTTTGTTCTCTCTAGCATGTTGGCTTCAGAATAGTTGGTCTTCTTATATGCTCACCCAAAACTCCCATAATGCATGTTCTAAGACAAAGACCCAAGCAAAAGCTATATCGCCTTCTAAGACCTAGCTTCGCAGATGCGCACAGTGGCACACACCTGTAATCCCAGTATTTGGTAGGCTGAGAGTGGTGGATCACTTGAGCTCAGGAGTTTGAGATCAGCCAGGGCAACATGGCAAACTCCTGTCTATGCAAAATCGAAAAAATTAGCCAGGCATGGTGGCTCACACCTGTAATACCAGCTACTCAGGAGACTGAGGTGGGAGAATCACTTAAGCCCAGGAGATCAAGGCTGCAGTGAGCCAAGATCACACCATTGAACTGCAGCCTGGGTGACAGGGTGAGACCCTGTCTCAAACAAAACAAAACAAAACAAAACAAAACAAAACAAAATCCCAAAAGTCCTAGTCTCAGAAAGTACACAATGTTACTTTTATTACATTCTGTTTGTTGAGGTAGTCTCAAAGGCCTGCCCAGTTTCAAAAGGAGGGGAAATAGACTCCACTCCTTAATGGTGTATGTTAAGTTTCTTGAAGAGCACGTGGAACTAAAAATATTGTTGAGGCAATTTGGGGAAAATAAAATTTATGACAGGCATACTCTACAAGTCCACATCAGAAGTGTTTCTTGAAGATAAATGACAGGGAAGGACTTCTGAGAATGAAAAACGAGAGACTTGACAGAACAAGAGGAAAGAATGTTTCTACCAGAGAATAGAACCACAGTGTCTTAGTCCGTTCAGGCTGCTATAACAAAATGCCTGAGACTGGGTAGTTTATAAACAATAGAAATGTATTTATTACAGTTCTAATGGCTGAGATGTCCAAGATCAAAGCACCAGAAGAGTCAGTGTCTGTTGAGGGCTCTCTGCTTCACAGAAGATGCTTTCTATGTGCCCTCATACAGCAGGAGGGGCAAACAAGCTCCCTCAGGTCACTTTTATGAAAGCACTAATCCCATTGATGCAGGAAGAGCCCTCATGACCTAAGCATCTATTAAAAACCTCACCACTTGATATTACTACATTGGTAATTAGATTTTAACATGAATTTGGGGGTCACAAACAATTAGACCTCAGCACATGATTTAACTAAAAAAGTTTTGATCCCAGCACTTTGGGAGGCCGAGGCGGGCGGATCACGAGGTCAGGAGATCGAGACCATCCCGGCTAAAACGGTGAAACCCCGTCTCTACTAAAAATACAAAAAATTAGCCGGGCGTAGTGGCGGGCGCCTGTAGTCCCAGCTACTTGGGAGGCCGAGGCAGGAGAATGGCGTGAACCCGGGAGGCAGAGCTTGCAGTGAGCCGAGATCCCGCCACTGCACTCCAGCCTGGGCGACAGAGCGAGACTCAGTCTCAAAAAAAAAAAAAAAAAAAAAAAAAGTTTTGAGCCTTGGAAATTCTTGTCCAAGGCTCATGACATAATAATGGTTATAAGTATAATAATAATATAACCATAATAATGGTTATAAGTATAATAATAATATAACCATAATAATGGTTATAAGTATAATTACCATCTTGTCTTTACTTATTCCTTGTTCTGAATAATTTTTTTTCAGTTACCCTATTTCTATCCCACCATTCTATATTTGGTGTGTAGGAGGGAAATATATGTGAGACCATGAGAAGTCAGTCCTGATAAAGAAGTCTGTCTGCACAGATAGTATTTTTTTAATCTTTGATCCTCCTTAGTAAGGATGTGACTATGTTCTAGGTAATGGATAAAGAAAGTTTAAACATATTTGGGGACCATGGAGACAAAAATAAATCAAAGCACTAGTTATCTCACAATGTCACATTTTTCTTTATTCTATAGTAATAGAGTTTTAGCAAGACATATGATTATGCAGGTAAAACTACATTTCCAAGACCTCTTTGCGGATAGATATGTTGAAGTGACTAAATGAGAAGAAATGATGGGTGCCACTTCTGAGCCCTAAGCGCAAATGGTTGGGCAAGCACTCTCTTGGACACTGTTTTTTCTTTCCTATTGGATAACAGATGATGAGTACCAGAACAAATACTGAAGCCATGCTGAGGATAGCACTCTTGGACTGCTTGCTTCTGGACTATTACATAAGAACAACGCTGCTATTGAAGAAAAATCAGAAAATTAGAGCAAAAGAGATTAAACAGATAATCAGCAAACAGATATGAAAAATAAACACATCACTACAGATCATAGGTATTAATAGATCCAGAGTGAATTATAAAGTAATAAAATGGAAAATTCAGATAAAACATACACAATCCTAGATAGAGCACAACTTACCAGAAGCTAATTCCAGTATCTATTTAAAAGTTAAATATATAATTAAATCCTTTTTGACAAATACATATCCAACGTCTAAATGGTTTCACCTCTAAATAGTATCAAACATTTAAGAAAGAAATATCAGTTCTGCCTCTTGAATGACAATGTGAGGAGCTCTGCAGGCATTTCCTCGATGATGCTAGTAAAAAAAATTTTAAAAACAATCAGCCAGGTGTGGTGGCTTATCCTAGCACTTTGGGAGGCTGAGGCAGAAGAACTGCTTGAAGGCAGGAGTTTGAGGCTAGCCTGGGCAAAATGGTGAGACTCCACCTCTACAAACAAACAAAAACCAATCATCTGAAGCCTCTGTAAATAGTCCTAAGGATATACAGAAAATGAAGAAACACTCATTTCAGTCAATCTATTAAAATTTCTTAAAAACAGAAAGAATCTGTATTAGTCAGTGTTCTCTAGATGGACAGGACTAATAGGATAGATGTAAATATGAAAGGGAGTTTATTAAGGAGTATTGACTCACACAATTATAAGGTGAAGTCCCACAATAGGTCGTCTGAAAGCTGAGGAGCAAGGAAGCCAGTCCGAGTCCCAAAACCTCAAAAATAGGGAAGCTGACAATGCAGCCTTCAGTCTGTGGCTGAAAGCCTGAGAGCCCCTGGCAAACCAAAAGTCCAAAAGCTGAAGAACTTGGGGTCTGATGTTCAAGGGCAAGAAGCATCCAGCACAGGAGAAAGATGGAGGACAGAAGACTCAGCCATTCTAGTCCTTCCATGCTCCTCTGCCTGCTTTTATCCTAGCCACACTGGCAACTGATTAGATGGTGCCTACCCAGATTGAGGGTGGGTCTGACTCTCCCTGTCCACAGATTCAAATGTTAATCTCCTTTGGCAACACCCTCAGACACACACAGGAACAATACTTTGCATACTTCAATACAATCAAGTTGACACTCAATATTAACCATCACAGAATCTAGCATTTTAATCACATCTTATTTATTTCCTTTCACGATCAGGCCAATGTAATGAAAACTCCATTCCAGAAACATGTAGCCAAGAACACAGGGGTTCCTCTCCCCCAGCTTCTAGTTGAGGGCAATAGTATCTTTCTGTGAGGAAAAGAATACCAGCAATTCTCATATGGCCCCCAAGCTAACTGTGGTAGAAGCTACATTCCAAACAAATGTGCTGAAGAGGTAAGGAGTTCCTTTTTTTTCCCAGCCTTTACTTGTTTCATGGACCTTCTACCTAAGGCATGGCATTCTGGGAATAATGAGACCTCATTCACTTTTGTCCTGAATTTCTTATAATGCAGAGGTTTCTTTCTAGGAGAATCAAACTGTGAAGACTAGATAACAATGCTGCTTGCTCAGTTTCCTGCTCTTAAACAGAATATCAGTTATAAAGAAGAAATGTGCCACTGTCTTCACCAGCTGCTCCAGAGCCATAGCTTAAATCTTTAGACTAGGGGAAGAGGCAGGTAAAAATAATAGAGATACAAAGCTCTCCCCAAAACAAATGGCTTTATTTGAGACAGAGTATTGGGAAGTTCAATCCCAAGAGAACTCTTAAACATAAGGAAGTTTTAATGGAAGGCAATTAAGAGGAGACTCATGGCTTTGTAAGACATGCAAGTTAAACCATAGGCCAGCTATAGAACCATGAAGAATTGGGAAAGTGGCAACTAAGAAGAGCTCTCCTTAGGTAAGAAGAATTCTCAAATACTGATATCAAAAACTATCCCTTCAAAAGAGACCAAATTTAATCAGATCAGCCTGTGGAGAAATATATGGCACAGAACATTGTAGAAAACAGTAATCATACAGCAGTATTTGAGTTTAACACATGGGTATTATTGTAGAAAAAGGGTCAAATCTAGCCTGTTAAAACCATGGTCATCCCAGACTGACTGTACATATGCCCCAAAATGTGCCTCCTAAGGAGAAACATCAGAGACTTTACACTGCAGAGGAAATAGACTTCACTGAAATAGTCCAACCAGTGGTGAACAGTGACTAAACAAATAGACTAGTAACAATAACTAGCCCTGTAATGGGGGAACCAGTAGCCACAGTTGCTACAATATATAATCTAAAATGTCCAGACTTCAGCAACAAAAAAAATGGAAACATACAGTGAAATACAAAAGGCTGACTCTTTGGGAGGCTGAGGCAGGTGGATCATGAGGCCAAGAGATCAAGACCATCCTGACGAACATGGTGAAACCCCATCTCTACTAAAATTACAAAACTAAGCTGGGCGTGGTGGTGCACACCTGTAGTCCCAGCTACTTGGGAGGCTGAGGCAGGAGACCCTCTTGAACCTGGGAGACAGAGGTTGCAGTGAGCCAGGATCATGCCACTGCACTCCAGCCTGCCAACAGAGTGAGACTCCATCTAAAAAAAAAAATAAATAAATAAGAAAAGAAAAGGCTGACTCACAGATAGAAAAAAATAAGCAGATTATGGAAACTGCTTGTGAGATAAGCCAAATACTTTAAAGTAGCAATTGTAAATATGCTCAAAGAGCTAAAGTAAACTATGCTTAAATAAGTAAAGGAAGGCATGATGGCAATGCCTCATCCAAATAGAGACTATCAATAAATATAAATTACTTGAAAAAGAACCTAATGGAAATTCTGGTGTTGAAAATCATAATAAATGAAAAAAAAAAACCCATAAGGTTTCAACAGTAGATTTGAACTGTCAGAGGAAAGAATTAGTAAACTTAAGTTAAATCAATAGAAACTATACAATCTGAAAAACATAGAGAACAAAAACTAAAGAAAAATGAACAGAGTATCATCAAAATGCAATACTATAAAGGATACCAACCTACACATGATGGAAGTCCTAGAGAGAGAGAGAAGAAAAAGAAAGGAGTAGAAAGATACTCCCCACAAAAATGGCTGAAAACTTCCCAATTAGAAGAAAAGTGTTAATCTGTACATCCAAGAAGCTCAATGAACTTCTAATAGGATACACATATAGAAATAGCACCACAAATATGCAAAAATCCAAAGAAAAAAGAAAAATCTTGAAATCAGCAAGAGAAAAATGACTTACCACTTAAAAAAAAAAAAAAACTCCAAGAAGATTAACAGCTGACTTCTTATGAGAAACAATGAAGGCCAGAAAGCAGTGGATAGCATATGCAAAGTGCCCACAGAAAAGTACACTCAACCAAGAATCTTATAACCAGCAAAACTATCTTTCAGAAATGAAACAGAAATAAAGGCATTCCCAGATAAACAAAAACTGAATTCAATGTTAGGAGACCCATATTATAACACTTATTATGGTATTAAAAAGGAAGCTCATTGAACTGAAACCAAATGACCCCAGACAGCAATACTATTGAACAAAAAAAAAACAGCATCTATAAAGATAATTAGGCAAATATAACAAGACAATATAAATGCATATTGCTCCTCCTTACTTCTCTGGCCTGATTTATAAAGCAATTGTATGAAATTTGTATATATGTGTGTGTGTGTGTATGTATGTGTGTGTATATATATGTATATATATATATACACACACATACATAATTGTTGAGACTACATATATAAATTTAGTATTTTTATTAATAATATCATTAAAAGGGTGAGAGGAAGTGAAGTTATATATATATACACACACACATACATAATTGTTGAGACTACATATATAAATTCAGTATTTTTATTAATAATATCATTAAAAGGGTGAGAGGAAGTGAAGTTATACTGGATTAAGATATGACACCAGGCAATAAATTAAGAAGGTAAAATAATAAATAAAAGTTATTAATATATTCTTGCTTTTTTCCTCCTCTCAGCTTTTTAAAAAACCTAGAATTATAACAACATATTGTTGAGTTTATAACACATTGATATGTAATCTATATAACAACAATAGCACAAAATGAGGAAAGGAAATAGAGATGTATATGAGTAATGTTTCTTTATTTCACTGGAATTAAGTTAATATAAATCTAAAGTAGATCCTGGGAGATTAAGATGTATGAGGTGAGCCCTAAAGAAACCATTAAGGAAATACAGATGCTCTTCAACTAATTTTTATATTTTTAGTAGAGACAGGGTTTCACCATGTTGGCCAGGCTGGTCTGAAACTCCTGACCTGAAGTGATCCACCCTCCTCAGCTTCCCAAAGGGCTGGGATTACAGGCATGAGCCACTGCGCCCAGCCTCAGTACCACAATTTCAATAATGGATAGAACATTTAGGCAAAAGATCAATTAAGAAACAGAAGACTTGAATAACACTACTGTTGCAGGAAGTCAGGGACCCCAAATGGAGGGACCGGCTGAAGCCATGGCAGAAGAACGTAGATTGTGAAGATTTCATGGACATTTATTAGTTCCCCAAATTAATACTTTTATAATTTCTTACGCCTGTCTTTACTGCAGTCTCTAAACATAAATTGTAAAGATTTCATGGACACTTATCACTTCCCCAATCAATACCCTTGTGATTTCCTGTGTCTGTCTTTTCTTTAATCTCTTAATCCTGTCAGCTGAGGAGGATGTATGTTGCCTCAGGACCCTGTAATAATTGCATTAACTGCACAAATTGTACAGCATGTGTGTTTGAGCAATATGAAATTTGGGCACCTTGAAAAAAGAACAGGATAACAGCAATTGTTCAGGGAATAAGAGAGATAACCTTAAACTCTGACCGCCGGTGTGCCGGGCAGAACAGAGCCATATTTCTCTTCTTTCAAAAGCAAATGGGAGAAATATTGCTGAATTCTTTTTCTCAGCATGGAACATCCCTGGGAAAGAGAATACGTGCCTGGAGGTATAGGCTTATAAACAGCAGCCCCCCGCCAGGTGTGCCTGTCTCTTATGGTCAAGACTGCATGGGTGAAATAGACCCCAGTCTCCTATAGCACTCCCAGGCTTATTAGGAAGAGGAAATTCTCACCTAATAAATTTTGGTCAGACTGGTTGATCTCAAAACCTGTCTCCTGATAAGATGTTATCAATGACAGTTGTGTCGGAAACTTCATTAGCAATTTTAATTTCGTCCCGGTCCTGTGGTCCTGTGATCTCGCCCTGCCTCCACTTGCCTTGTGATATTCTATTACCTTGTAAAGTACTTGATGTGTGTGACCCACACCTATTCGCACACTCCCTCCCCTTTTGAAAATCCCTAATAAAAACTTGCTGGTTTTTGTGGCTTGTGGGGCATCACAGAAACTACTGACATGTGATGTCTCCCCCGGATGCCCAGCTTTAAAATTTCTCTCTTTTGTACTCTGTCCCTTTATTTCTCAAGCTGGCCAACGCTTAAGGAAAATAGAAAAGAACCTACGTGAATATCGGGGCAGATTCCCTGTTACACTACAAACCACTAGATCTAACGGACATCTATATAACCCAACAACTGCAGAATATGAATTCTAAAATTCACATGGGCCAGAACAGAACAGATGCTAGACCATAAAACCAACTTCAATAAATTTAAAGGAATTGAAATAAGACAAGGTATGCTCTCTGGTCACAATGAGATAATATAGTTGTAAGTGCCTATACTAAAAATAAGAAAGATGTCAAATCTATAATCTAGCCTTGCATGTTAAGACATTGAGAAAAAAAGATTAAACTACCTAAAACAACCAGAGAGAGAAAATAATAAAAATGGGGTGGGGGGATTAATGAAATAGAGAATAGAAAGAAGACACAAAACAATAAAACCAAAAATGGTTCTTTGAAATCACGAATAAAATCGATAAACCTTTAGGTAGACTAAGAAAAAAAGGAAGACTCAAATTAGTAAAATCAGAAATGAAACAAGGGATATTACTACTGACTCACAGAAATAAAAAGGATTATAAATGAATAGTATGAACAATTGTATGCCAATATAATAAATATCTAGATAAAATGGACAAATTCCTAGAATGGTATAAATTATTTAAAAATGGCTCAAGAAGAAATAGAAAATACAAATAGAGCTATAACAAGTAGAGGTTGAATTAGTAATCCAACAACTACACACACAGAAAAACCAAGCCCAAATAGCTTCACTGGTAAATTCTAGAAAACAGTGAAAAAATATAAAAATTACTAATAAACTCTTCCAAAAAAATATAACAGGGACCACTTTCCAACTTTTTTATTGTGAATAGAACACTTAACATGAGACTTACCTGCTTAACAAATTTTTAAGTATAGAATGCAGCATTGTTAACTACAGGAACAATGTTGTGCAACAGGTCTTTTACTAATGGACTTTTATAATTCTTAATCTCTAAAAAGACAAGTATTCTCTTTGCACTCTTCGTGTTCTTTCTTTTTTCAGAGGGAATTATTTTATTTTATTTTTCCAACTTTTATTTTAGGTTCAGGGTGTTCATGTGCAAGTTTGTTACATGGGTAAATTGCATGTCACTGAGGTTTGGGGTACAAATGATCCCATCACCCAGGTAGTGACAACAGTATCCAATAGTTACTTTTTCAACCCTTGCCTGTCTCCCATCCTCCCTCCTCTAGTAGTCCCCAGTGTCTATTGTTCCCATCTTTGTGTCTGTGTACTCAATATTTAGCTCCCACTTAACATGTGGTTTTGCTGTTCTGTGCCTGTGTTAATTTTTTTAGAACAATGGCCTCCAGCTGCACCCCTTATGCTTCAAAGGACATGATTTCATTCTTTTTTATGGCTGTGTAGTATTTCATGACGTATATGTACCACATTTTCTTTATCAACGCCACCATTGGTGGATATTTAGGTTGACTCCATTTCTACTATTATAAATAGTGCTGTAATTAACATATGAATACATGAGTCTGTTTAGTAAAATGATTTATTTTCCCTTGGGTATATACCCAGTAATGGGATTGGTCCTTTTTTCTCTGTAACCTCACTAACACCTGCTATTTTTTGACTTTTTAATAGCCATTTTTAATGATGTGAGATGCTATCTCATTAGAACATATTTATCTTGTATAACTAAAACTTTATACCCATTGAATAGCAACTTCCAATTTCACCAGCCCCAATCCTTAGACATCACCATTCTACTTTTTGTTTTCATGAGTTTGACTATTTTGGATACCATATATAAGTGGAATCATGCAATATTGTCTTTCTGTGACAATTATTTCACTTAGCATAACCTCATCCAGGTCCATCCATGTTGTTGCATATGGAAGAATTTCCTTCTTTACTTCCCAACTTAGTCTATGAGGCCAGTGTTACTCTGATACTCAAAACACATAAAGACAGAATATATGAAGTACTCTTTAACTCAGGAATAAAAGGACAGGCGTCCTAATTAAAAATGTACAAATTATCTGAATAGACATTTATGCGAAGATACACTAATGTCCAATAAGTACAAGAAAGATACTCACCATCATTGGTGATTCATAACATTCAAATAAAAACCACAAGTAGATACCACTCCAAGTCTACTAGAATGGCTAAAGTTAAAAAGACATAATTACAATTGTTCGTGAGAATGTGAAGAACTGGAAACCTCATAAATTGCTGGTGGAAATGTGAAGTTGTGCAACCACTTTTGAAACCATTCTAGCAGTTCTTCAGAAAGTTACCCATGGAGTTGCCAGGTGATGATAGATTCTATTTCTAGGTATATACTCAGGGGAAATAAAAATCTATATACACATAAAAAACCTACACACAAATGTTTATAGCATTATTCATAAAAACCCAAAAGTACAAATAGCCCAAATTTCCATCAGTTTATGAATGGTGTAAACAAAAAGTAGTACATCTATCTATGTAATGGAATATTATTCAGCCATAAAAGGAAGTACTGACACATGCTACAGTGTAGGTGAACCTTTGAAAAGTTATGTTAAGCAAAGAAGCCGGTAACAAAAGACCATATGTAATGTGATACCATTCATAGGAAATCTCCAGAATAGGCAAACATATAGAGAAGGTAGATTAGTGGTTGCCTACGGGTAGGAGTAGTGGGAAGATGTGAGGAGTGGGGGTAGGATGATAGCTTAAAGGTATAGGGTTTCTTTTCATTAGAATATGATGAAAATGTTTTAAAATTGTGGTGATTATTATACAGCTTTATGAATATACTAAAAAATTGAATTGCCCACTTTAAAAAGATAAATTGTGTGACATGTGAAGCATATCTCAGTAAAGCTGATATGAAAATAAGAAATAATCCTAATTTTATAAAAAGTATTTTAGTGAATAAAAATGAGTAAATATTTCTCAACTAATTTTATGAGGCCAACATGCCTTGAAAAGAAGACCCAGCAAGGATGTTATAAGAAAGGAAAAATACAGGTCAATCTCTCTTATGAAACTAGAGGTTAAAATTCTAAATAAAATATTAGCAAACAAATCCCATCGATATAAAAAATTGATAATATACCACACACACGTTGGACTATTTCCATAAATGCTCTTGCTTGATTTAACATTAGAAAATCAATCAATATAATTTATCACATTAACAGTATAAAAAATTATGCTCTCCTCAATAGATGAAAACAAAAATCACTGGATAAAATTCAACATCCATTTGTGTGTTTTTTTAAAGCATTAAACAGGGAAAAAAGAAAAATATCCTAAATCTGATAAAATGTATCTACAAAATCCTATAGCAAATATTGTAAATAAAGGTAAAATGTTAAAAGCATTCCCTTTAGCATCAGTTGACGTAGCTCTATAGTTTTACTATGATCAAGTTGAAATTGAAAATCCACCACGACTGAGAACCCCCACCCTTCCTTCTTTATTGACTTCAATAGTATGTATAACATTCTCACAAACATTTTTTATTTGTTTTGTCTTTCTCCTACTACTAGAACATAAACTCTATGGGAGCAGGTATATTTATGATTTTGTCTACTATGGTCTTCTCAGCAACTTAAATGGTGCATACAATAAGTATTTGATATGGTTTGGCTCTGTGTCCCCCCCTGAAACCCATGTCAAGTTGTAATCCCCACATATTGGAGGAGGGGCCTGGTGGGAGGTGATTGGATCATGGGAGTGGATTTCCTCCGTGTTGTTCTTGTGATAGTGAATGAGTTCTTACAAGATCCGGTTGCTTAAAAGTGTGTAGCACTTCCCCCTTTGTTCTCTCTTCCTCCTGCTCTGCCATGTAAAGGTTTTGCCTGCTTCCCCTTCATTTTCTGCCATGATTGTAATTTTCCTGAGGCCTCCCCTGCCATGCCTCCTGTACAGCTTGTGGAACTGTGAGTTAATTAAACCTATTTTCTCCATAAATTACCCAGTCTCAGGTATGTCTTTATAAGTGTGAGAATGGACTAATAACAGTACTGAACAAAACTATTGAGTTAATTAAATTATTTTGACACTATCTCTGTGGTGAAAATTGAGTATCTTATTGGGAGAATCCTAATAGGCCTGAAAAGAGTTCTATGCACAATGTCTTAAATAGTTAGAGTTATTGGGAGGCTGCATCAAACATAACCACCCTAAAACACTGGCTGGTGCCCTGTCAGATAGAGTTGGCACTTGGTCTTCTATATTCTGTTTTCAAACCTTCCAGCCACTTATTGATTGCCCATTGATCTTCTTTGGCTAGATATCTTTTTTTAATTTGTCTGGAGCCATCCCTTTTAATGGCAGCTTAATAGAGAACAAGTTCCCTTAACTAATACTCCAACTGGATGGAGAAAATCATGTTCTGAAAAATAAGGTTTTTTCTAGGTCCTGAGCATGACTCAAATGGCCTTACGTTGAAAGCAGCAAAACATTTTTGTCAACAACCAGGCATTCCCAAACATGTCTTGACCAATGGTCATGAATTCCCAATGACTTATACAAGACTGCTTTCGAGCTCAAAGAGAACTTCCCACAGGGCTCCACTTTTCTCTAATTGGAAAATTAATTTTTCCTACCTTACAATTTGAAATATAAGAAACATCTGTAACATAAATATATTACACACAAATATTTTTGACCTAATAAAAATAGCTTCTTATTTTATAGTCTCCACTTCACAAAACTTGTGTGCTTAAATATCACTGTGCCATTCATTAACCCAAAATAAAGTTATTACGGAAATATTAAAGTATACCTTAAGGCCAAAAGTCAAACAGCAAGTACCTGCCACTTCTCTCTCCCAAAACCAGTCCTGGAGATACTAGAAGAGTGAGAAGGAAACTGATAGATACTGATAGATAGAGCATAATATAAAAACTCTGTGAAAACTCTGAAGAGATAAAAGGTAGTTGAGACAAAAAGAGAAAGGGTGGAGAATGGTTGTCCAGAATAGCTGAGGGCCAAGAACCATGATTCCTTAATAAGATACTGAGTTTTCTACTTATGCCTCTTAAATGTCTGTGTTAGGATTCTCTAGGAGGAGAGAACTAAGAGGATAGATGTATGTATAAACAGGAGTTTATTAAGGAGTATTGACTCACACAATCACAAGGTGAAGTCCCAAAATAGGAGATCTGCAAGCTGAGGAGCAAGGAAGCCAGTTCGAGTCCCAAAACCTCAAAAGTAGGGAAGCCAATAGCCAATGCAGCCTTCAGTCTGTGGCCGAAGGCCCTAGGGCCCCTGGCAGATCACTGGTGTAAGTCCAAGAGTCCAAAAGCTGAAGAACTTGGAGTCTGATGTTCGAGGGCAGGAAGCATCCAGCACAGGAGAAAGATGGAGGCTGAAAGACTCAGCAGGTCTAGTCTTTTCAATTTCTTCTGCCTGATGGATTCTAGCCATGCTTGCAGCTGATTAAATGATGCCCACCCAGACTGAGGGTGGGTCTGCCTCTCCCAGTCCACTGACTCAAATATTAATCTCCTTTGGCAACACCCTCACAGACACATTCAGGAACAGTACTTTGTATCCTTCAATCCAATTGAGTTGACACTCAGGATTAACCATCACAATGCCCCATCTAGACATATCTTTGCCCCATCACTATTGCCAAGTAAGAAACATAGCACCAGATTGGCACCCTTGAGAAATAAGGGGTTCCAAACTGAGTTAAAGATTTCCATTTAGGTGGTTCTAAAGCTCTGTTGGAGTAAGAAGCAAATAAAAACAGGTGAACTCAAGCTGTTGGCCATGTGTAGCATTCTTACTCCAACAAATAAAAATAAGTGAACTCAAGCTGGTTGCCCTCTGAGCAGTTTTTTTCCCTCCTGAACCACTGTAGGCTAGGCATTTTTAAAAAAAGAGAAAGAAATCCTAGAAAAGAGGTATTTAAGAGCTTCCTGGGAAGGTAAAGTTACCTGTTGGAGAGGAGGAAGGATAATAGGAGTGCTCTAAATTGTAGCATAGGGACTGCCTATGTTGATACACACATACCTGCCACATAAATACATATAAAGATACTTTCTAAATTTATCTGGAGAATCTGTGCTCAAGCTGTGTTAGGTTGTGTCTCCTGTCTTGAGATATATACCATAAACTGTGGCTGCTTGTAACTGACAGGGAAAAAATGAACTCATAGAAAAACTAAAGATATACCTGAAAAATATGAGTACTACTAAAAATGAAAAATAAAAACTTATTTTTAAAATGGAAGAATATTTAATGGAACAGACAAAATAAGAACTTAAAGCATAATAAATACCTTAAGAGAAATGAGGCAAGATATTGAAATGGTAATAATAACATAGAAACCAATCCCTTAGAGATATATATGAAAAATAAAAATAGTTGAAATAAAGAACTGAAAAGATAGGTTGACTGGCAGAATAGGTAGGACCAGAGAACAAATGAGTGAAATCAAAGATCTGTTTAAGGAAGTCTTCCAGGATTCATTAAGAAAAGATAAATTAAAAGAATGAGATAATGGTAAAGAAATCCGAACAATGGAAGCAGAAACGTCCAGATCCAGTGTGTTGATTAATTTTATGTGTCAACTTGACTGGGCCACGGGGTGCCCAAATATTGGGTTAAACATTATTTCTGAGTGTGTCTATGAGGGCGTTCCCAGATGAGATTAGCATTTGAATCAGTAGACTCAGTAAAGAAGAGAGCTCTCCCCAATGCAGGTGGGAATCACTCAGTCTGTTAAGGGCCTAAATAGAAGAAAGGTGGAGGAAGGTTGAATTTGCACTCTGCCTCACTGCTTGAGCTAAACATCAGTCTTCTACTGTGCTTGGCACTTCTGTTTCTGAGGCTTCAAACTATATGCTACAGGTTTTCCTATGTCTCCAGCTTGCAAACATCAGATTGTGGGACATCTCAACCTCCACAACTGTGTAAACCAATGCCTTATAATTATCTATCTATCTATCTATATCTATCTATCAATATTCCATTGGTTCTGTTTCTATGGAGAACCTTTATGAATACAGATTTTGGTGCCAAAACTGGTACTAGAGGAACAGATTTTAAGAATGAGCTTTCTAAATTGGTTTGGGGTTTCTGTAATTGGATTTTTAATTTTATTAAAGATGGTAATGACTTTTTATCAGTAAAGAAAGCACTGATAGTTCACGGCATATATGGGTAATAGAGATATGCAAAATATTTTCAGTGAGTAATCCGGGTTTTTTTTTGTTTTGTTTTGTTTATTTGTTTGTTTGTTTTTCCTGATAGAGTGTCTCACTCTTTCACCCAGGCTGCAGTGTGGTGGCACAATCTCGACTCCCTGCAACCTCCACCTCCTGGGCTCAAGCCATCCTTCCACCTCAGCCTTCTGAGTAGCTGGAACTACAGGCATGCACCACCATGCCCAGCTAAATTTTTTGTATTTTTTGAAGAGATGGGGTTTTACCATGTTGCCCAGACTGGTCTTAAATTCCTGGGCTCAAGTGATCTGCCCACCTCAGCTTCCCAAAATGCTGGGATTACAGGCTTGAGCAACCATGCCTGGCCTACAGTGGATACTCTTTTTTTTTTTTTTTTTTATACTTTAAGTTTTAGGGTACATGTGCACAATATGCAGGTTAGTTACATATGTATACATGTGCCCTGCTGGTGCGCTGCACCCACTAACTCATCATCTAGCATTAGGTATATCTCCCAATGCTTTCCCTCCCCCCTCCCCCCACCCCACAACAGTCCCCAGTGTGTGATGTTCCCCTTCCTGTGTCCATGTGTTCTCATTGTTCAATTCCCACCTGGATACTCTTAACCAACCACTTATAAGAAGTAGGAAGCTGGGTGATGTATATATAATACTTTCAAGTAGCTTTGGAAAGCTGACAAATATTATGACATTCCTTGGTTGCTCCTCATGCTACTGGATGAAGTGGTGAAAGAAAAGAATGAGCTCAGGGATTCAAATTTCCAGCTCAAGCACCATATACATGACTTGGAGTCTTCTATGTGTACCCTGAAAGAGATTTTTTTATTCTGTAGTTGCAGGGCTGAGGTTGCTGAAGATTAAATGTAGCATCTCAGCCTATGACTGGGTGACTTACAATGCAAGTTAAACCCCCAGCCTCTCAAGGTGTCTACTGTTAATGTAAGGACATTGATTGGAAAAGAATGGGATCCTGTAAATTGTGATTGGCCATTATGGGAAGTCCCTGCTGGGGACATTGAGTCCCTAAATTCTGATGCGTTTTCTTTGCCAGTGAAGAAGGAAGAGGTCTCCTTACCCCTAGAAGAGGTCAACTCATCCCTAGTAGAAGGGGCCTCTCTGTCCCCAGTGGCAATGGCATCCCCCACCCCAGTGATATCATCTCTCTCCTCTGAGTGATATCAGCCATTTCACCCATCTTTGAGGAGATTAACTCTGTATTGACTGAGAAAACTATAATGACCTCCCCTGAGGCAACTGCTATGCAAGACAATGCTGATGCTTTACAGAGCCCTGCTCCACTATCTCTTTACATCTAGACCTATAAGTAGACTCAAGACCCAAGAGACTCTTAAAGATAAGGTACAAAGTGTGACCCATGAGAAGTTGTTCTATGCTCCAAAGATCTAATTGAGTTTTCTAATTTACACAAACAAGAATCCAGTAAACACATATGGCAATAGATTCTAAGGGTCTAGCATAATGATGGAAGCAACATACTGTTGGATCAGACCAAATTTATTGATATGGGGTCACTAATCAAAGATTCTGCATTACAGAAGGTTGCAGCTCAAAGAATTAGAAGGGCTATAACACTTTGGATGGTTGGATAAAACATGGACCAAAGGCGGCTCACAGTGAGTGAATTAGAAATGCCTGACCTGCCTTGGTTTAATGTAGAAGACATGATTGATTCAAAGGCACAGGGAGACTGAAGTATTGGAATAAACTTGTCGTTTAAGAACTAATCTCCCACACTAGAAGAGTCTGGCACCTTTCATCAATATTGAAAGAAAATTAACTTGGGAGGGGAGCCCCAGCATCTTTGAATAGCTTCATGGTTGCTCTTCTCTGTAGGTTAGACCTGTGAGTCGAAACTTCAGCCATTCAGAAACATAAATGTAATGGGAATAATTACATTCTGGATGGCAGGTACCGAGTGGTGGTATTCAGCCACCAAAGCCAAAGTGAGTGAGGTTACCAGAATGGACAGCAGAGGTAAAGCAGAAGTCAGAATAGTCTTATTCATAGATCTATTGTGTTAACAAAAGTTGTTCATAATGTTTGTAGAGGTGAAATAGACAGGAATCCTGCTAAGTTTTACTTGATATTTACAAGCAGAAAAGTTCTAGGTCAAGTGAACAAAAGTCTAACCTCAATCATAAAAATGTAGTCATGGTCCCTCGATCAATTCCCAGATTAAATCCAGTTTACTTGCCTAGAATTACTTGCCTAGAAATTCTTGAAAGAAGAGGAAGACAGGTTCCCTTGAGAAAGAGTCCTGATATACTAGCCAAAATTTTTACTGTTAATCTGTCTTCCAGCCTTCCCCACAGGGACTTATTTCCTTTTACCAGGGTAACTGTGAAATTGTACTAATTCTGGAAGAACAAAAACATCAGTGTGTCACATCAGTCAGAGTAAAGGGTTATGGAGATCAGGTGATCAATGGAGCTTTAGCTCAGTTTTGTCTCACAGTGGGCCCAATGGGTCCCCAAACACATCCAGTTGTCATTTCCCCAGTTCTGGAATGCGTAGTTGGAATTGATAGCAGCTAGCAGAATCTCAATGTTAGTTCCCTGACCATAATTTGGAGCTACAATCGTGGAAAAGATCAAGTAGAAGCCACTAGAACTGCCTCTATCTAGGAAAATAGTAAACCAAAAGCATCCAGGATGGATTTTAGAGATTAGTGCCATGATCAAGGACTTGAAGGATGCAGGGGTGGTGATTTCCACCACGCCCTCATTCACTTCTTTTGGGCTTGTGCAGAATACAGATGGATCTTGGAGAATGAGAGTGGATTATGGCAAACTTAACTAGGTGGTGACTCTAATTGCAGCTACTGTACCAGATGTGGTTTTATTACTTGAAAAAACATTTCCCCTGGTAGTTGGCATGTAGCTATTGATCTGGCAGATGTCTTTTTTTTCCGTCTCTATTAATAAGGCTCATCAGGAGCAGTTGCTTTCAGCTGGCAAGGCCAGCAAGACAACTTTCACTATCCTACCTCAGGGCTATATCAGCTCTCCAGTCCTATGTCATAATTTAGTTATCAGAGACCTTGATTACCTTTCCTTTACACATAATATCACACTTGCCCATTACATTGATGACATTATGCTGATTAGACCTAGAGAGCAAGTAGCAATGACTCTAAACTTATTGGTAGGACATTTGCATGCTAGTGGGTGGGAAACAAATCTGACAGAACTTCAAATGCCCTTTACCTAGTGAAAATTCCAGGGAGCCAGTGGTACGGGGCATGTTGAGACATCTCTTCTAAGATGAAGGAAAAGCTGTTGTATCTGTCCCCTCCTACAACCAAAAGTATGGCACAACACCTAGTGGGCCTCTTTGGCATGGGGAACAACATATTCCTCATTTGGGTGTTTTATTCCAGCACATTTACTGAGTGGCTGGAAAAGCTGCTAATTTTGAGTAGGGTTCCAGAATAAAAGAAGGTTCTGCAACAGATCCAGGCTGAATGCAAGTTGTGCTGTCACTTGGGCCATATGACCTAGCAAATTCAACAGTGCTTGAAGTGTCAGCAGCAGATAGGGATGCTGTTTAGAGCCTTTGGCTGGAGCCTATAGGTAAATTGCAAAGCAGGCCCTTAGGATTTGGGAGAAAATCCCTGTCATTCATTGCCAATAACAACTCTCTTTTTAAGAAACTGATTGGCCTGACATTGGGCCTTAGTAGAGACTGAGCACTTAACCATGGGTCACCAAATTACCATGCAGTGTGAGCTGAGCTGCTTATCATGAATTGAGTGTCATTTGACCAACCAAGCCATAACGTTGGGTATATACAGTAGTACTCCATCATCAAATGGAAGTGGTATATATGTGATTGGGCCCCGGCAGGCCCTGAAGGTATCAGTAAGTTACATGAAGAAGTGGCCCAAATGCACATGGTTTTTATTCCTACCACACTGACTTCTCTCTACCAGCCCGTACCTACGATATTATAGAGAGTTCCCTATAAACAGTTGACAAAGGAAACATAGACTCAGGCCCAGATTACAGACCTTTCTGTACAATGGGATGTAACCAGTGGTTTGGCTGGATGGTTAGGAGCTTGAAAAGAACATGATTGGAAAATTGATTCTAAGGAAATTTGGGGAAGAGGTAGGTGGGCACACCTCTCTAAATGGGCAAAAAAAAATCTGAAGATATTTGTCTCCCATGTGAATACTCAGCAAATAATGACTGCAGCAGGGCCTTTTAATAATCAAGTAGATGGGATGATATAATTTCTGGATACTGGTCAGCCCCTTCCTCCAGCCACCCCTGTCACTACTCAATAAACTCATGAACAAAGTGGCCATGGTGGCAGGGATGGAGGATATGCATGGACTCAACAACATGGACCTTCACTTACCAAGGCCAACCTGATATATCCATCACTGAGTGCCTGACCTGCCAATGGTAAAGACCAACACTAAGTCCCCAAGATGATATCACTCTCCAGGGTGATCAGTCAGTTACCTTGTAGCAAGTTGATAACATTAGACCAATTCAATCATGGAAGGGGCAGTAATTTGTTCTTACTGGAATAGACACTTACCTTAGATACAAATTGGCTTTCACTGCAGGCAATGCTTCTGCCAAAACTACTATTCATGGACTTACAAAATGCCTTATCACGGCCTTCCAAATAGCATGCTGTCTGACCAAGGAATTCACCTCACAGCAAAAGAAATGTGGCAATGGGCTCATGCTCATGGAATTCACTGGTATTGTTAACCACCATCTTGAAGCAGCTGGCTTGATAGAATGGTGAAATGGCCTTTTGAAGACTCATTTACAGCATGAGCTAGGTGTCAATAACTTACATGACTGGGACAAGGTTCAACATCCAATATATGTTGTTTCTCTCATGGCCAGGATACATAGTTCCAGTAATCAAGTGGTGGAAATGGGAGTGACACCTCTCACAATAATCCCTAGTGACCCATTAACAAACATTTTGCTTCTTTTGCTTGTAATCTTACCCTGCGCTAGCTTAGAGGTCTTAGTCCAGAGGGAGGAAAGCATGTCACACAACAATGAACCCATTGAAATGGAAATTAAGAATTCCATTCAGCCACTTTGGATTTCTCATACCTCTTAATCAATGGGCAAATAAATGAGTTACAGTGCTGCCTGGGTGATTAATCTGGACTACTAAAATGAAACTGGACTACTACTGTATAATGGAGGAAAAGAAGAGTATATCTGGAATAAAGAGATCCCTTTGGGCATCTCTTAATATTATCATACCCTGTGATCAAGGTCAATGGAAAACTACAATGACCCAATTCAGCCAGGACTATGAATGGTCCAGACCCTTTAGGAATGAAAGTTTGGGTCACCTCTTCAGGAAAAGAATCATGAACATCTGAAGTACTTGCTGGAGATACAGGGAATATAAAATAGCCTGTAAAAGAAGGTAGTTATAAATGCCAGCTATGACATTTTATCAGTTATAAAAAAAAGACTGTATTTGTCATGAGTATTTCTTAGTTTGTTATAAATATATATTTGTGTGAGTGTTTGTTTTCTTTCCTCTCTTATTACTTTATCATGAGACATAAGATACATTGACTTTATCAGAATTTAACTATTGTTAATTTTATATCATTGTTTTTAAGTTATGGGATATCAAGGAAAAGAGTAAACATCATTCAAGGACTTTACCTCACCTTCTGGGGAAGGGATTAGTGCATCTTCAGTTGCTTGTGGGATAGTTGTATAATGTTAGGTGGATTATGTCCTTGTTATTGTCTTTAATGAGATCAAGCCTGGTTTAAGGAGATGTGTATGGGTGTCAGGTTCACAAGTGGCAAACTTGTGATGGTAAATTTTATGTAACTTGGGCCACAGCATGCCCAGATCACTGGTTAAACATTATTTCTGGGTGTGTTTGTGAGGGTGTTTCCAGAAGAGATTAGCATTTGAATTGAATAGAGTAAAGCAGATGGCCCTTCCTAATATGAGTGAGCATGATCCAATCTGTTAAGGACCTAAATAGGGCAAAAAGGTGAAGAAGCTTGAATTCACACTCTGCCTGATTGCTTGAGCTGGGAAACAGATCTTCTCCTTCCCTGGGCACTCCTGGCTCTCAGGCCCTCAGACCTGTACAGGAACATATACCATTGGCTCTCTGGCTCTCAGGCCTCTGAATCACACCACAAGCTTTCCTCTATCTTCAGCTTGTGGACAGCACGTCATTGAACTTCTCAGTCTCCACAGTCACATAAGCCAATACCTTTCAGTAAGATGTAAATAAATGGATAGATAGACAGATAGATGATAGATAGATAGATAGATAGATAGATAGATAGATAGATAGATAGACATAGATGCATCTTATTGGTTCTCTGGAGAACCCCAACTAATATATCCAGAACTGATTCTATCAAGATGGCAGTAGTGGGGTTGAGGAAAAATTGGAGAAGATGAGTGTTGTTCAGAAGTCCATGCACATATGCAGGATTGTGTCCATAATCAGGATAACCTGAGAACTCCCTAATCTCTTATCTCTGGCTGACCTTGACTTACTGTACAACCAGGAAGTACAACCAGGTTCTGTACAACTGGGAAGTAAAGGCTAAGGGCAGACATGTAAATATTCCCCCAAATGATCTACAGATTCAACACAATGTCCAGCAAAATCCTAGCTGCTTTTCCTTTTAAAGAAATTGTCGAGCTAATCCTAAAATTTATTTAGAAATGCAAGGAATCCAGAATAGCCAAAATAATTTTGAAAAAGTTGAAGGACTTAGACTTCCTGATTTCAAAACTTACTACCATAAGATATCATTTCAGAACTACTAGAATGGCTAAAATCAAAAAGACAGACAAAAGCAAGGGTTGGTAATGATTTGAAGATGTTGGAGCCCTCATTCATATCTGGTAGAATTTTTAAATAGTGCTGTAAAATATCTTCTCAAAAGGTAAGCATAAAGTTACCATAAAACCCACTAACTCCAATCCTAAATATATACCCAAAAGAATTGAAATGTATGTTCATAACAAACTCTTGTAAATAAACGTTCATAGAAGCATAATAGCCAAAAGTGGGAAAAAATGTCTATCAGCTGATGAATGAATAGCCAAAATGTGGTATATACATAGAATTGAATATTACTCAGCTATACAAAGGAATGAACTATTGGCACATGCTACAACATGAAGACAGAAGAAGGTAGATTTGTGCTTTCCA
Organism: Homo sapiens; assembly: GCF_000001405.40. Classification (NCBI taxonomy): domain Eukaryota; kingdom Metazoa; phylum Chordata; class Mammalia; order Primates; family Hominidae; genus Homo; species Homo sapiens. The sequence goes on from NC_000011.10 coordinate 58,488,646, forward strand.
GGGAATTGGAAGAGGGGAGAATGGAATGGAAAGTGATTGCCAATGGGATTTATTTTTAGGTGATAGAAATATTCTAAAATTAGATAGTGGTGATGGTTGCATAACTCTGTAAATATAATAATAACCACCAATTTTACATTTTGAAGCATGAATTTTATGGCATATAAGTTTTATATCAATAGCACTATCATTTTTAAACCATAAAATGTTATGCTGTAGTCTGACACAATTAACTATAATTACGTATAGCACATGGATAGATCTCTAACGTGAACTCTTGAGTAAAAAGTCTATGAAAAAAGAATGAGATCTATAGCACATCATTTATGTAAATTTTAAGAATATTCAATATTTTTAAAATATTGTAAAATATTTAAGAATATTTGTAAAATATCGTTTCCAAGGAAACACATACATCTAAATATATTAGACTTAATGCTTTTGCAACAAAGGAAATGGGGGGAAGAGTTGGAGATTAATATTAAGGGAGAAAAATAGTTAAATAATAGGATAAGAGGGACAGAGACCAATAAACGTAGAGTGAAATAAACCGTGGAGTATAACAAACTCAACTTTATGAACCTGTGTTTTTCATCCCCGCAAAGTGGAGGCCTTTGTTGAAGACTGATTCAACCTCAGTCTACCAGGTTAGCTTCATCTCTGAATTATCATTACTCTGCCTAGCATACAAAATGCAAGCAATCAATCGTGACACTTACCACCAGAAATTATCAAGAACTTACCATTTTACAACAGTGTTTGACACTCAATAAATATATGAGCACTCATGCCACATAATTATTTGAGTAAAAAGCATTTCTCTCAAAAAAAATAGATGGAATACCTTATAGAGTCCACTTCAAATGACAGACAAGAAACAACTGTTTTTTCCTCCAACAAAACTGAGTAAGTCATTCCAAGATAAATAAGACAGCAGACATGAAAGTAATACTTCAACATAGGTTCCACTCAGCCATGACAGTCCATTGAATGAAGTTTATCCATGCCATCCAGAAAGAGAAAAATCCAATAGCAAATTCTGTTGGGGTTTCCTTCATCTCTCAGGCATTTTTCTAAATTCAGGGTTTGCTTACACTACAGAAATACGTCAACAAAAGCAGCCACAGATACGTGCCTTGGCAGATATCAGTAGATCATGCAAAGTGAATGCTCTAAAACCTTTCAACTGAGAACTGATACTGCCAAAACTGGTATTTGACTGCATACACCCATTCCAACACTTACTCACCATCTTCTTCATCCAGCTAGATGCTAGAGATGGAGAGATGAACCAGACTGTTCCTAATCTCAAGAACTAATACTGTCAGATGGCAATGACCAAAGAAATGATAAGTGCTTGAAATGATGGATACCCCAATTATACTGATTTGATCATTACACATTGTATGCCTGTATCAAAATATCAAAAATATATATTGTTATGTACAATATACACATGTATATTGTATACATGTGTATTGTATACATGTGTACATTGTACAATGTACAATATAATGGGTACATAATAATTAAAAATAAAAATTTTAAAAATAAACAAAAGCTCACCCTCAAAAAAGAAAAACTAGAAGAATACAGTTTTCAAAAAAATACACTTTGAAGTCAGACAGCAAGTTTGGATGTTGAATCTGTATCTATCAGCTGTTTAGCAAGGTATTTGGTCCCTTTAAATTTTAGCTTCTACATTTAAATAATCAGAATTATAGCAGGAATTTAATACAGATTTTATAAAAATTAAATGAAACTAAAAATGCCTGACCAGAGTCAATGCTTGGCAAATGTGACCTTCTCCTGCTCTCCCCTGCTGTTGAAGAAATGGTGTGTGAATATTGAAGGATGTGCCATTGCAGATATGGAAAAGTGAAATAAAGTGTATTCTGATTGTTATGTGCTCAGAAAGCTGCAAACTTAATTGAGATTTTGCTTTCACAAGAACTTTCCTAAGGGCACTTTGACCTCCCCTATTCTTTAGGCTATGGACAGAGGGTACAGGGTAGGAATGACTATGGCAAAATAGGAATGTAATTTTGTCTGTGTCCACAAAAGGGCTGCATCTGAGCTGTGAAGACAGGAGAATGATGATCCTAACTGAAGGTGGACACCACAGTGAGGTTGGAAGCACATACATAATAGTCCTTCTGTAATTACACATGGGGCAGGGGGATGAGGAGATCAATGAATGTAAACAGATATGTGATCATGATACTTAAAATGGGGAGACAGTCACTGAAACCCATTGGAAAGAAAATGACTGACTCACAAATGGCAGGACTCAGCATAGTAAATATATAATTAAAAACCTATTGTTATGTGGTAATTCTATTTTTAGTGTTCTGAGGAACTCCCATACTGTTTCCACAAGGTTATACAAATTATCTTACATTCTCATCAACAGCGCACCATGGTTCCCTTTTTATACCCTCGCCAACACATTATCACTCATCTTTTTGATAATTATATACACAATGGAATACTATTCAACCTTAAGAGGAGGAGAAATCCTATTATTTGTGACAACCTGGATAAACCTGAAGGGCATCATGTTAAATGAAATAAGCCATGCAAATAAAGACAAATATCATATGATCACTTATATGTGGAATCTAAAAAACAAAGCTAAATTCATACAAGTAGACAGTAGAATGAAGGTTATCAGAATTTGAGGAGGGAGGGAGGTGAATGGAGAAAGGCATTGATCAAAGGGTACAAAGTTTCAGTTAAACAAGTGGAATAAGATTTAGTGAACTATTGTGCAGAATGGTGACTATAATAAACAATAATGCATTTCATATTTTAAAATTAAGTCCATTTTAAATATTTTTACCACAAAAGTAGTAAGTATGTGAGGTGCTAGATGTGTTAGCCTGATTTAATCATTCCATAGTGTAAACATATATCAAAACATCACATTTTGCCCCATAAATATATGCAATTATTATTCAATTAAAAAGATTTTAAAACATATTATTATTATTTACAGTTATACATTTGACCTTATTACTAATATAAAGTGCCTTCAACTATATCTAAAATGACTAAAATGACTAAAATCATGAAGTAAACAAACAGTTAAAAAATAAGGAATTCACAATTAAGTTTCCATTTTAGGGTTAATATTTCTTGTAACAAAAAAGCAACAGTTGAATAATACTTATCCTATAATTTAAATCACATGCTGATAGAAACTCTTATTTCCAATCTGGGTAGACTTATATGTGATATAAAGAAGTTCAAATAATTATAACTGTCTATATAGAAATAACATTATTTCTCATGCAGCAAAAGGTAGCCATAAGAAAGGGGAAGCCTGGCAGGGGTGTGAATTTCAATAGAAAAATGCAGCTACTACCAATCTCCAGCTCAGCAAGCAGGGAGTTGAGGGAATAAAGACCTCAGCATCTCTTTCCTCCTGCCTTTTGATCACCAACTGGCCAAATCCATGAAGCCACAAGGAAAGGGAGTCCAGATCATCTAGTTTATAAAGTGAGCCTCCTGTGGCATGGTGCACCAGAGAAATGGCAGAGCAGGATGTAGAGGGAAAGACAGAAATGACAAAATGACATCTGTGACTGCCTAGAGAATAAAATTCAACTTCCATATCCAACCACCAGTATGTATACTATGAGGCAGTCAATATGCTTGCTAGGGTCTAGCTTATAGCAGGTGCCTCACAAATGTATATTGAAATAATAAGCCTATCAATCAATGAATGATGGAATTCAAGTGACCATCTGGCCAAGTCAAACTAGCCCTCTCGTGGCAGAGTTATACACATTCTGGAGTGCCCTTTAAATATTTTTGTTGGATGTGGACTGAGTTAAATACTTCATGAATGAAACAAACACAGGTCGGCAGATGATCATGAACCTTCCAAGAGTTTTAGAGGTGTTTTTCTGTTTTATTTAAAAATAAATAAAAACATTCATTCCTGACTTAAAAATAATCACAGAACATTTATGTTTCTTTGGCTCCTCTCTGTTTTCCTCTCCCTCTCCCTTTCTCTCTCTTTCTCTTTCTCTTGCTGTGTCACATAGGCTGGACAGAGAAGAAATCAGAAGAAGCTCAAACCTGTGTAGAATACTGTCTGCCTTTAAGAAGAAGAAAACTCTGCCATATGCAACAACATGGATGAACCTGGAGGACATTACGCTCAGTGAAACAAGCCAATCACAGAAGGACAAATACTACTTGATTCCACTTTTATAAAGTATTTAAAATAGCCAAACTCATAGAAACAGACAGTGAATGGTGGTTGTTAGGGGCAGGGGGAGGGGGCAATGCTGAGTTGCTCGAAGGGTATAAAGTTTCCATTATGAGGCCAGTTGCAGTGGCTCACACTTGAAATCCTAGCTCTTTGGGAAGCTGAGGTGGAAGGATTGCTTTAGCCCAGGAGTTCGAGGTTACAGTGAGCTATGATAGTACCACTGCACTTCAGCCTGGGGGACAGAGTGAGATCCTGCCTCCAAAAAAAAAAAAATTCAGTTATGCAAGATCTGCTATACAACATTTTACCTATAGTTAACAATACTGTACTGTGCAGTTACAAATTTATGAAGAGGATGGATTTCATGTTGTGTTCTTATCAAAATCTTTAAAAAAGAAAAAAAGAAAAAGGAGGCTGGGGGCGGTGGCTCACACCTGTAATCCGAGCACTTTGGGAGGCCGAGGCGGGTGGATCACGAGGTCAGGAGATCGAGAACATCCTGGCTAACAGGGTGAAACCCTCTCTTTACAAAAATATAAAAATTAGCCGGGCGTGGTGGCGGGCGCCTGTAGTCCCAGCTACTTGGGAGGCTGAGGCAGGAGAATGGCGTGAACCCGGGAGGCAGAGCTTGCAGTGAGCTGAGATCGCGCCACTGCACTCCAGCCTGGGCGACAAGGCAAGACTCCGTCTCAAAAAAAAAAAAAAGAAAGAAAAAAAAAGGAAATAAAGACTTTTGCTTCTGACTTTAAAATACAGAATGTTTTTGTTTCAGTGGTTTCTCTCTCTCCTTTTTACTTGTGCTGTGTAGGTGGGACAGAGGACAGACCAGAGGCAACTTAAACCTGTTCGGAATGACTTCAGCAGGTCCTGGGATATGAAGGTCCCTCCTAAATCAGAAGAGAGTATCTTAAGTTACATATCTGTTATAAAGAACATCTCCCCGTGTCCCCAAAATATAAAGACACACTAAAAATACATATGACCCAAGGAGAGAACCCACACAAGTGTGGGTGTGATTCACAAAGTTATAAATATCACTTGCATAAAGGATGACTCAGAGAAAAATAATTTAGAAAGAGACCAAGAACATTATTTTATTAATATAATTTCTTCTGAGAGAAAAATGAGGCTGAAATATATGACACTGCTTTCCTGTTTCTCCCCAATAATGAACCCCTAAATGGGGTTGATAGGAAGAGTCTGCTATAGATCACTCCTGTTCTCAGTTACCTCTTCCATGAAATGAAAATGCTAAGAATAATATCCACCTAATAATAATATGAAAAACATTAGGTAATATTTACTGAGCTTTACTATGAGTTAGAAATCAGCCTGCAGCAATTATGTCATGAAACCTCTACAAGCCTGATGAAAAAGATACTACTGTCTTATGATTGCTACTTTAGAGATGGGAATTACAAGACTTAGAGGTATTTTAGTAATTTCTTCCAGGTTGCATCACCAGTAAATGGCAAAAACAATATTCAAAACCAAGAAGTCTGATTTCAGAAGCCACAGCCTAAATACCAGGATAAATATCTCTTGATTAAATAAGATAAAGCATGTAATAGTAAGCACTCCATATATGAAAGTGACTACTATATTTCATCTAAGTCCTGCTTCTATGCATTCTACACTATTATCCCATGCTAGTCCACACGTGGAATTTCTTTCTTGTGTTAGTATTTATTTCAGTCTGCAGGTTCTTTCCATCTCTGCTGATAGGAAGGATCAAAATTCACTTAGAGAAGATTTTTCAATTCCTAAGAAGACTTAGCATCTCTTCAGCATGCTCTGTGAATTTCAAGGCTCTTGATTGAAGCTTCTTATCCTCTATGCATCCATGTGCTCATTAAATTCTGAAACAAGGCTCATGAACCAAAAGAAAAACGGTTAAGAACCACAGCTCTGGCTCTGATGACTGAAGCATGACTTCTGTCTCTATTTATGAGGAGTTGGGGTTTGGCACTTTTCTTCCTACTTTGAGCTTTCTGTGTTCAATGCCTAATACCACTTAGATTTTCCTTCTGTCAAAGCCCTACGGAATATTGGTACCATCACATGAGTTTTAAAAAAATTCTATGTTGTTGAAAAGTCTAAAAGTTCAGAAATAATACTTAAAACATCCCCATCTGAGATTTAAGTGTTCAGTAGGCTATTAAAGATGCTGAGAAGTACTGTAGTAATGTAACAGCAAGCTGTTTAACTTACCTGCTTATGGAAAGCTTTTTCATATGTAACCCTGTTAACTCCCCATAGCATTTTGCTTGGGGAAAAAAAAAAGTAGCATTAGACAGAAGTGTGTAATCCATGAAATTCCTGGATTGTGTCCCACTGAATACAATGCATCTCAGAATTACACTCTTTGTCCATTTCATGCCAGTTTTCAGGACAGCACATATACAATTTTCCCATTTTCATAATTCTCTCTCATTAGCTTGAGTGTTCCATGAGGATACATTTTTGTCATGTTTACCTTTAAAATACCATCACACTGTCTAGAATTTATTAGTTATAAATAAACACTTCTTGAATAAATGAATTACTCAGAACCTTTTGTTTGTTTCATTGGTGGTGAATAGAGTAAACAACCGTTCCAATTTGCCCAGAATTAAGAAATTTTCTGAGATTTGGGGCTTTCAGTGAGAAAACAGATTGTTCCAGGCAAACTAGGACAAATTGGTCATGCTATGCGGTGGTGATTTTTTATTTTGTTGATTTTTGCTTTTAATTATCATATTTGTCCACTCTGTGTGTGTGTCCAGATTTTAGCTAAACACTAGCCATGAATTAGTGTGTTTACTTCTCAAAACAGCCTCAGGAAATATGTATGATTTCGTCTCCATTTCACAGATGAAGAAATCAAGGCAAAATTTTCATGCCTTGGCCACAGATACCCAGCCTTACCCTGCTGTCTGGTTCTAGAGTCTGTGCCCTCCAAAATGAATTCTGCAGGTACAGCAAAGAGCATAAGGTCACGAAATTCATCTTTGAAAATAAGAGCTCAGTAATTCACATAGAAAATAATGTGGACAAGCACAATCCATTCCCTGCTGGGTGAGATAGAATGTGAGAGAAAGAAGTCTGGAAAGCCATAATCTTAACATTAATCCAAGATGCGAGTGAATTTGAATTTGAGCTTTTAATATGTTATATACAGGCCAAGCAAGCTGAGAGCTATTTTTAGCTCTAAGTTATGAAATACAATCACATGGACAGGTGGCCTACATTTTCAGTTTTATATTTGGTGAGGAGTTTTGCAGTCAAAGTGAGAATGCCATTGCACCGACCAGGTTTGGAAAAGGCAGCTGGAGTCCTACAGATTCTGAGCATGCTGAGCAGGACAGCTAGGTGGTGGTGTGGAGTGGGAGATAGAAAATCTGGAGCCTAGACTCAACACCACCAGTCTATCTATATGACATGGGAAAAAACATTTGAGATTTCTTTTTTTTTTTTTGCCTTAGTTTTCTCATCTGAAAAAAGGTAGAACATGATGGGGAGGTAAGAATAGAGTATAAAGGGTTTGTAGGCCAGCAAAAGAGTGAATCGGTATCCTGGTTCTATCACTTAGCATCTGTATCTGAGCCTTAGTTTTACCATCTATAAAATGGGAAATCTGATTCATAAATCACAGGTTATCATTTAGTAGAAAATGATGACACTTCTTCATCTGTTTAATCCTTGATAAGTCACTTCACATATTTGGGCCTTGGTTTTATCAACTATAAAACTAGGATAATAACCTAAATGTTAACAGGGTAATTATGAGAAACAACAAAGGTGAAAATGCCCACCAGAGCTCACAGCACACACAAAACCATCAGGAAGTATTTGAGGAGGGGACAGCTTCTAAGGCTCTTTACATCTCTAGGAAATGTGAATTTTGTGCACACTAGCCACTGTTTTCTGCTTACTTCAAGAAACAAGTCTAAAGATTTAGGATCTTATCTCTGATGTTCTTAGCAACACAAATAGCAATCTTAAAGAAGGTAAAACATTATTTGGCCATCAGAAATTATCATAGAATTAAGAGTGGATGAGGACAGCAAAAGAAACAAATAGAGTAAAAAGGGCAACTTACAGAATGGGAGAAAATATTTGCAAACTATGCATCCAACAAAGGTCTAATATCCAGAATCTATAAGGGACTCAAATTAACAAGCAAAAAACAAACAGCCTCCATTAAAAAGTGGGCAAAAGACACAAACAGTTTTCAAAAGAAAACATACAGTGAACAAGCATATGAAAGATGCTTAAAATCACTGATCATTAGAGAAATGAAAATCAAAACCACAATGAGATACCATCTCACACCAGTCAGAATGGCTATTACTAAAAAGTCAAAAAATAACAGATGCTTGTGAGGTTGCAGAGAAAAGAGAATGCTTATACACTGTTGGGGGGAACATAAATTAGTTCAGCAATTGTGGAAAACAGTGTGGCAATTTCTCAAATAACTTAAAACAGAATTCTTATTTGACCCAGCAATCCTATTACTGGGGATATGCCAGGAGGAATATAAATAGATCTGTCATAAAGACACATATACGCATATGTTCATTGCAGCACTATTCACAAGAGCAAAGACATGGAATCAACCTAAATGCCTATCAACAGTAGACTGGATAAAGAAAATGTGACACATATAACCTATGGGATAATATGCAATCATAAAAAGAAACAAGATCATGTTCTTTGCAGCAACATGGATGGAGCTGGGGGCCATTATCCTGAGTGAACTAACACAGGAACAGAAAACCAAATATCACATGTTCTCACTTGTGAGAGCTAAACATTTGAACACAAAGAATGGAACAAAAGACACCAGGGCCTACTTGAGGGTGAAGGGTGAGAAGGAGGAAGAGGGCTGAAAAACTACTTATCAGGTACTATGCTTATTACCTGGGTGACGAAATAATTTGTACACCAAACCCCCATGACACACAATTTACCTATATAACACACCTGCACATGTACCACTGAACTTAATAAAATAAAGTAAAACAAAGTAACTATTTCATACAGGGAAAAAACAGCAAATGAAGAGATCTCTCAGATTAGATTCATTGGGAAATAGACTCTGAGACTGAGATCTGTGTGCAGATGGCTCTCCAGGAAGGACTCTCAGGAACAGCATCTGTAAGGGAGAGATGGCAGCAGAATTAGAGAGAGGGAGAAATTGTGCTGCAATGCAGTCTCAATAAAGGCCTCAGCCAATCCTTTAGGGTGCTTGGGAGCTGAGATGGCTCTTGGGAGCTGTGTCAAGGAAACAGGACAAGCAGGGGCAGGCCTTCATACTACTCACTGGCCAATCTTGGATGACACTTCTACAGCTGTTTAATCTTCACCTGGAGCCATAACCTCAGGGGAGGTGGCTCCCATTGACTGAAGGAAATTCTTCGAAGGATTTCAGCTAGGAGATCCAGGTAGCACACAATCACATCCACTATCATAGACACTATTGTTTACATAAGATGCGCTTGGAATTGAAGAGAGAAATCTGACGAGCAGCCAACGAGGGACCTAAAAAGAAGTGGTTGTTGCAATTAACTTGAAAGTCAGCATACTGGCTCCTGGACACAACGTTGTCCAGCTTTAGCCAGGCTCATACATTATTCAGATAAAAAGTGACCATTATCTGAACAGAAAATCAGTAATGTGTTTATAAGGACAAACGTGTTTGTAAGAAAAATGTTTCTGACTCTATCAAAAACATTAAGCAAACTAAATGTGTGCTCATACACACAAAAGGGGTTGTGGCCGCCAGCCAGAGCAGCTGTGGTGTGTGAGGTGGTATGCAGAGTTAGAATACTGCACAAAGTCTCACTCTGTCACTTCCTGGATGTGAGAATTCAGAGACCACTTCTCCTCCCCAGGCCTCAACTTCCTAGTCAGTAACATGCAACAGGGGAACAAAAACAGCCCTAAGATCTCTTTCATCCTATGTACCAATAATTCCAGATGTTTATTACTATTGTTAGCAAGAACAAAAATAATTAAAAATGGATGCCTTGGTAGTTGCTTCATTTTCTGCTAAGTTAAATTTTGTGGCAGTGTTTCCTCTGCATTATTCATTTCCTGATAATTTTTTATAACACTTTTTGGTTTTTATTGAAATGTTGTGGACCTCTCTTTTATTATTGAGGGTGCTTTATTCCCCATACTCTTTAACATTTATAATTTTGTGAGGTCAGTGACTTCTCTCTTGTTCACTCTACTGTCCATGGAAGAGTATCTCTCACAAGCTAGAGGTATCAGTTATGTTTCATTATAGACACCAGTTCAGGCTAACTTGAAGGGAAACAAAAGAGGTAATTGAAAGGATATCAAGAGGTTTGCAGAATCAAAAGGAAACTGGGCAAAATGCAGGAACCAGGAGCACTTCAGAGGGCTAAGGAACAGAAGTCGGAAGCAAAGAACCATGTCATGTCTGGAATGGCCCCACCAACATTTCCCTGCTATAGCAAATGAGCTCCAAGCCTTGATGCTTCTTTCCATCCCTTGCAGATTCAAATTTAGGGGAGTGAGAACTTTTTGTTGGCTGAGCTTAGGACTCATGCCTGCCTCTCTATATACCTCCATGAATCTCTCTGTATAGATTTCTCTTCCTTAGGGGGCAGGGAAGGAAAGGTTATCCTTGCCTCAGCTTCCATAGACTTGTGGGTGGAGAGGGTACAGGAACTAGACACTCTTCTCCCACCAATCTATTCTCCAAGAAAGAGATCATTCTCCAAGAAAGTCACGATATTTTAAGCAGGAAAATGGATTCTGGATACACAGAATACCAATATTTGCTAGAGCAGGTGCTCAAATAATGTTTTAGGTGGATATGTGCTCATACATAAAATGCTGAAAATTTCCTCTGAAGCAAACAAGTGCTTTACTTTAACATAGGTGCATAAGGAAAGCTGTTTTAAATATTCTTCTACAGCAGTTGAGATTCTGCCTTATCTCCGACGTCTATGTGCATGATGTCCAGAACTTCTTTATTGAAGTTTGAATCTATAGCTTAAATTTGAAAACCTCAATTTGAAAGATAATATCCCTACTGTTGGGCACCAGTGTATCATTCCAAACTTATTTTCCATTACTTCTCTCCACAGATATTACACTTCAGCCAAACAGACACTATTTGTGAAATATATCTGAATAATTTCTATTTTACTGTATCTCTCTTTCTTGTCCAGAGCAAAGTTATCTTCCTCAATTCCCCACCCTAGAATCTACCCTTCAACTATTACTATAGCATTTTATATGTATCTCTTGTTGGTTTTTATTATTTTCTACACAGAATTAAAGTTACTTATGTATAGGTCTTATCTCCCCTTTAGTTTTTTTTAAATAAACTTATTGAATATAGGAGCTCTGTTGGGTCTGTTTCTAAACATTTGAAGTGTGAAATGTAACATATACAGAAAAGTTTATAACAGAAATTTAGTTATATCACTTTCTAAAATATAAGAGCTTTGTTTGATTTACCTTTTTTAATATTTTTACTGTGATATATATTTTGGTGTGTGTGTGTCTAACATATATAAATATATTTTATTTTTTATTTATACATACATGTATATATAATGTATGTATGTGTATATATAATACAAATTTTATATATACATATATATGTGTGTGTATATATATATAAAATTTGGTATTCAAAAAAAGGTGCATAAAATACGTAGGTTCATTTGGCTTTCCTTATCTACCCAGTCTCAACTTTCACCTTTCTTCTGAGCTCCCAGTTCAGGTTTCTAAGTATTGAGGCACATCCCCAGAGAGGAGACATGTTAGCATCTAAAATACAACATATTATGGGGCAAACTTCTCACCTTTTTCACCAAACTAGCACTTCTTTGATATTTCTGACCATGTCATCACAATTGTTTTTAATCAGGCAAAATCCAACAAATTCCTTTAACTGATATGGACTTCACTAATGTTGGCCCAAGGATGCAGCATATATATACATACTATATACATACATATATATATATATATATATATATATATATACACACACACACACACACACTGTACACACACACACACACACACACACACATTTTTTTTGAGATGGAGTCTAGCTCTATCGCCCAGGCTGGAGTGCAGTGGTGCGATCTCAGCTACTGCAACCTCCACCTCCCGGGTTCAAGCAATTCTCCTATCTCAGCCTCCCAAGTAGCTGGGATTACAGGCACCTGCCACCATGCCCCACTAATTTTTGTATTTTTAGTAGAGATGGGGTTTCACCATGTTGCCAGGCTGGTCTCAAACTCCTGACCTCAGGTGATCTGCTGGCCTCGCCTCCCAAAGTGCTGGGATTACAGGCAGGAGCAGCCGCGCCCAGCCTCAGCATATCTATATATATATATAGTTGTTTCTGAACTCTTTATTTCACTCCACTGTATGCCCTCACTCCAAAGCCCGCACATATTTTTGACCTAGGATCTGAAGTATGTGTTTATTATATTTGCTTGATTCATAGGTCACCTATGTTAAAGAAATAGTCCACTGTGGGCACTCAGCGAATATTGTTTAAATAAGTGAGGCTTGGGAGAAGAGGGAAGGGAACTGATATTTATTTAGTCAATGTGATTTGCTAGATGCTTTATATACCTTAACTAATTTATTACTCCCAATAGCTTTCTGGGAATTTATTGTTACCTTTTATAGATTAGGAAAGTGAAGCTTGTAGAGGGTCCAGACAGTAGATGATAGCAGCACATAAACCTAGTTTTTTTTTCAATTTCAAAGACCACAGTGTTCTTTTACTAGACCTCATAGCTTGCACACTGTAAAATTATCACTAAATTCTTATTATTATGAGTGTATTTTAAAAATAAAAGCTCTTTCAAATATAAAAAAAAATTCTAGATTCAGTTTAACAACAATTACCAAGCAAACATCAATTTCTATCACTCAGGAATAGAACAAATTAACTCCCCATGTATTCATTTCTGTTTATTCTGTTTGTATTTATTTGTGGTTCATTTTTACACAAATAAAAATAGGTGAAAAATTTGGGGAAAAAAAACAAAACTGTGCTGAACTTCAGCAGTAATCAAGATAGTACAAATTAAGACAACAATAAAAGACACTATTCTCTAACCAAACTGGTAAAATTTATAACTCCAGTAATACTAAGTACTGGCAGTAAGAACTCCCACACACTGTTCATAGAAGTAAAAATTGGCATAACTACTTTGGAAAATAGCATCACATTATTTACAAAAGTTGAAAATGAATAAACCCTACAATTCAGCAATTCTACTTCCAGGTATATTTAGCCTAGAAAAATTAATGCATTTGTGCACCAAGATACATGATCAAAATGTTCACATCAGCATAATTCATCACTACCCCAAACTGTAGATAGGCCATATAAATGAACATGAAAAAGGAGACTGGACAATTAAACTTTGTATTTTCTATTGGGTTATCTGTCTTTTTCTTACTGTTTTCCAGAAAGTTTAAAATACACACACACACATATGTGTATATATATAGACACATAAATATGCACACACATGTGTATATGCATATGTATATACAATAACTTTTTTTCCTAATTAAATATGCTACAAATATCTTATCCCTCCCCCCACACATTTTGTGAAATAATCACAGGCTAACAACTGAGAAATTCCATGTTATGAACAGGAGGGAGAATTCTCAGGCTTGGATCTAGATACCTGATAGGTGAGATCCTACAGAAATTTTTCTGTAAAAGCATGATTTCTCTATAGAGATGCAATTATTCTCAAAGGCCCAGTCTCTTCACCTTGTTTGATGACAACAAGTTTCAATTGCCTGTAAAAGTAACGGACTGAGGCATTAGTGGTTGACCCTCTTCTAATCTGAATGACCAACTTTCCTACAAGCTCCTGCCAACATGCCATGTGCAATCCCACCTCCATACCCGAGTTCAGATGGTTGCTTAGGAACTCCCCATTCAGCTCTGCTTATGTTATTACCAACAGCAACACTATAGTTCAAAAGAGGGTAGCAATTCTGAAGATGCTTTCTCACCCACTATCTCATTTAGCCTGCAAAACGCCCTAAGGAAGGTATGGCTGGTGCTATTGTCTTCACTTTGATGATAAGAAAATTGGCTCAGAGATACGTGGCTTATACCAGCTTCACCACTGGCAATTGGTAGAGTTTTGACTAGAAAGTAAGGTTGGAATCTTGGAATTCTGGGTTCCATCTACATTATTCCTTCAGAGCTTGGCTCACATCCCACATCCTCTGAGGATCTTCCCCTGCCCATAGGATTCTTTCTTGTCCCTGATGAGTTCTAATTATTATTTTCTAGACTATTCATTTGATAATGGCCACAAATGTCTTTGAACTATCATCTACCTAGACGTATGTCCTCTGTTCCACCACGTTATTTGTAAGTTGCTCCTGAAGCAGGAACAATATTGAATATCAACTGGTTTCTTCATCAACTTCACACCATGCCTTTTCTGCAGCTTGTGTCTAGTTAACATTGGCTGAGGCTGGGCTATCACTGTCGGCTGCGGCACTCAAAGAGCCAACTCTATCAAGACTGAAAACAAATATGCCCTGATCCATTCATGCTCTGTGGAATACTGGGAAAATTCCTGCTGGTAGTTACTGAACATTGAGTCATTAACCTTAAGGTGCATTACATCAGTAAACATATATGCAGGGGGCTTTACTTTGTGGAAGTAGGAATTACATCTTACAGTCTTATTTGTATTCTTCAGAGTGCCTTCCACATGGCAAGGACTCATTATGGAAGAGTGTAAGTGAGTTACACATTAAGTAAGACCTCCATTGAAATTTACTAACGTACTTGGTGACTTATTTTTTCAGAGTCTTGGTCAGGGAAGGCAAAAACTCAGTTTCACACCTCGGTTCCTCTTTTTAACAGTAGACAGGTAAGTTAACTTCTCAAAGCTTTGGTTTCCTCCACTGCAAAACTGAAGCACAAATAACTATATCATGGTGAATAAATGAAGGTAAAAGTATAAAATTTCTTTTTATACCACAAGTACTTTATAAAATATAAAAAAGGGTCAAACAAGATTTGGTTCTTTGTGAGTTTAAGCAAGTTAAACTGTAAAAATCGGGGTTTTTAATTGTGAAATGAGAGGATTGGTTTAGATTAGTTTTAAATTCTTTCAGCTTTTGGCTAAAGAGTCTATGACTCCGCAATTCCAGCTTCAATTGCCAAGGAATTTAATATTTTAATTTTCCACTCCCAATACATAAACCTCAACAAATGCTTTAATGCACAAAGGGAACATCCTATTTAGAATAATTCAATCATAATCCATTTTTGAAAGAATAATCTATCCTGATATAAATAACTGCCCTGATTTATGAATTTTCACATTCTTTTTTGAACATTTCAGGTAGGAAGTCCCTGTGCCTTTATTGCACTGCATTGAGCGGCAGGCCCTACGCACAAGGTCTCTCATTCATCAGACAATTCCTGCAGGGAGCAAGTGGGTGTTGTTATTAACCAAATGGGCATTTAGTCTCCATTTGACAGATTTCCTATGTGGAAGGGAAGAGCTCCTTGCAGTAACGTATACTCTGTGAATTGATGTCTTGCTGGCGACAGGACATCTCCTTCTGAGTAGTTTCTATAAATGAATACCCGTGTAATGTCAGCTTGAAATATGTCTGCTGTAGAGCTGGGAACTTGGAGGGCAGGAAGTTAAACAAGGAATGAAAATAAAAGCTAGGATTTGGATGGGACGAGCTTCACCTATCAGTCCTTGGACTTCCTATTTTTGCTCAGGCAGCTCAAGAGCCAAAATAAGAAGTCCAGGGAGAGCTAAGTGAAGAAAGAGCTAGTATAGAAATCTCAATGGTATGAAATACACATTCATTATGATGGGCACATTCACATACTTAATTTCATATTACCCTCACACTTTATCCTGTATATTGGGTTCAGTAAGACTAAATGACTTTCTTGAGGTCACACAATTGATAAGAACAGTTAGAATTTTCATCCAGCTTTTGATAGTACTCTTTTATACCTATTTACAGTCAGATAGAACACTTGTTTGAGGTGATTTCAACATAAAATATAAATATGTAGACATTGAGCCCTTAAATCTCAGGAGGCCCACATTTTCCTGCCTAAACTGAGGTATAGAGGCATAACAAAATATGTCCATAAGAATGATAAAATGGACTTTGGGGTCTCGATGGGGGAAGGTTGGGAGGGAGGTGAGGAATAAAAGACTATATATTGGGCACACTGCTCGGGTGATGGGCACATTAAAATCTCAGAAACCACCACTAAAGGACTTATCCATGTAACCAAAAACAACCTGTACCCCCAAAACTAATGAAATAAAAATTAAAACCATAAAAGAAATAAACATGCCCAGATACACATCTTAATATATACTGTAATGGTTATGATATATAGACTCTAGACTTTAATTTTTTTATAGAAATCTAAATGGCCTAGTGGTGAGGAAAGTTCCTGCTTGGGCTGGGCATAGAAAGAAGTTGGGAAAGAAAAAGAGGAGAAGGATAAAATGAAGTAAAGAAGGAGGAGCAGGATGAGGAGGGAAAAAAGTCAATTATATCAAGTAGGGAAAATGTGTACCTGAGATTGGAATGCACCCAGTGCTTGGATAGCTGCTTCCCAGGCTCTTCTCCAAATGCAGATACTCTTGAGCTCTGTAGATTTCAATGAGAAAGATTCCTATATGCAGTGGATCCTGGCCTGTAAAGGCTGTTCTTCCTGTGTGTTGCTGAATAGGCCTCATTGCTAAAGAAGAGGGGAGGGAGGGGGCTGAATGGGGGAGGTATAGGTTGTCTAGGCCTTGGGCTCAGAAGCTCCTGATCTTTTCAGGTGATGGCAACCATGTGCCAGAGAAAGCTATTCTCATGTTTCTCATGTTCCATAACTCCTTCTTTGCAATTTTTCCCAGAAGACTTATGATTTATCCTCCTCAGACAGAGGCTGCCCTGTACATAATGGAGCTTGATAATCTGAAAACTAAATTGACATTTTAAGCCAACTGAGTTAGCCAACCAAGATTTCTGGTTTTCATCTATAAGGTCAAAATTAATTTGTTGGGTTTTTTGGGGAGATTTTGAAATCATGATCTATTGTGGTGACTTAGATTAACTGTAGTTATAAACACCATCAAGGAGTTGATACGTGAGAAGTGAAATTAATCACCACTCCCTTCCCACACACACACATTTGCTCACACCATCTAGCACATGAAACAAGACCTGAAGGTGTACTAGCACTGTGCGTCACCGTGCTGTTCCTAAGAAGTAAATTTCCAGGCAGGCTTTTTTATTCTTGTAGCATCTAATTACAGAACACCGGAATGCAATGGAGACCCAGAGGTGAGCTGAATTATTGAAAAAGTAAAAGCAAAGACAGTCCAGAAAGCTATTATATATCTTCATAATAGATTCACCAAACTTAAGGGTGCTAAGAAATGCAAGCATTTAATTCAGAAAACAAATATATTTTTTCATAGCTCTAGGGAAAACTGCTTTTTTTCTCTAAACCTTCTGGAAGTTTTGGTAATTATGTTAGACAGAGACAAGAAACATAAAAGATAGTGTAGGCTCTCCGAAGGAAGTTGTATTTAGTCAGGTTAAAGTTGAAGTAATTCATCTATTAAAGCATTCCCATATTTCTGTATATAACAAGGTGTAATGTTTCCCCAATGATTTAGCAAAAGGGAATGGAAATTACAAAGGCACATGACTAGTGAGTAGGATAGGAATGTGGGTAGAGAAGGGAGAGTAAGGGGTTGGAAAGATTTAATCGTCAGCTACCTGACTCGATCTAGTGCCTTGTCCTTTAAATTACAACTTTCTCTCAAATATCATTTAAAATATTGAAACATCCTTTGTCTACCTCAGAAAGTCCAACTTTCAAACTCGCAGAACAAAAGAATAAAAAAGATACTGTGTGTTCAGTTGATAAAAATGAAGGTGAAATCTTTACACCAAGTTTAATAGTGAATGAAAAATTCTTACAATTAAAAACAGGATGAGGAAAATTTGGTACATTCATTTGTATGCTTCAATCTTCTGCTTTAAACCACGTCAAGAAACTAAAGCAAGAAAAGCTTAACTGTCCCATGTTGTTGTTCACTAAATATAAGATTATCTTTCTAAGTAAGACTTTCAACGTGCTGCTTTTTACATCTTCTAATAGCAGAAGTAACCGCTGTTCTTGGGGAAGAAAGAACTGAAACCAGTCAAACGTTAAAAGTCATGATGGCATTTAGGTGTGAGAGAAAGTTTATCCCTTAATTGCTTGCCTACTTCCCATTCACATTTAATATTGGGGGTAAAGTTTGTTGAGTATTTTCCAGAGAGCACTTTTCACTTCTTTGTTCCTAAGGCTGTATATCAAGGGATTCAGCATGGGAATCACCACTGTGTAAAACACAGAGGCTATTTTGTCTGTGTCCACGGACTGGCTGGAGTTGGGCTGTAAGTACATGAAGATGATTGTGCCATAGAAGATGGACAAAGCAGTGAGATGGGAAGCACAGGTGGAGAAGACTTTCTTCTGCCCTTCAGCAGAATGCATCCTCTGAATGGTGATGCATATGAAGAAGTAAGAAATAAGGATGACCAGGAGGGTGAAAAAGACGTTGAAGCCTGCCACAAAGACCACCAACTTGCTGATGCGTGTGTCAGAGCATGAGAGAGCCAGGAGTGGGGGAATGTCACAGAAGAAATGATTAATCTCATTAGAACCACAGAAGGAGAGTCTGAAGGTGCCTGCTGCATGGATAGAGGCATTGAGGAAGCCAGAGACATAGGAACCAGTAGCAAGGAGGGCACACACACCTGCTGTCATGGTGGTGGTGTAATGAAGAGGCCTACATACCGCTGCATGGCGATCATAGGCCATGGAGGCCAGGAGGTAGCACTCAACAGTGGCAAACCCCACAAAGAAGAAGAACTGAGCTGCACATCCATCGTAGGAGATGGCCTTGTCCCCTGACCGCAATGCAGCCACCGTTTTGGGGGCTACAGCTGATGAGTAACCCAAGTCTACAAGGGAGAGGTTACTGAGGAAAAAGTACATTGGAGTGTGGAGATGGGAGTCTGAGTGGATGATCACCATCATTCCCCCATTCCCAAGCAGGGTGATGAGGTAGATGAATAAAAATGCCAGGAGGAGGGGTATCTGAAGATTGGGGTCATCTGTTAATCCCAAGAGGATAAACTCTGTCACTTCTGTGCTATTCTCCATTGTGGCCAGCTTGAATTAGCCTGGTGATTAAAGAAGAGGCGTCAACAAAATTCCAATGAAAGTATGAGAAGGGAGGATGGAATGATAAAAAAGGAGAAAACTAATGTATAGAGAGAATGTACTGTGTGTAACACTCATCCTAGAACCCTCTGTTATATTATAGCTTTTAATTCATATGAGATAGGTGCTATTATGCCCATCTTACAGATAAGGAAGTTAAGGCTCAGGGAGCTGAATATTGAGCAAGATAGCCTATCTAGGGGTCAGAATCAAAGTTCACCCCTTTATATTTCTGAATCTAAAGTTCATACATTCATCTTGAATTCTTTAACACATTTACATCATATAAATACAAATTATGATGTGGATATAAGATTGTATGTATTTAATTATTAAAAATAAAAACATCCATCACTTATTGTCTTCCACATTCTACTTCCAATAATATAGCCTCACTAAAGATTTTCTAAATTTATTTTTCCTTAAAACAACACAAGTTTATTCTCTCAAAATTCTGGAGGCCAGAAGCCTCAAATCAGTTTCACTGGGCCAAAATCAAGGTGTTGGCAGGACAAGGTGGTGCCCTCAAGGTCTGTTTGATACTAAATCCAAAGATCTTAACCACAACTTTTGAAGCCTTTATAAATTAATCCCTCAACAGTAGTTCAACTGAAAGGGAGTATGGTATATGTAAATATGAGTATGTATTTATATATATTTAATATAAAACTATAAATTTGATATATACAAATGGCTTTGTGTATCTGTGTATATGCATATGTCTTTTTTCACCCCTTATCAGAAGTCTTTGCTGTAGACCCTAATTCCAGTTAAGTCCTCCTTTCTCTCCCTCCTCAAAGCACTTGAGTCTTGGCTGATTATTGCACAATTAGCTGGGCAACCACTCACTCTTCACCTAGCTCTAAGCCCCTTGGGACAGTAACTATCTTCATCCCCTCTGGTCCACTCTCCTTACCATGGCCCCTCACACATGTATGTAAATATTTGGTGAATCAAACAGAACATCAATAGGAAAGTATGGAAATATTTTTCATGCTCTTTAATCCCACAACAAACATCCTATCATCCTCTTGTCTACCAGGTTTGTGCTTTGGGCCAAAATATTAGCTTAGACTTGTCATATGAAAAATATTCAGGAGTAACAGTGAGTTTGCAGATGGTCAGGCCTGGAGACAGGTTTCTGTCCTCATTTTAGAGCATTCTTTCTCTCCTATTTTTGTTCCTCAACCTGAGGTGTTCACAGGCTTTCCCCACTCCTAGTAGCAGAGTGAGTGGGAGCAGACTCAGAAGAAGTGAGGGAGAAAATGTGAGAAGAGAGGAGGAAAAAGGAGAAAACAGGAATTAAAGGAGAAAAATGCTTCAGCTCTGCTGGACTTTAGCTTACCTTGAAGAGTAACAGCAGCAATTTGATTGGTGACACAAAAAGAAGGGGATAGTGTAGCTTGTCCTTTTTGGATGACCATCACACACACACGATGTGGCTAGTTTCATAAGAACTGGCTCAGTCAGCTTGGTACATTACTATCCAGTAATGTACTAATTGACTTTCTGACCAGCATCACTTTCTATTATATTTATCCAGCCTTTTTTAACTTGTTTTTCTTTTGACTTTTGACATGTGTGTATACTCTCAAATTTAGCAAACACAATATCCTGTAATCTATGACAGGCAGTGTTCTGATCTTACATATTTGGAAACAGAAGGATGTGGTGCCCCTCAAGGTCACATAACTGCTTAACTGTAAAATCTGTACAATTCCAGAGCCTGGTTTTTCAGCCTCAGCACTACTGACATTATGAGCTGGACAGTTCTTTGGTGCAGGGTGTGGTGGGGGAGAGGGAGTGCTGTCCTGTGCATTGTAAGATATTCAGCAGTTTCCCTGGCCTCTCTCTAATCACTAGATTCCAGTAACACCACCACCTCCCATTTGTAACAGTCAAAAATGTCTCCAGACGTGGCCAAATGTCCCCTGAAGGGTAACATTCCCCTGATTGAGAACCACTGTTCTAGAGCTTTTAAAAAACAGTGGTTCTAAAGTTTATAAAACTCTTTTTGCATTCACTTCTTAATTTAATTATTGCATGACTAGATAGAGAGAGAGAGAGATAGCAGATATAGACATGAAGAAACCGAGGCTCAGTGAGGTGAAGTGACTGGTTTAAAGTCTAGAACTCTGGCCAAATATTGCTGCTTATTGGTAGAGGGATCCCAGGAAGGGATAACTGCTTGCTAAGTACGTGGTCCTTTGACCAAAGAGATACCAGTCCTCCCATATTGTAAACCAACCTTTTCCTAGACACAAGGTAGGATGAAAACCTGGAAAAATTCCAAGAATAAAATGCAGCTGACTTAGGGTGGATTCTGAATTATTTTCCAAAATACCTTCTGAAATGCTTATTAGATCAATCTCCTTGGTTAATATTGACCACAGGAGTCTATTCACTTAAGCTGTACGTTCAGTTTTTAAAAGCCATTACACCCACCCCCCCGCCCCCGCCATATTGAACTGTCCCTGACTGCCATGTTCCTCTACCGGCAATTAATATTCAAGGTACTTTCTGTGTTCCGTTAATGGGCAACCCTTCCGTTTATGCATTGCAGTCTCTGTTAATAAATGTGTTGAGATCCAGAGCAGCAAGGAGAAATCTGGAGTCAGTGCAGAGAGAAAAGGCCTCATTTACCCAGCACCAAGCCTGGGAGGCTGCAAGGCCTGAATCCAAATCCTGCTGCTGCTGCTGTATCTCCTCCCACTCAAGTCCTGTAAAACCCAGGCTTTTCTGCATGGACCTAAAATAAATATCGGAAGGAGTCTTGAAAGAGAAAAAATATTTTTAAAATATCTACGGTTGAATACTGAAATATCTAAGGTTAAAATATTAAGTCAAAACCTGAAAAAGCATTAAAATTTAAGGAATTATTATTGTTATAAAGAGAGAAGGAGAAGTCTAAGCCATTAAGATAGTTTGGAAATAAAAAGTTCCATCAAAATTGCTTCTAAAGGGGTTTGAAGCATCACCCCCAATCATCACACCCCCATTTGGGGAGTTCTAAAGAAGATTCTCAATGGAATAAATTCCATAAGGGAAGAGACAAGGCCTATATTGTTTGTCACTCTTTTGCGCTTTATTATCCACTACTTAGACTCAAGGCAGCCACATGGTAGACTCAACTATTTGTTAAGTGGATGAGGTAATTAGAATCTCAGCAGTTGAGTTAGAATAAGAGCTTTAATGCTTACTTGCTTTGGGACTGTAGGCAAGTCAATTTTCCTTTATAGACAGAAGATAAAGTGAGATAAAATATAAGAAAATTCAGCCAGTGTGGGCCTCTAGCAGGTGCTCCATAGAAGCTAATTAATCAATCTCTTTATTAAACTGTAGGCCAATCGTATGAAGTTATTTCCCAGGTTTTATTAACACCAGTTGGTAGCAACACCCCATCTAGCAATGACTATGGCAATGGCTGTCTAAGTAAACGTGACTCCGAATTACTTATGGGAAACTTCTGTCTCTATTCTTGTGAAATGTAGCAGAGGAGGTTGGGGGAAATTGAATTAAGAGTCTTTTTATATACCTACTTCTGAGTCTCTTTCTTTTAGACGAACCCATTATTTCTACCTACAGTGCGAAGAATACTGCTTTTTAAAAAGATCAGGGAAATCATACCTATGTCCTTGGGAATTATGAGATCTCAATTCAGAACTGCTTCAACACTGGACTTTTTGAAGTCTGAAAAAGAAAAGAAAAGAAGAGCTGTTGGTCTCTAAGGACCTTGGATTTCAAATAGTAAGAGATTTCCTGAGGCTATGTGATAAAAGTGTAAAGACAGTTCAGCTGCCGCTGCAGTTTGCTTGAGACTGTAAGTGAGCCATATCAAACTGTGTGAAAAGGCTGATATCAGCTAGAAGCTAGTGTCTATGTAGATTTGGGAGCCTCTGAAGGGGGGTTCCCTAAGGTCTCAATTCCAATCCAGGGCTCAGCAACATACAAACAAGCAATCAAAACACCACTTTCCTGAGGGAACTGAAACATTATTATGATATGGAGGTGCCTCAAAGATCCCTTAGGGGCCACAGGGGAGTCCTGGTTCTCCTAGTCACAGGCTAAGATTATTGATGAGCAAATTCTATCAAAAAATGCTTTCAAAGGAGCTTGAGGATCCAGCCACTGCACAATCAGCCCACAGATTTCCTGTGAGTATTGGGAGTTGGCTCTTTATCTAAGACTAAATGGGGAGAAATTTTCAAAATGTCAGATTATAAATGATAAATTGCATCAGAATCTCCATTTTCCCAAACCCAGCTCTGTCTACAGAACTCAGAGTTTCAAAGAGCTCTGTGAATCAAAACACTTCCATGAACTTTTTTCCCAGTCAACTTGGTTTTAAATGAATTTTAACATGGAGCCTACAAGAAGCAAAGGATTTCTTTATTTCAGCTCTTGATACATTTATATGTATATAATATATATTTATATAATATATAATATAGCTTCCTATGTTTCAAGCCCTTCATTCAGTATATATTTGTATGTGTTATTTCACTTAATGTTCATATAACTCTATGAGAAATATATATTTTTTTCAATTTTACAGATGTGAAAACTTCTGTACATACCTAGCACTTAGATCTTTTTCTAATATTATTCTCTAATAAAAGAAACCAGGGCTCCTTCGAGAAATGGCTGGTTCTAGCACTGGAGCAGGGAATATACCAGAGAAGCCTGGAGCATCTTGCAATTCCAGAAAGTGAGGAAATGCTCAAGCCTGTCTGACCCAAATTCTATATATTTATACTCTGTGCTCTACTGCTTCTCTTGGGAATAAATGTGGAAAAGCAGAGGTGCTCTCAGAATCTACAAAACAATATTTCTCTTAGATTCTCACAAATGCATGTTCCACTACAGTCAGTTACAAAAGTAGAGCTTATTTACTCACTTTTTCTTTGCTCTCATGAAAACATTTCCAAGACAAAGCCCCCTGTTAGAATAATTATTTTTAACAAAAGAAGACATACAAAGTGGCCAAGCAAGTGGCAAGCTAGGTGATAGAAGTCCAAGGATATTTTTGCATACTCTTGGAATTTTGTAGCATCTAATCACCTGACCCACATGTCCAACTCTGAAGACTTAGGTTTCTTCCTTATTATTTATTTGACCAATAAAACAACCAAGGAAAAAACTAGAGAAAGAAAGAGGGAAAAACGGGATAAGACAGATAAAGAGAGAAAGGAAAGAAAAGAAAGAGGGGAGGGAAGGGGAGAGAAGAGGAAGAAAGGGAGAGGAACAAGATGAGGAAAGAAGAGAAAACTTCACCTGTAGCATCAAGACTCTAACCACTGAGACAATCTAGCCTATATATCTGGCTTTATAAAATAATTTAGTACTCTTCTTTATCAGTGTTTAATATTCTAAAAAATTAAATAGATAAAAATGAAGACTATCAACATGGTGAAGTGGGGTGGTTCTTGGTTTTGGCAAGTAAGAGGCCTAGAATTAGCCACTTATGAATGGATAATAGATGAATCATTAATCTTTTTGAACCTCATCATTTCTTAATGGCACCCAATATATCCTCTTTCTTTTCCCTCCAAAGACTCTTAATTCCTGGGAAATACTTCTGCTTTTCCACTTTGATGCCTCCAGTGTCTTCACTGTTTGGTCTCCTCACAAGATCAGGTTGACTCTTCACCTCCAAACAGTTACAGCTTGGGGTTTTAAAAAAACTAAAAGGCAGAAAAGGGCCAATTCTGACTTTTGGATTACTTCAAGGCCAGATACCAGGATCTGTCCATCCATATTTGAGTTAATGCTGCCATCTTGAGGCTATCCCAAGCTTTTCACCTAAGGAGCCGTTCCCAGCGGTGGGGCTGGCAAAATGAAGACTTGTCTTTCTTGCCGCAATGACAAGTGAGTTCATACAGGAAAAATGCTTTGGAATTACAGGAAGAATCAAGAAACTACCCATCTGCCTAAAAGGTTAATTTCATGGCCACATAGAATGGTAGCACCTCTTAGGACCCTGGAGATCTCCTACGTGTTATGGTACACCAGGCACCGCAGCCTACAGGTGAGACTTACAGTCCTGGAGCCAAATGCATGGGTTCAAATCCCAGCTCTCCCTTCTAGTTCCTGGAGGGACTCTTGCAAGTCACTTAGTCTCTCCATTCCTCTATTTCTCATTATGGGACTGTTGAGAATTAAAGTTAATCAACATAAAGTACAAATAAACTTTGGAGATACTGGGGGTTTGGTTTCAGACTACTCCAATAAAATGAATATCACGATAGAGCAAGTCACACAATTTTTTTTTTGCTTCCTAGTGCATATAAAAGTTATGTTTACACTATACTGGGTCTACTAGCATTATGTCCAAAAAATGTACATAATTTAAAATACTTTATTGCTAAAAAATGATGATGATCACCTGAGCCTTCAGTGAGTTGTAATTTTTTCTTTTGCCGGTGAGGGGCCTTGATGGCTGCTGACTGATCAGGATGATGCTTGCTGAAGGTTGAGGTGGTTGTGGCAATCTCCTAAAATAAACCAACAGTGAAGATTGCTGCATCGATTGACTGACTTTCTTTTCTTTTTTTTTTTTTTGAGATGGAGTCTCTCTCTGT
Source organism: Homo sapiens (assembly GCF_000001405.40). NCBI lineage: Eukaryota > Metazoa > Chordata > Mammalia > Primates > Hominidae > Homo > Homo sapiens. Next base: position 58,514,747 of record NC_000011.10, read on the forward strand.
TGCCCAGACTGTAGTGCAGTGGCGCAATCTTGACTCACTGCAACCTCCACCTCCCAGGTTCAAGATATTCTCATACTTCAGCCCCCTGAGTAGCTGGGATTACCGGCAAACGCCACCAGGCCTGGCTAGTTTTTGTATTTTTAGTAGAGATGGGGTTTCACCATGTTTGCCAGACTTGCCAGGCTGGTCTGGAACTACTGACCTCAAGTGATCCACCCACCTCGGCCTCCCAAAGTGCTGGGATTACAAGCATGAGCCATCGTGCCTGGCTGATTGACTTTCTTTCATGAAAAATTCCTCTGTAGCATGAACTGTTGTTGATAGCATTTGACCTACAGTAGAACTTCTTTCAAAATTGTATTAAGTCCTCTCAAACCTTCCCAGTGCTTTATCAACTAACTTTATGGAATACTTGAAATCCTTTGTTGTCATTTCAACAATGTTCACAGCCTCTTCCCCCAGAGTAGATTCTATCTCAAGAAACCACTTTATTTTCTCATTCATAAGAAGCATTTCCTCATCTGTTCAAGTTTTGTCATGAGATTGCAGCAGTTCAGTCACATCTTTAGGCTTTACTTCTAATTCTAGTTCTCTTGCTATTTCCACCACATCTGCAGTTACTCCCTCCACTGAGGTCTTGAATCCTTCAAAGTCATCCAAGAGAGTTGAAATCAATTTCTTCCAAACTCTTGTTAATGTTAATTACATGAATTCATGAGTCACAAAAGTTTTTAGTGGTATCTAGAATGGTGAATCCTTCCAGAGGTTTTCAATTTACTTCACTAGATCCATCAGAGGAATCACAATCTATTGCAGTTATAGCCTTACGAAATGTATTTTCTAAACAATAGGACTTGAAAGTCAAAATTACTCCTTGAACCATGGGCTGCAGAATGGATATTGTATTACCAGGCATGAAAACCACATTCATCTCCTTGTCCATCTCCATAAAAGCTTTGAGTGACCAGGTACATTTGTGAATGAGCAGTAATATTTTGAAAAAAATATTTTTTCTAAGTAGTAGGTCTCAATAGTGCGCTTAAAATATTCAATAAACCATGCTATAATCTAGTCTTTTCCGTTTATAGAGCACACGCAGAGTAGATTTAGCATAATTCTTAAGGGTCTTAGAATTTGCAAAATGATAAATGAACATTGGCTTCAATTTAAACTTACCAGCTTCATTAGCCCCTAACAATAGAGTCAGCCTGTTTGTGGAAGCTTTGAAGCCAGGCATCAATTTCTCCTTCCTAGCTATGAAAGTCCTAGATGGCATTTCTTTCAATATAACGGTGTTTTGTTTGCATTAACAATTTATCGTTAGGCTGGGCATGGTGGCTTATGCCTGTAATTCCAGCATTTTGGGATGCTGAGGTAGGCGGGTCACCTGAGGTTAGGAGTTTGAGACCAGCCTGGGCAACATGGTGAAACCCCATCCCTTTCCAAAAAAAAATTAAAAAAGGAAAAGAAAAATTAGCAGGGTGTGGTAATCCCAGCTACTCAGGAGGCTGAGGCATGAGAATCACTTGAATCCAGGAGGCAAAGGCTTCAGTGAGCCGAGATCTTACTATGGCACTCCAGCCTGGGTGGCAGAGGGAGACCTTGTCTCAAAAAAAATATACATATATATATAGTTTAGTGTAGCGACTTCCATCAGTTATCTTAGCTAAATCTTCTGGATAACTTGATGTAGCTTCTACATTAGCACTTGCTGCTTCACTTTGCACTTTTATGTTCTAAAGATGGCTTCTTTACTTAAACTTCATGAACCAATCTCTGCTAGCTTCCAATTTTTCTTCTGCAGCTTCCTCAACTTCCTCAGCTTTCACATAATTGAAGAGAGTTAGGGCCTTGCTGTATTAGGCTTTGCCTTAAGGAAATGTTGTGGCTGGTTTGATCTTCTATCCAGAACACTAATATTTTCTCTGAATCAGCAATAAGGATATTTCACTTTATTATCATTCAGGTCTTCACTGGAGTAGCACTTTTAATTTCCTTCAACAACTTTTTCTTTGCTTTCTCAACTGGGACAACTGTTTGACACAAAAAGCCTAGCTTTTGCCCTGTCTCAGCTTTTGCCCTGTCTCAGCTTTTGCCCTGTCTCAGCTTTTGACATGCCTTCCTCACTAAGTTTAATCATTTCTAGCTTTTGATTTAAAGTGAGAGATATGCAACTCTTCCTTTCTATTGAACATTCAGACTTCATGGTAGGGTTATTAATTGGCCTAATTTCAATGCTTCATGACTTGCAGACTTATTTCTATCCATCAATTTCTCAGAATTTTCTGAGTGTCTGCAGACTCTGCAGCCCCACTCAGGTAAATGCACTCTCTGTGGATGTGTTTTCCTTCATCTCCTTTACCAAATCAAGGCCATCTAATATTAACTTTACTACAATCTCTCCATCTAAATCCATCCTATCCTTCTCTGCCTTCCTACCTCAGAATTTCCCCCTCTTCTGTAGCAGGCTGGCCCCTTCATCTATGCCATTGATCCATCTCTACTTACTTTGGTGAGACCATACTATGGCAATTACTCCTGTCCCTCCACCCTCCCTTACTCATTCCTACCCCATTTGTCCATAGACATTCTAAAGTTACCATCTCTTCCCCAAAAATGTTCAAGAATCTGTCTCCCATCCTAATATATTCTTGTGCTATACCAGCATCCTTCCTTCTACCATCAAAATGATCAAAAGTGGTCCACAGCATCTTCCATTCTCTCCTAATCCGCTGCATTGTAGCTTCAACTGTTTCTACTCCACTATGTTGAAATAATATTCTTTTTTCTTTTGTTTATTTATATTATTTTTAATTGACAAATCACAGTTGTATTACATTTATGGAGTATGATGTGATGTTTTGATATGGATATACAATGTGGAGCAATTAAATCAAGCTAATATAGACATCACCTCTTGACCTTTTTTCTTTTTTTTTTTTGAGACGGAGTCTCACTCTGTCACCTAGGCTGGAGTGCAGTGGCGTGATCTTGGCTCACTGCAAGCTCCACCTCCCGGGTTCACGACATTCTCCTGCCTTAGCCTCCTGAGTAGCTGGGACTACAGGCGCCTGCCGCCACGCCCAGCTAATTTTTTGTATTTTTAGTAGAGACAGGGTTTCACCATGTTAGCCAGGATGGTCTCAATCTCCTGACCTCGTGATCTGCCCACCTTGGCCTCCCAAAGTGCTGGGATTACAGGCATGAGCCACTGCACCCAGGCTTGACATTATTTTGTGGTGATACATTTGAAATTTACTCTGTAAGTTATTTTGACATATTATTATTTTCTATAGTCACCCTGAAGTGCCATAAATCTCAACACTTATTTCTCTGGTCTAGCTGAAACAATATTCTTAAAGGTTGCTCCGAGGCTAGCTTCACAGATGTGCAAAACAGACCCTGTGCTCAGAAAAGTCCCACCCTTTGAGACTAACATCTTGTGATTGTCATCTTCAAATTATTTAAAATGTTATCTTTGAATTTGCATTTTGTAGGTAAAGTCCAATGGGACAATGGAGCAAACACAGAAAACTTGGAACCCCAGCTCGTGCGTGGTCACACCTTCTGCTACCTCCCATTCTCTCCACAATCCACTGCATTCAACACTGTTGATGACTGTTGCCTACAAGATGATGTCCCGCTTCCCAAGCCTGACATTCAAAGCACTCTAACCCTGAACAGTTTTTCCAGTTTTTATTTCTCTTGATAGCCACCAGGCATCCTACTTTCTATCCACATAGACCCCAAGGGCCCATGCCGCAGTGTTTGGCACACTGTGGACGCTCAGTGAACTGGGTCCTTCCTTCACTCACCACACCATGTATGCTGTCCCCCTTTGACATATTTCGTGCTGTTCCCTCAGTTTGGAATGCCCTAGTTTTATTTTTTTTAATCACTTTTACTTTTAGGTTCAAATTAATGCCATCTCCAAAGTGAAGTTTTTCTCCGAGGTTTTAAACAATTATGTGTGTCCTATTTATAGCATTTTTTTTTCAAATTGCTTTGTGTTATTTTCTCCTGTATATTATGTCTCCTTTTGTTTCTTTTCCTAGAACACAATACTTTAGCTTCTCCCACTCCTATATTCCTACCTATTACACAATCCTGTCCAGAAACCATCCTGTATGGACAAACTCGTATTAGAGACTGAATGTGTGGGTCCTTGCTGGGCTGTAAACTTTTTGAAGGCAAACTATGCCTTACTCATCTTAGGTTTCTTCTGGAACCTAGAACAGTGCCTTTTGACAGTAAGTACCTACTGAATTATGCAAATCCCATCTGATTCTCTATTTAATAAATTGGAGAAGGCACAGGTATATCAATTTAGGAGCCCACCTCAGGGAAATGTATTTGTCCTTAACTCAACAAACTAGCTTCCAGATCACTAGATGTGATAGTTTAAAGTAGCACTGTCTGCTTGTCATTATGAACAAATATGGAAAATTTTTAAATTGATAAACCCTGGGGCTATTTGCTAATGAAAACAGTTTAAACTGGTGTCTTGAAATATATCTTGCTCCCACTTTTGAAAAGGAAACTGCATCTGTCTGCTGTTACAAAACACTTGCATACGTAAACACATAGAAGATGGAACACTCTTGTTCCTAAGTATAACTCTCATCTGGGCTCCTGCCTCCATATCATCTGTATCCTTTAGAATCTGTTTTAGTTATGTCACCTCACATCTCTTAAATCAACAATATCTCCATCTCTGTGGTCTCTGTCCAGTTACATCCAAAAATTACTTCTCAACTTTGATCATCCTTGGAACTACACTTCTAACTCAACTTTCTTTTCCCTGAGTGAGTGAATAAATGCTCAAAAACCAAAGGATATTCATGAAGGAACAGAACTAGTAAGTGGTAGAGCTGGGATGGAAACTCAAACCTGAAGTCAAGACCCACAACATAAAGTCTTCCCCACCTTTTAACTGCAACTCAATTACATCAGTCTCAAATGATCCATATACCAAAAGATCACAATATTCCTGTCAGTGAGTCTGGTATTGGCTAACAGAGTACCATCCATTACCTAGCTGTTGATCAGAAGGCATATGGAATTGTATCTTTCCCAAGCTGAATTATTTTAAGTAATAGCGTTAAAAAAGATTTTCCTAGGAATTTCCCTTGGATTATAGTTAGATCTATGGCAGGCAGTGGAAAATCTTGGCCCTGGAAGGCTCCTGAGCTCTTTTCTCATGGCTATGCCTCCTTGACCTGGGTGAGCTGTTTTCCATCTATGGGAAGTAGCTAACTGCATAGATTTCTGTGCCATGGAGATCGTTCACTCCTGAGTATTATTTTGTCAATATGTTGCTGTAAAGGAAGATTATGAGCTCAAACTCAAGCTCTTCTCTTAATCTCCCAGCATTTTCAATTCCATCAGCTTTCATCCTGAGCCTTAAAAAAGATTTCTAAAATCATACAAAAACAACTAAAAGCCTGCTATGGTTTCATGGTCTCCATGGAAATGCTAGGAATGGATGCTGTGTTGACTTCCTCACATATCTCTTGGACTATTTTGTTAATGCCTTTTATGTATGGTACTTGGCAGTTTACAAAGCCCTTTCTCACGTATTATCTCAGTTAATCCCCACAACAAACCCACGTGGATATTATTACCCATGTTTAACATATCATGAAACCTAAATTTGTAGAAGATAAGTGGTTTAACCAAGGTTTACAAGCGGTAAATTCACTTACAGTTTGCAAGTGGTAAACTCAACTTTTAAATTTTGGTTTGCCTGAAGCCATGGCTGCTATTCTTGCCACTATAACCAAAACAGTGTAGCCTAGAGCAGATCACTTTGATGCCCTAGTGCCCTTGCTTGTCCCTTGAAAATTCACCTCATGGGCACTTTACATTGTTGATATACAGCCTAAAAGAAAGCATCCCAGACAAGGAATTAACAAACTTTAGTTCTGTTTCTAAATCAAGTCACCTTGACCTATTCATGTAATCAACTGCTTCTTCCACAGGTAAATGGAAATAATAATCCTTGCCCACTTTCTCCCTTCTGTCATCCCCTCTACTAATACTACCTTAGATGAAATACATTAAGCTTCATAGAGCTGGGAATATTATAAAACTTTGCAAATGCATGGCTTACCACAAATTCGGTCTTGTGATTACCGGTAATGTGAAGTCCTTTGGTATGATTTTCTTCCTTTTAACCTTACCCCTCGATAACTTTACCCAACAAATGGCATTAGTTCCCCACCCCTATCTGTTGGCACTTACTGCTAGGTACACACTGCTGCTCCTACTCAAAGTGCCTGTGATTTAGAAAAAGGGCTTTCTTTGGCCTCAGAGTACATGCAGCTTGAGTACAAGGAAGACAAAGTGGGGTGTAAGGGTTGGTGGACCACCTCTTGTACTCTACAATGAATCCCAGAGGTCCTCTGAGTATTGAGTTCCAACTTCCCAAGACAGTAATCTGCTCATTAATGCACACTGATTTGGCTTCCTTGCCTTTTCTTTTTTGTTTGTTTGTTTTTTTGGGTTTTTTTTTTTTTTAGACGGAGTCTCACTCTGATGCCCAGGCTGGAGTGCAGTGGCGCTATCTTGGCTCACTGCAACCTCCTCCTCCCGGGTTCAAGCGATTCCTCTGCCTCAGCCTCCTGAGTAGCTGGGACTACAGGCTGCACACCACCACACCCGGCTAATTTTTTGTATTTTAGTAGAGACGGGGTTTCACTGTGTTGGTCAAGATGGTCTCGATCTCCTGACCTCGTGATCTGCCCACCTCGGCCTCCCTAAGTGCTGGGATTACAGGCGTAATCCCTGTAGAATATAGAAAATATCTCACTTTTGGCTCTTCTAGCTGTACATCTAGAGATTGCCTCCTAAATAGACTACTATACACAAGTCCTAGTCTCAGCATCCACTTCTAGAAAAACCCCAAATTGTGAGACAATCTAGGGTAAGTAGTAGCTTCACCAGGTAGTTTGTGTAAGGGAACTGAGTGACAATTCCCCCCACTCTGTCTTTCTTTTCCTCAGATAGTGTGTTATACGGCCCATCTTGCCTCCTTTACTGAAAGCTCTGAAAATTTCACCTTGCCCAACTCAAAAATTATCTTATATATCCTGTAACTTTCTTCCGTCCTACTTTTCCTCCATTTCAAAATTTTCAGATTATCTTAGGAAAATCTCCAAGTTCTTCATTTTATTTTTGAGCCTCCAATATTTTCTAACTCATGTCTGAAAATGCAAGAGCACCTAGAGACAGAAAGTCCTATTTTCTAAGTGTTATTGAACATAATGAAAATAACCACTTCAAACTTCCAAAGCATTGAAAAGTGTCCCTAAGGTCCCCTCTCAGAATCACTATAAATGTCTTCTTTTTCCTCCTTAACTTCATATAAACCCAATTTTCTTTAAGTAGCACCTTTCAGGATGTAATGGACTGAATGTGTCGTTCCAAAATATGTTGAAGGCCTAACCCCCAATGTGGCTGTATTTTAAGTAAAGAAGTAATTAAGATTAAACGAAATCATAAGGGTTGGGCCCTGATCTGATAAGATTGGTTTCCTTACAAGAAGAGACACCAGATCTCTTGTGGTCTCTCTCTCTCTCCCTCTTTTCACCCTGTGAGGACAAAGCAAGAAGGCAGCTATATGCAAGCCAAGAAAAGAGCCCTCAACAGAATTCAAACCTGCAGACCTTAATCTGAGACTTCTCATCTCCAGATCTATGAGAAAATAAATTTCTGTGGCTTAAGACACCCCATTTATGGTATTTTGTTTTGGCAACTGCGCAGACTAAGACACAGGATAAATGTAAATTGATTTCTCTTATAATCGTCTAATTTTTCTTCCTTTTTTGTTTGCTAGTGGGGTATCAGGATGTTTTAAAACTAGTTTTCACTATAAAGAGTATTGCAGTAATATCAAATACGTAATAGTTCTCTCTGGATTATAATTAAACAAAGTAGCATGAATACCATCATTTCCAAAACAATTTTAAATCTTAGAGGATGACAACACCCTCACAACCTTTTTCTTCCCCTTTGTAATAGTGACAGATACTGCAAAATTGGACAGGAGCAAGAAGCTTGTACTCTAAATATGCGAGCTATCCACAGGATGACTTAACCTTAAACTACAGAGTTTCACTGTGCTCTGGTGTAAAAAGCATCAAGAAGTGATCAAACACTATTTTTGTGTATTAGTTTTTCATGACGATATACAATATACGTTCTGTACCAACACTGAGTTTATTTGTTCAATGTAAACAAAAAAGAGAATTTATTTGCTCACATAATTTCCTAGTCTATGGTTAAGATGCTGCTATGGTAGAACTGAGTGGCTCAAAAAAAGAAAACACAGCCTCTCCATTACTTGGTTCTACGTTCCACTGTGCTGGCCTCTTTCTCAGACAGCCTCCCCCAAGTGATGATAAAAATATTTATCAGCAGCAATGGGTTTTTATTATCCGCACAACTAGAATTCCAACGAATGGGAATGTTCTTTCTGAATAAATCTAGTAAAGGTCATTGGCTTTGCTGAGGTCACATGTCTATCCCTGATCCAATCACCTTCCTTCAGAAGAACAAAGTACTTTTATTGGTCAGACCTGGGACTGTACCTATTTCTGAGGCTGAGGTTAAAGTCAGCCTTGCCTAAACACATGGACCAAGAATGGGAGATGCAGTTCTTTGTGGAGAAACTAGACTGTGGGGAAAAACAGCTCAGAAATTCACTCCCCTTTCATTTCACGTCCCATCCTCAATTATATCCAATAATATTATTCAACATAGCATATCAAAGTCCAAAAACATTAAAATCCAAAATCAAATTCTCTAAGTTAAAGTTTAGAGAAAGTAAAGCCTTCTTTGATTCCTTGGTCTGTTCATTTTCAGCTTTAGGAGTTTTTCCAGTAACACCTGTGATCTGAGATATCTCTCGCTAGAATGGAGGTACTTATCCCAGGAAAAATGTTATTCCCATAATACAGTATTTATTGTGATTTAATGATATCCAAAATAGGAAGGGAAGATGGATGGCTCTCAACAGGGTGCCAGGAAGTTTATGCAATTGTCCGTAATCCATGGTCTATGAACCTAAACACAGTTAGGAGACTTCTCCCCACGGAAAATCAATTTAGGCACTATACGCTGACTATATCTAAGGTAGGGGAATGTCCTACATAAACTGTCTCCTTTCTTATAAATTTGAGACAACACTGCCTTCTGGCAAAGTTATAAATTTGCAACAAGTACAACCCAAGCACCAGCTTTTACCTGAGATTTCTTTCTTTTTTATCCTGTGGATCCCAAGAGATTTCCATTTCCCCACTGAGCTCTGTGTTCCCAGCACTTAATGTGCTGCACTGATGGTACCTAGTAACACAACCTCCACAATATTTTGGGGACAGGCAATCTCTTTTTCAGTGTCATATTTCAGTGGCTGCCACCACTGCCTTATTGAGGACGTGCTTATGCCTAAGACACTCGCCTCTAAAGGAAGCTGCTACTCTTTCTCACCTTGATTTCAGCTGCAAGATCTCCTTTTCCAGACTGCCAAACTGAAGGTGCTTTTGATGCTTCTCAGTGGTGCGCCCCTAGGGGCCCAGGAAGAGCAGTGCCACTGCCGCATGTTCCTCAGGACACCAGCATTCCTGGCTCTCTCCTCTGCCTTTGGGTTCTGTAAAGTTCTTGGACATGATCCCTCAGGATACTGACAATGCCTGCTTGCTTACCTTCTACATTACCTTGAAACTCAGAAACTCCAATATTTTCACTTTTGAACACACGAATTCAAGATTCATTGTCCTCTTCCCGCTTCTTACCAATATCCAGCTTTTAAAGTATTCACATCTCCTCCACAAAGCCCTTGTGCTTTCGGGAAACTTAGTCCTGCTTGTAACTTTGGAAATAATTCAGTTTGGTTTAAGCCAAGCTGCAGAATCCATTCCCCCAGCAAAAATTACTGGTATGTGACCTAGGCTAGACCAGTGAGGATGAATCCCAGAACTTTTGCTTGCAAATGCTCGATAAAAGCACTCTTGCTCCCCCTACTGGTTATGAAACAAGAAGCATGCGCTGGCAGCCATCCTACAACTCCAAGAAGAGTGTGTGATAGAACTTGGATGGAAAAATAATTGTTGTCTTTATCAAAGTATTACCTTGGAAGAGACTAAATTTACTTCAAAGAAAAACTGACCAAACTAATTGAGGGACTCCCCTTTGAGAATACAGTGCCAACTCTAGAGCATATTCCTTTCTATATGTTTATATTCACTGGTGGAAAATCCCTGTCCTGTGAGGGTGGGTTTTATTTTTTAAACATCCTAGAAGTTACTCAAAACCAAAAGTAAATAAGTACGTGATCAATTTTAGTAATGGCATTTCCAGGGTTTTTAAAAAGCAGAACTTTTTACTTGTGAGTAGTTTCCTTATTGCTAAAACACTGGTCCTGAAGTCAGTATCTCTTTTTGAGCAAATAAAACCACTTCCGTTCAATGTGGGAAGAAAGTGTTTTCACTTCTTAATTACATCTTAGTGAACTCTGGATTTTCTTTGACATTTAAAAATAGTTAAATTCTATTGAATCTCAAAATAGCTAATCCTTTTTAAAAAAGTTTTAGCACCTGTACATTTCTTTTTAAGGGCTAAAACTCCAAGTTTATTTTGTCAAATTGCCAAGGCAACCAAGAACATTGCCATATTAACACCTGCGTGTGACATCGTTGAGTGAAGACATTGCAAAGAGGATGTTTAAAAGTTGAATGTGTGTTCTGCATAGTCTGGCGCTCTCAGACAGCCAAACAGGATAGAGGCCAGATGGTTCCGTATCTGTGTGGCCTCCCACATATCTTACATGCATTTGGAGTTCCTATTTTATAGAATTAACTGTTGCCAATTCCTTGTAACTCTCACAACCCCCTTATTATCCATTCCAACAAAGGACATAGATATAATAAAGTTTGGCAAGAAACATTTAATCCATTTCAGCTCTCCCAAGTAGTACTATTCCTCTATCAATCTAAAGACATCAAATTTTGTCCTATTTTTAAAAATACCTCCAGTGAAGGAGTTTTCGCCAGTAACTTATCTCAGAATCAAGGATTCTAAGAGTCTGGTTTTTGTTATAACAAATAATCACACAATTATTTTTAAGACCACGGGAAGAAAGATATTGTACTGATCTTCTCAATATCCCTTTTGCAGAAAGATTAGTCCTTGTGAAGCTTACTTTTATAAAAAGTAAACTGTAGGACAGTAAACTGACAGGACATAAGAAAATCAGATTCTCTGATAACCTGACAAGCTTTTCTAAACATTTACTTATAATATTTTGAGATGAACAAATGATTAAGAGGAATTTTTCTTTGAGTCTTGGCTTTCCTAATTCTAGATAATAATCATTTGAGCTTTATTTATAGCATCTTTCTTCAGAGATGCTCTAAGAACAGCCATCTCATTTGTCTTCAGGAGGCAAATGTGAAATTGTGTTTCATTTTTTACTTTAGAAATGAATTTGTGGCTGGGCGCAGTGGCTCACGCCTGTAATCCCAACACTTTGGGAGGTCGAGGTGGGTGGATCACCTGAGGTCGGGAGTTTGAGACCAGCCTGACCAACGTGGAGAAACCCCATCTCTACTAAAAATAGAAAAATTAGCCTGGTGTGGTGGCGCATGCCTGTAATTCCAGCTACTCAGGAGGCTGAGGCAGGAGAATTGCTTGAACCCAGGAGGTGGAGGTTGCGGTCAGCCGAGATCGCGCCATTCCACTCCAACCTGGGCAACAAGAGCGAAACTCCATCTCAGAAAAAAAAAAAAAGGAAAAAGAAATGAATTTGTAAGGTTTCTAATGGAGAGCCAGGGTTTCTCCTCCTGTAAACAAAGTAATAAAAACAATTTTAAGAAGCTTTGTCATTTTTAAAAATGATTCAATCATCTAAGTCTAGAAAATAAAATGGTTATGGGACCAAACTAAAAAGAAAAAAAAGAAAAATTAGTGAAAAGGAGACCCTCCTTTTAATTTCTTCTGATTAAAAATTTTAAAGTGTGCATTGGATGGAAGGAAACGAGGTATGATATAATCTTAATTGTACATAGTGCCTAGTATATAACACGGGAAGCAGAAAGTTTATCTCCCAAACAAATATGACAATGAGTTATTGAAACCACAAGCCAGTTTATTTATCAATGATGTCAGTACTCAAAGTTGTCCAGTTAAAATCTACTTCCTCTTGAAAAACAAAAATACACTGAAGGAAGATGCAAAGAGCTAAAAGTGGTATCATGATTCCACAGCAGTGATTGTAAGACAGTGAGCCACAGGGAAATGGGAAAACGTGAAAAGAAACAAGTATCAGGACCAAATTAGAGAAGATATGAGTAGGGCCATCACTAGAGGTGAAAATGGAGAAACCTAAGAAAACCAGTGTTGGCATGAATTATGCAAGTGGAAAATACATCTGTAGAGGGACGAGATAGAAGGACCTAGATCTAACTCCAAGTGCTTGATTGGAGAAGAGAGGGAGAAAGAGAATTTATAGAATTAACTGTATAGAAGCCTAAAAAATAAGATTATCAGCCTAGTCATGTAAAGTCTAGAAGTTCCTTTATTTGCTCATCACCTTTCCTTTTTCTATAAGACTATTAAGCAGAAGGTCAGTAACAGAAAATTTACCCTTTCCTCTCCTCTCTTGGTTTAAATTTTATAAGGAATCTGAAGAGGCTATGGATCAGTTGGCATTACAGTGGGAAGAGCTTATTGAAGCAAGGTTGACAATAGGTCTTGTCATTCTGCTCCCTGAAAATGCCCTTCGACAACTGTGTCAGGCAGAAAGCACACACAAAGTGCTCAGGATGGAACTTGTACCCCATGGCACTGATACAACGGCCAGTGATGGGCTGCCCACACCCATGGCAGAGCGTTCCCCGGCGGTGATGGTAATGGAGCTCACAGAATGGACGTCCATCCAGTTCAAAGAAGGAGCCAGTAGAAAAACTGGTGAAGCAGTCCTGGGGTAGAGAGAAGAGAGAGAAAAAGAATGCAAATGTCAAGAGGTAAAATGTCAGCAAAGTAAAATTTTCAGCCTTGAAATTCCTGACAGTTACCTGCCAGCTACAGGAATTTCCCTCAGGTTCTTGACAAATGGAGACTAGATTTCCCGCTTGCAAAACAGACAAGCAAATGGATCTGTATCTCGTTTCTCCTTTAGGATGCGCACATCCATTCCTCATTCAGGACTGTGAACCCTTTCACTAACTGCAGCTCTTCCTCTCAGAGAGGAGAACCCTTGACTTTCCCTAAGTCCGAAAGAAAAGTGATTATACAGACCCCACAAACAAAGCACTCTGGGTGCCAGACAGTGTCCATGGCTGAAAGGTAGTTTTCCAACACTGGGCGATTGCAGCCACCACACTTGGGTGAGAACATGGCTAAGAAATCCTTTCGGCAATATGGCTTCTTGTCCTTCTCATGAAAGCCTGGAGAGATAAAATCAGGAATTCACTGTTGCAGGTTGAGCCCTGAAAGCTACACTGGAGACTGAGAGGAGGCCCTTTCAATCTCAGTGTCCTCATATTCAAAATAGGATGATTACTGTTACCTAATTCAAAGGGTAGTTGTAAGAAATAAATGAGATAATGCAGAGGAAGTGTTTTGGCATTGTGTCTGGTTCATAGTAAACATTTAATAAGTGTTAGGGGCTATTGCTCCTCAGTGCCTTTGTACTAAGTATTCCCTTGGCTTGGATAGTTCTGTCCCAGAGCCTGATATAGTTGTCCTCTTCATGTGATGCAAGAATCACTCAAATATCATCTTATCAGAGAGGCATCTCTTCAGTCCCTCCTTGTCACATCATCTTCTTTCACCGTCTTTATGGCATTTACCTTTATTTAAAATCATCTTTGTGGGCTGTCTCCCCTTACAGGAACATTAGCTCTGAGAGAAACTAGATATTGTTGATCTTGTCACCATTATATCTCTAATATCTAAAACAGCATCTGGGAAGAAAAAAAGCATCTGATATTTTAAAATAAAATACTACTAAATAATAATTTCCAGATGGATGCAAGATCTAAACACAATGACTCATACCATATATTTGAATTAAAAATAGATGTATTCCTCCTTTTTTTATTTTTTGTGTGGGTATATTATTTTTATTGTTTACCAGCAGTGTATGAAAATCCCAATTATTCCTCAGTCTTTACATCACTTGATATATCCATATATTTCCTTTTTAATCAATCAAATGGATGTTATCTATCTATACAATGTTATCTCATGGTAGTTTTGATTTGTATTTCCCGAAAGGCTAATGATACTTAGGGTTTTTTTAATGTGTGCATTTGCATTTCATATCTTGTCATTAATGATGTATTCCTCTTTAATCTGGAAACAGAAAAACTGTCATAAATAAAGCCCAAATTCCAAAAGCAAGTTAAATATTAATAAATTTAGCTACATAAAAATATATCTGAATGACTTACACATGTCAAAAAATCACCATAAACAAAGACAAATAACAATCTGAAGAAAATATTTGCTAATTATATTCCACTCCTGAGTATATGTATGGTTTCAACTATTGTTGTACATAATTAAAAAGTGAAAAAATTGGCCGGGCACGGTGGCTTGCACCTGTAATCCCAGCACTTTGGGAGGCCGAGGCGGGTGGATCACGAGGTCAGGAGATCGAGACCATCCTGGCTAACACGGTGAAACCCCGTCTCTACTAAAAATACAAAAAATTAGCCAGGTGTGGTGGCGAGCGCCTGTAGTCCCAGCTACTTGGGAGGCTGAGGCAGGAGAATGGCGTAAACCCGGGAGGCAGAGCTTGCAGTGAGCCGAGATCGCACCACTGCACTCCAGCCTGGGAGATAGTGAGACTCTGTCTCAAAAAAAAAAAAAAAAAGTAAAAAAATTAAAATGGAAAAACATGAATCCCTAAAAAATTGAATCAAATTGAAGAAAATTAACTGTATATCAAACTGATGACATGAGCAATAAAATAAATAATTTGGAGATTGCTGGCAGGATGACCGAATAGGAACAGCTCAGGTCTGCAGCTTCCAGTGAGATCGATGCAGAAGGCAGGTGATTTCTGCATTTCCAACTGAGGTAACCGGTTCATCTCATTGAGACTGATCGGACAGTGGGTGCAGCCCATTGAGGGCAAGCCGAAAAAGGGTGGGGTGTTGCCTCACCCAGAAAGCACAAGGGGTCAGGGAACTCCCTCTCCTAACAAAGAGAAGCCATTAGAAACTGTGCCGTGAGGAACAGTGCACTCCGGCCCAGATACTGTGCTTTTCCCATAGTCTTCACAAACCGCAGACCTGGAGATTCCCTCTTGTGCCTACGCCACCAGGGCCCTGGGTTTCAAGCACAAAACTGGGCGGCTGTATGGGCAAACACTGAGCTAGCTTTAGAAGTTTTTTTGTTTTTTGTTTTTCATAACCTAGATGCACCTGGAATGCCAGCGAGACAGAACTGTTCACTCCCCTGGAAAGGGGGCTTAAGCCAGGGAGCCAAGTGGCCTGGCTCGGTAGGTCCCACCCCCATGGAGCCCAGCAAGCTAAGATCCACTGGCTTGAAATTCTTACTGCCAGCACAGCAGTCTGAGCTCGACCTGGGATACTAGAATTTGGTGGAGGGAGAAGCATCCACCATTGCTGAGGCTTGAGCAGGTGGTTTTACCTTCACAGTGTAAACAAAGCCACTCAGAAGATCAAACTGGGTGGAGCCAACCGCAGCTCAGCAAGGCTGCTGTGGCTAGACTGCCTCTCTAGATTCCTCTTTTCTGGGCAGGCCATCTCTGAAAAGAAAAAGGCAGCAGCTCCAGTCAGGGGCTTATAGATAAAACCCCCATCTCCCTGGGACAGAGCACCCAGGGGAAGGGGTGGCTGTGGGCACAGCTTCAGTAGACTTAAACATCCCTGCCTGACAGCTCTGAAGAGAGCAGTGGATCTCCCAGCACAGGGTTCGAGCTCTGCTAAGGGTCAGACTGCCTCCTTGAGTGGGTCTGTGGCCCCCGTGTCTCCTGATTGGGAGACACCTCCCAATAGGGGCTAACTGACACCTCATACAGGAGAGCTCTGGCTGGCATCTGGTGGGTGCCCTGCTGGGATGAAGCTTCCAAAGGAAGGAACAGGCAGCAATCTTTGCTGTTCTGCAGCCTCTGCTGCTAATACCCAGGCAAACAGGGTCTGGAGTCGACCTCCAGCAAACTCCCGTGGACTTGTAGCAGAGGAGCCTGACTGTTAGAAGGAAAACTAACAAACAGAAAGGAATAGCATCAACATCAACAGAAAGGACATCCACTCAGACACTCCATCTGAAGGTCACCAACTTCAAAGACCAAACGTAGAAACACTCAAGAAGATGGGGAGAAACCAATGCAAAAAGGGTGAAAATCCCAAAAACCAGAATGCCTCTTCTCCAAAGGATCACAACTCCTCAACACCAAGGGAACAAAACTGGATGAAGAATGAGTCTGACGAACTGATAGAAGTAGGCTTCAGAAGGTGGGTAATAACAAACTCCTCCGAGCTTTATAAAGGAGCATGTTCTAACCCAATGCAAGGAAGCTAAGAACCTTGAAAACAGGTTAGACAAATTGCTAACTAGAATAACCAGTTTAGAGAAGAACATACATGACCTGATGGAGCTGAAAAATATAGCACAAGAACTTTGTGAAGCATACACAAGTATCAATAGCTGAATTGATCAAGCAGAAGAAAGGATATAAGAGATTGAAGGTCAACTTAATGAAATAAAGCAAGAGGACAAGATTAGAGAAAAAAGAATGAAAAGGAATGAATAAAGCCTCCAAGAAATATGGGACTATGTGAAAAAAACAAATCTACGTTTGACTGGTGTACCTGAAAGTTATGGGGAGAATGGAACCAAGCTGAAAAACACTCTTCAGGATATTATCCAGGAGAACTTCCTCAACCTAGCAAGACAGGCCAACATTCAAATTCAGGAAATACAGAGAACACCACAAAGATACTCCTCAAGAAGAGCAACCCCAAGACACATAATCATCAGATTCACCAAGGTTGAAATTGAGGTGACAATGTGCTTGCAACCCTTGCTCGCTCTTGGCACGTCCTTGGCCTCGGCATCCACTCTGGCCACGCTTGAGGAGCCCTTCAGCCTGCCGCTGCACTGTGGGAGCCCCACTCTGGGCTGGCTGAGGCTGGAGCCAGCTCCCTCTGCCTGCGGGGAGGTGTGGACGGAGAGGCACGGGCAGGAACTGGGGCTGCATGCGGTGCTCGTGGGCCAGCACGAGTTTCGGGTAGCACGGGATCAGCAGGCCCCGCACTCAGAGTGGCCGGCCAGCACCGCCAGCCCCAGGCAGTGAGAGGATTAGCAACTGAGACAGCAGCTGCGGAGGGTGCACTGGGTCCCCTAGCACTGCTGGCCCACCTGTGTCATGCTCGAATTCTTGCCAGGCCTCAGCTGCCTCCCTGTGGCGCAGGGCTTGGGATCTGCAGCCCGCCATGCCCGAGACCCCCACAGTGGGCTCCCATGCAGCCCAAGCCTCCCCGACAGGTGCTGCCCCCTGCTCCGAGGCGCCCAGTCCCATCGACCGCCCAAGGGCTGAGGAGTGTGGGCGCACGGCACGAGACTGGAGGGCAGCTCCGCCCGCAGCCCTGGCATGGGATCCACTAGGCGAAGCCAGCTGGGCTCCTGAGTCAGGTGGGGACTTGGATAACTTTTATGTCTAGCTAGAGGATTGTAAATGCACCAATCAGCACTCTGTGTCTGGCTCAGGGATTGTAAATGCACCCATCAGCACTCTGTGTCTAGCTAAAGGTTTGTAAATGCACCAATCAGTGCTCTGTGTCTAGCTAATCTAGTGGGGACTTGGAGAACTTTTGTGTCTAGCTAGAGGATTGTAAATGCACCAATCAGCACTCTGTGTCTAGCTCAGGGATTGTAAATGCACCAGTCAGCACCCTGTCAAGACAGACCAAACAGCTCTCTGTAAAATGGACCAATCAGCTCTCTGTAAAATGCACCAATTAGCAAGATGTGGGTGGGGCCAGATAAGGGAATAAAAGCAGGCTGCCCGAGCCAGCAGTGGCAACCCACTTGGGTCCCCTTCCACACTGTAGAAGTTTTGTTCTTTCACTCTTTGCAATAAATCTTGCTGCTGCTCACTCTTTGGGTCCGCACTGCCTTTATGAGCTGTAACACTCACCGCGAAGGTCTGCAGCTTCACTCCTGAGGCCAGCGAGACCACGAATCCACCAGGAGGAATGAACAACTCCAGATGGGAGGAATGAGCAACTCCAGACGCACCGCCTTAAGAGCTGTAACACTCACCGTGAAGGTCTGCAGCTTCACTCCTGAAGCCAGCGAAACCACAAACCCATCAGAAAGAAGAAACTCCGAACATGTCTGAACATCAGAAGGAACAAACTCCGGACACACCATCTTTAAGAACTGTAACACTCACCGCAAGGGTCCGCGGCTTCATTCTTGAAGTCAGTGAGACCAAGAACCCACCAATTTCGGACACAAAATGAAGGAAAAAATGTTAAGTGCAGCCAAAGAGAAAGGTTGGGTAACCCACAAAGGGAAGCCCATCAGACTAACAGCGGATCTCTTGGCAGAAACTGTACAAGCCAGAAGAGAGTGGGGGCCAATATTCAACATTCTTAAAAGCATTTTCAACCCAGAATTTCATATCCAGCCAAACTAAGCTTCGTAAACAAAAGAGAAATAAAATTATTTACAGACAAGCAAATGCTGAGAGACTTTACTACCACCAGGCCTGCCTTACAAGAGCTCCTGAAGGAAGCACTAAACACAGAAAGGAATAACTGGTACCAGTCACTGCAAAAACATACCAAATTGTAAAGACCATAGATGCTATGAAGAAACTGTTCATAACAGTTCTTCAAAATAACCAGCTAGCATCATAATTACCAGATCAAATTCACACATAACAAGATTAACCTTAAATGTAAATGGACTAAATGTCCCAATTAAGACACACAGACTGGCAAATTGGATAAAGAGGCAAGACTCATTGGTGTGCTGTATTCAGGAGACCCATCTCACATGCAAAGACACACATAGGCTCAAAATAAAGGGATGAAGGAATATTTACCAAGTAAACGGAAAGAAAAAAAAAAGCAGGGGTTGCAATTCTAGTCTCTGATAAAAAAGACTTTAAACCAACAAAGATCAAAAGAGACAAAGATGGGCATTACATAATGGTAAAGGGATTAATGCAACAGGAAGAACTAACTATCCTAATTATATATGCACCCAATACAGGAGCACCCAGATTCATAAAGCAAGTTCTTAGAGACCTACAAAGACTCTTAGACTTCCACACAATAATAGTGGGAGACTTTAACACCCCACTGTCAATATTAGACAGATCAATGAGACAGAAAATTAACAAGGATATTCAGGACTTGAACTCAGCTCTTGGCCAAGCAGACCTGATAGACATCTATACAACTCTCCACCCGAAATCAACAGAATATACATTCTTGTCAGCACCACATCATATTTATTCTAAAATCGACTATGTAATTGTAAGTAAAACACGCCTCAGCAAATGCAAAAGAACAGAAATCATAGCAAACAGTCTCTCAGACCACAGTGCAATCAAATTAGAACTCAGGAGTAAGAAACTCTCTCAAAACCGCACAACTACATGGAAACTGAAAACCTGCTCCTGAACGACTACTGGGTAAATAAAAAAATTAAGGCAGAAAGAAAGAAGTTATTTGAAGCCAATGAAAACAAAGACACAAAGTACCAGAATCTCTGGGACACATTTAAAGCAGTGTGTAGAGGGAAATTTATAGCACTAAATGCCCACAAGAGAAAGCAGGAAAGATCTAAAATCGACACCCTAAAATCACATTAAAAGAACTAGAGAAGCAAGAGCAAACAAATTAAAAAGCTATCAGGAGACAAGAAATAACTAAGATCAGAGCAGAACTGAAGGAGATAGAGAATGAAAAACCCTTCAAACAATCAATGAATCCCGGAGGTGGTTTTTTGAAATGATCAACAAAATAGATAGACTACTAGCCACACTAATAAAGAAAAAAAGAGAGAAGAATCAAATAGACACAAAAAAATGATAAAGGGGTTATCACTACTGATCCCACAGAAATACAAACTACAATCAGAGAATACTGTAAACACCTCTATACAAATAAACTAGAAAATCTAGAAGAAATGGATAAATTCCTGGACACTACACTCTCCCAAGTCTAGACCAGGAAGAAGTCAGATCCCTGGATAGACCAACAACAAGTTCTGAAATTGAGGCAGTAATTAATAGCCTACCGACCAAAAAAAAGTCCGGGACCAGGTGGATTCACAGCAGAATTCTACCAGAGGTACAAAAAGGAGCTGATACCATTGCCTCTGAAATTATTCCAAACAATAGAAAAAGGGGGAATCCTCCCTAACTCATTTTTATGAGGCCAGCATCATGCTAATACCAAAACACGGCAGAGACACAACAAAAAAAGAAAACTTCAGGCCAATATCCCTGATGAACATCAATGTGAAAATCCTCGATAAAATATTGGCAAACTGAATCCAGCAGCATATCAAAAAGCTTATCCGCCACGATCAAGTCAGCTTCATACCTGGGACGCAAGGCTGGTTCAACATACACAAATCAATAAACATAATCCATCTCATAAACAGAAACAATGACAAAAACCATGATTATCTCAATAGATACAGAAAAGGCCTTTGATAAAATTTAACACCCCTTCATGATAAAATCTCTTAATAAACTAGGTATTGATGGAATGTATCTCAAAATAATAAGAGCTATCTATGACAAACCCACAGCCAATATCATATTGAATGGGCAAAACCTGGAAGCATTCCCTTTGAAAACTGGCACAAGACAGGGATGCCGTCTCTCACCACTCATATTCAACATAGTGTTGGAAGTTCTCGCTAGGGCAATCAGGCAACAGAAAGAAATAAAGGGTACTCACATAGGAAAAGAGGAAGTCAAATTGTCTCTGTTTGCAGATGACATGATTGTATATTTAGAAAACCCCATCATCTCAACCCAAAATCTCCTAAAGCTGATAAGCAACTTCAGCAAAGTCTCAGGACACAAAATCAATGCGCAAAAATCACAAGCATTCCTATACGCCAATAATAGACAGCGAAATCATGAGTGAAACTCATTCACAATTGCTATACAGAATTAAATACCTTGGAATACAACTTACAAGGGATGTGAAGGACCTATTCAAGGAGAACTACAAACCACTGTTCAAGGAAATAAAACAGGACACAATCAAATGGAAAAATATTCCATGCTTCTGGATAGGAAGAACCAATATCGTGAAAATGGCCATACTGCCCAAAGTAATTTATGCATTCAATGCTATCCCCATCAAGCTACCATTGACTTTCTTCATAGAATTAGAAAAAACTACTTTAAATTTCATATGGAACCAAAATAGAGCCTGCATAGCCAAGACAATCCTAAGCAAAAAGAACAAAGCTGGAGGCATCATGCTACCTGACTTCAAACTATACTACAAGGCTACAGTAACAAAAACAGCATGGTACTGGTACCAAAACAGATATATAGATCAATGGACAGAACAAAGGCCTCAGAAATAACACCACACATCTACAACCATCTGATCTTTGACAAACTTGACAAAAACAAGCAACAGGGAAAGGATTCCCTATTTAATAAATGGTGTTGGGAAAACTGGCTAGCCATATGCAGAAAACTGAAACTGGACCCCTTCCTTACACCTTATACAAAAATTAACTCAACATGGATTAAAGATTTAAACGTAAGACCTAAAACCATAAAATTCCTAGAAGAAAACCTAGGCAATACCATTCAGGACACAGGCATAGACAAAGACTTCATGACTAAAACACCAAAAGCAATGGCTACAAAAGCCAAAATAGACAAATGGGATCTAATTAAATTAAAGAGCTTCTGCACAGCAAAATAAACTATCATCAGAGTGAACAGGCAATCTACAAAATTGGAGAAAATTTTTGCAATCTATCCATCTGACAAAGGGCTAATATCTAGAATCTACAAAGAACTTAAACAAATTTACAAGAAAAAAAAACAACCCCATCAAAAAGTGACTGAAGGATATGAACACACACTTCTCAAAAGAAGACATTTA
Organism: Homo sapiens; assembly: GCF_000001405.40. Classification (NCBI taxonomy): domain Eukaryota; kingdom Metazoa; phylum Chordata; class Mammalia; order Primates; family Hominidae; genus Homo; species Homo sapiens. The sequence continues at coordinate 58,536,883 of NC_000011.10, forward strand.
TGTAGCCAATAAACATATGAAAAAAAAAAGCTCATCATCACTGGTCATTAGAGAAATGCAAATCAAAACCATAATGAGATACCATCTCACGCCAGTTAGAAAGGCGATCATTAAAAAGTCAGGAAACAACAGATGCTGGAGAGGATATGGAGAAATAGGAATGCTTTTACACTGTTGGTGGGAGTGTAAATTAGTTCAACCATTGTGGAAGACTATGTGGTGATTCCTCAAGGATCTAGAACCAGGAATACCATTTGACTCAGCAATCCCATTACTGGGTATATACCCAAAGCATTATAAATCATTCTACCATAAAGACACATGCACACATATGCTTATTGCAGTACTATTCACAAAAGCAAAGACTTGGAACCAACCCAAATGCCCATCAATGATAGTCTGGATAAAGAAAATGTGGCACATATACACCATGGAATAAAATACAGCCATAAAAAAGAATGAGTTCATGTCCTTTGCAGGGACATGGATGAAGCTGGAAACCATCATTCTCAGCAAACTAACACAGGAACAGAAAACCAAACACCGCATGTTCTCACTCATAAGTGGGAGTTGAACAATGAGAACACATGGCCACAGGGAGGGGAACATCACACACTGGGGCCTGATGGAGGCAGGGGACTAGGGGAGGGATAGCATTAGGAGAAATACCTAATGTAGATGATGGGTTGATGGGTGCAGCAAACCACCATGGCACGTGTATACCTATGTAACAAACCTGCACATTCTGCACATGTACACCAGAACTTAAAGTATAATAATAATAAAAACGAAATAGTTCATTCAAGTAACTTTAAATGATAGTGTTCAGAGTGTACAGTCCTAATGATGCAATCTAAAGACAAAACAAGCTACAAAGAAATATTTTATTTTATTTTATTATTATTATACTTTAAGTTTTAGGGTACATGTGCACAATGTGCACGTTAGTTACATATGTATACATGTGCCATGCTGGTGTGCTGCACCCATTAACTCGTCATTTAGCATTAGGTATATCTCCTAAAGCTATCCCTCCCCCCTCCCCCCACCCCACAACAGTCCCCAGAGTGTGATGTTCCTCTTCCTGTGTCCATGTGTTCTCACTGTTCAATTCCCACCTATGAGTGAGAACATGTGGCGTTTGGTTTTTTGTCCTTGCGATAGTTTACTGAGAATGATGATTTCCAATTTCATCCATGTCCCTACAAAGGACATGAACTCATCATTTTTTATGGCTGCACAGTATTCCATGGTGTATATGTGCCACATTTTCTTAATCCAGTCTATCACTGATGGACATTTGGGTTGGTTCCAAGTCTTTGCTATTGTGAATAGTGCCGCCATAAACATACGTGTGCATGTGTCTTTATAGCAGCATGATTTATAGTCCTTTGGGTATATACCCAGTAATGGGGTGGCTGGGCCAAATGGTATTTCTAGTTCTAGATCCCTGAGGAATCGCCACACTGACTTCCACAATGGTTGAACTAGTTTACAGTCCCACCAACAGTGTAAAAGTGTTCCTATTTCTCCACATCCTCTCCAGCACCTGTTGTTTCCTGACTTTTTAATGATTGCCATTCTAACTGGTGTGAGATGGTATCTCATTGTGGTTTTGATTTGCATTTCTCTGATGGCCAGTGATGGTGAGCATTTTTTCATGTGTTTTTTGGCTGCATAAATGTCTTCTTTTGAGAAGTGTCTTAAACTGTTTTTATATATACTGGAAATTTGCTGTGAGTAGATTCTGATGCTCTTACCATATACACATGAAAAGGGTTACTGTGAGTGAGGACGGATATGTTAATTTGCCTAACTGTAATAAATATTTCACTGTGTATATCAAAATATCATGTTGTGTACCTTAAAATATACAATAAAATAATACAATATATATACACAATAAAAATAATTTGTTCATTTACAATATTTATATATTTTTTGAACTTATTACAGGTAGATTACATAATAAAGCAAATAATTATATTAATGCCTTTGGAAAGCAAGATTTCCAGCATTAAAAAAGACACAAATAATCAAACAAATCAAACAAAAAACTGTATCATTATACTATATCAGATATATTAGTATGAACTCATGACTTACTTTTCTTTAAAAAAAACAACAACAATGACAGATTCTATCAGGGCGCAGTGGCTCCTGCCTGTAATCCCAGAACTTTGAGAGGCTGAGGCGGGAGGACTGGTTGAAGCCTGGAGTTCGAGACAAGCCCTGGGCAATGTAGTGAGACCCACTCTCTACAAAAAATTTTAAAAAATTAGCCAGACCTGGTGGTACACATCTGTAGTGCCAGCTACTCAGAAGGCTGATGTGGGAGAATCGCTTGAGTCCAGGAGTTCAAGGCTGTAGCAAGCTATGATAGCACCTCTGAACTCTAGCCTGGGAGACAGCATGAGATCCTGTCTCTATAAAATTTAAAAACCTTAAAAAGTAGATCTGAAGCTCTGTCCACTGAAAAACCTAGAAGAAATGACATCCCAGAAATAATGAACACTGCTAATTTTTAAATATCCTCAATGAAGCAGTCTTTTTGGAGAAATGGATGATTCCAAGTATGTGGCAGAGTTGACAAGTTAGGCCTGATATATCTTGCTGTGCCAAGGAAATAGGAAGATTACTGGGATCATATCAGAAAGATACAGTAACCAAATTGAAGGGGCTACCTCTGACCTCAGATAAAAAAATTTGAGCATTAAAAAATACTAATTCAATAGATCAAATTATACCAAGTATATATAACTCCATGAGTTCATAATGATTTTTTAAAAATAAAAATTTATTAGTCTCCACTGGATATTGTTAATGAACCCATTCATTACCCTTATAATTAATTCATTACTCTTATTAATAGAAAGTGTCAAACACTTATCTCACCTTTCCTGTATGAGATATATTCCAAGATAACCCAATAACTGATGATAGAAAGTTTTTGTAGAACTCAGCTAATAAATATGGAAGGAATAATAGAAAACTCAGCATTTTACTACCTATTCCATTGGATTTAGGTAATTGTCATTAATGGGGAACTTTAAAATAGAGGGATCGGGATGACACTGCTTAAATTTAGTGGTCAATGTTAGTATCAATAAAAGTGGTCAACCAGTCATTATACACCTCTTGATGTGATTCAACAAGAAGTATACTGCACCCACCACCTGAAACCTATTCTTGTCATCCAGACCCCCGAAAACTGAACCTAAACCTAGTCATCTCTAGGTCTAAACTAATAGTTTAAGGAAAATATAGGAAATGGGGGCAGGAGTAAAGCAAAAAACAGTATCATGAGAAAGCAGCCAGTCAAATAAAGAATATGGGATATTTTATGGGATATAGGTTCTGGATTCATTAACAAATAAATAGTATAAAAAAGCAGCAAAGAGAGGACTAATAATAGAATTTTTTAAATTTGAGAGACAAAACAGCAAAATGCAATGCACTGACCTTGCTGAGATCCTGATTCAAGCAAACCAAGCCTGTGATATTTTCTTAGAAATCTGAATAGGAATTGTAAATGATAATAAGAAATTCTTAATTTGTTAAGCATAAAGGTAGTTTTTAAAAAGACCTTCTCAGCTAAAAGTGATGCATGCCGAAGTATTTAATGATGAGATTACATGACTTCTAAACTTGCTTCTTAATATTCCAGCAAGAAAAAATGTGGATGGATGGGTGAAGGTTAATAGAGGAATCCATTTGGCAAAACACTTATACTTACTGAAGCTAGGTAAGGAAGCACATTTATGTTTAGACTGTACTATAATAAAAACATTTAAAAAGCAATTTGTTGAGGTATAAGAACTTTCTCTTTAATACATGAAATTTTCACTGTTAAGACACATATTAGAAAATTCTTGGCTTGAGTCTTACTGATCCCATGTCCAGGTAATGGAGCTACACTGAGAATGAGAAACTCACGGTGATTGCTTTTTAAAACCTTTTAAAACAAGTGCACCTCACAAATCAATGAATAGCCGCAAAATAAATACTTTTCAACTATCTGATCTTTGACAAACCTGACAAAAACAAGCAATGGGGAAGGATTCCCCATTTAATAAATGGTGCTGGGAAAACTGGCTAGTCATATGTAAAAAGCTGAAACTGGATCCCTTCCTTACACCTTATACAAAAATTAATTCAAGATGGATTAAAGACTTACATGTTAGACCTAAAACCATAAAAACCCTAGAAGAAAACCTAGGCATTACCATTCAGGACACAGGCATGGGCAAGGACTTCATGTCTAAAACAAAAAAAGCAATGGCAACAAAAGCCAAAATAGACAAATGGGATCTAATTAAACTAAGGAGCTTCTGCACAGCAAAAGAAACTACCATCAGAGTGAACAGGCAACTTACAAAATGGGAGAAAATTTTCACAACCTACTCATGTGACAAAGGGCTAATATCCAGAATCTACAATGAACTCAAACAAATTTACAACAAAAAAACAAACAACCCCATCAAAAAGTGGGCAAAGGATATGAACAGACACTTCTCAAAAGAAGACATTTATGCAGGCAAAAGACACATGGAAAAATGCTCATCATCACTGGCCATCAGAGAAATGCAAATCAAAACCACAATGAGATACCATCTCACACCAGTTAGAATGGCAATCATTAAAAAGTCAGGAAACAACAGGTGCTGGAGAGGATGTGGAGAAATAGGAACACTTTTACACTGTTGGTGGGACTGTAAACTAGTTCAACCATTGTGGAAGTCAGTGTGGCGATTCCTCAGGGATCTAGAACTAGAAATACCATTTGACCCAGCCATCCCATTACTAGGTATATACCCAAAGGACTACAAATCATGCTGCTATAAAGACACATGCACACGTATGTTTATTCTGGCATTATTCACAATAGCAAAGACTTGGAACCAACCCAAATGTCCAACAATGATAGACTGGATTAAGAAAATGTGGCACAAATACACCATGAAATACTGTGCAGCCATAAAAAATGGTGAGTTCATGTCCTTTGTAGGGACATGGATGAAATTGGAAATCATCATTCTCAGTAAACTATCTCAAGGACAAAAAACCAAACACCGCATGTTCTCACTCATAGATGGGAATTGAACAATGAGAACACATGGACACAGGAAGGGGAACGTCACACTCTGAGGACTGTTGTGGGGTGGGGGGAGTGGGGAGGGATAGCATTAGGAGATATACCTAATGCTAAATGACGAGTTAATGGGTGCAGCACACCAGCATGGCACATGTATACATATGTAACTAACCTGCACATTGTGCACATGTACCCTAAAACTTAAAGTATAATAATAATAAAAATAGAAAAGAAAAAAAATAATAATATGTTGGACATTATAAGTCAGGAAACTCAAAAGAAAACAATGAAGTTGTAATTTTTGCTAATTAGTAGTTGAATTTCTAATTTTAGCTAAGTAGTAAAAACAGTGTTAAATAAATATACTCAATACTGGAAGATATATGGAATGATCCATATATTCATATATTCCTGGTAATAATATTAACTGTATTATTCTTTTGGAGAGTCACTTGATAATCTACATCAAGGTTTTTTTTAAAAAAGATGTAGACATCTAAGTCCTAGGAATTAATTAATACAAATAATTCAGAAGAAGAAAACATTATGTTTAATGATATTTATTATAGTACTACTAAACACCAGAAGTAATCTAAATATGATACTATTGTTAATACATTTAGTTGTTTCCAATGTTTGGAACTATAATAATGCTTCAGTGAAAATCTTTAGGCATATAGCATTTTATTTTTTGTTTATTTACATAAATCCCTAATGGAATAATTGATAATGTTAAAATTATTATAAAACTATTATGAAATTATGATGAAACAACATGGAGAAATGCTTAAGTATAAAAAAAGAATTTTAGGCACACAATAACTTATGTGTGCACACATACATGAATAAATGTAGAAAAACATTGGTAGGAAAAGTTTTCTGTATTGCTTTAGGTTAATAGGGTAATAAGTTAAAAACAAACGTTTCTGCAAGGTCTTTTTATTGTCTTTACACTTACAACAAAATTAACTAATTAATCCTTAAGCACTTATTCAAGTGATATATTTGCTCTGTTTTGAAACTCACTTCCCTGAGATACCCAAATGGCTTAGTCCTTTGCTTACCTCAGGGGTCTGCTTAAGAGAACAAGTGACTCAACCACTGTGTCTCAAATACTACCTAATCACTCTCTCTCTCGCCATGCAGAGTAGGTCGTAGTTAGTTGGCTAGTTTGATTACTGTTTGTCTCCTCCACCAGAATACATTAATCATGAGGGCAAGAACTTTCCTTTTTGTCACTATATCCCTAGTACTTTGAATAATGCTTGACACATATATAGTAGTTGCTCAATAAATATCTATTGAATGAGCTGACATAAGAAAAATATTACAATAGCAAAATTGAGATCATCTGCTCCCGAGTATATTGCAATTTAGAGTCTCACTTCAGCATTGACTAGAATATGCATAAATAGATTAACTTTTACGTAAGAATCCCTCCTTAGTATTTACTTAGAGAGACACCTAAAATGAAGACTATATTATCAGCAATCCCATTTATGGATCATCTGCATTGTACTGGTTCCACTGAAGGCTCTGTCTACAGTACTAAATTAAAATGAGATTTTTTCAGAGCAAACTTCTGAAGTAGGCTTTAGCCTCATTTAACAAATGCAAAAAGACAGCTTAGAGAATTTACACCTGACTAGTCAGTAGAGGAGCTGAGATTGAAATCTAGGCCTAACTTCAAAGCCTAACTTCAATGTTATACCTCTAACTTAAATGCATCCTGACTTTGACATCTCTGTGGGAACTGACAGTATCAGCTGAGCACAAATAGCCCAATAATTTTGTAAATATGAGAGTTCTACCTCTTCCCCACTAAGACAGCATGTAAGCAAAGCATGCACAGTGTTCTGTAAAGCAGACTATCTAGAAAACACTATTTCTAGAAATCAGCTTTGATAATAGCAGCCAGATCACAACATGACAATAGAAGCAGCTAGGTGTTGGGAACCAAACCATATAGCTGCAGTTTTTCCATTACCTCATCACTTTTTCACATGCCTTGCTTTGTTCAACTTTGCTTTCTTTAAAAAGCAGACAATTTAGCAGAATTTTGAGGCCTACAGATCTGAATCTAAACTAGTAATTTTATATGCTGTCCTGTGTTCTTCCTCTAAACCCCTGAGACACAGAAGAGCTCACTTTACTTTTTATTTACTCTGTCAAATGATGTCTAGGGTCTATTCAAGGGAAACTGAATACCGTAAGTCCTACTATTTAAGAAAAACAAATACCTGCAACCACCTGTCTCAATTTTGTGTAGCATAATAGTGTTTCTCAAACTTTAGTGTGCATTATTCATCTGGGAACTTGATAAAATGCAGATTGCTGGGTCTTCCACCCTGAGTTTTTGATTCAATGGGTCTGGGATGGGGCCCAAGATTTTGCATTTCTAACAAGTCCCCAGGTGATGCTGATGCTGCATAAAGCAAATGACACAAAACTGAGCTTGCCTATAGGTAGGCATTACTTGAGAAAACTGTAAGACATGCCAACTATCTGAGAAATGACCCTCATCTAGGCATCTGCTGGACAGCTGGTTTCGAGAGTGGGATAGCAGGGGAGTAACAGCCTCTGTTTCAACTTGGGTAAATCTCAGGAAAGAAATCAAAAGCAATCACCCAAACTTGCTGTGATACCCCTGCATTTCATAATCTAATAAATTAAGAAAGTTTCAGCTCTTGCTTTCTTGGAGGATCTCTTTGGGACCAATTACCTCTAGAGGAAGAATGAGAAATACTGACAATTAAAAGTGCCACAAAAAGAGGGAGAGTGTTTATACTCTGGTGAGGCTCTTAGCCACAGGGGAAATTAGGGAGCACCTGCATGACCTGGATAATGAACAATTAAAAAGAAACACAGGTAGACATTGAAGAGCTCATCCCTGTGGGAGGATGCCAAGGACCAATGACTTGAGCCTTAAAGAGGAATTCTTTGGACTGATGAAAAAATGCAGATGAATTTAATTTCCCAGGAGGCTCAGAGGTTAAACTGTCATTATAGAAACTCTTTGTGACTATCTAACTTGGGGTGAGGCAGGATGACACCTAATTAATGAACTGATCATATGGCAGGAGACCTTTTTACAGAAAGCCAGGCATAAAAAGGAAAATACAACCCAAGTGGAGCTTCTGATCAATAAATGTCACTTTTTGTCATGTGGCTCTATGTATAAATATGTTTTAAGTGTTGTTTCCTGTTTATATAAAGCCATAAATGACCCCATCAGCCCTGTCTGTTTAGAAGGGGCCTGAGTCAAGAAAATGAGAACTAGCTACCTTAATGGTGCTTTCTGGTCATCCTATGGATTGGGTATTTTTTTGTGTGTGTATCTAACTTATGTCTCTACCTGAAATGTGCCTATGTCCTGTTGTTCTGCTTTCAGGCAACTTCTCCATCATAATGATCCATAGGCAGTATTCACTTGTTGACTGTTGTACTCAACTAATTCTCAGACTTTTATGGCTACCAGTACAATATAAATTTATTGTGACACAATTTAAGATGATTTGGATTAAGTGTCAATGAAAAATGCTGCTTAGGTAAAATACCATCTAGAAATGAAATACCTAATGATTTGTGAAAAAGCATTGAGCAAGCTCCAGTGAACAAGCAAATTACTACAGAGCACTTTGCTAGTGGATTCTGTCAGCACCACTGTATCTGGGTCTATTGTCAAATAAAGCATATCGTGTTGGTACCACAAAAGTAAAGAGATCCAACAGCCGAAGAGGAATTGAATTTCAGTCAAAAGGCAGTTGTGATGTTTTATAAAAAACATGGAACTTGCAGAAATGATACCCAAGTTGAAATCTTGCCTCTTCAACTTTCTAACTGTGTGACTTTAAGAAAATCACTTTACCTACCTGAGACTCATCTATAACTAGGTAAAATGTTGAATAAACTTGCTCTCACAGACTGTGATGGCATCATATAAATTATTTTTAACCATATACATAATAATATGCCTGATATTTAGGAAAGTCTCCATATTAGTAAAAGGGCCTAAACACATGGGATTTTCTTTACTCCCTCCTGAAACATCATTAACATGACAGTTAAGAAATTATGTAAATTATAAAGAGCCATAAGGAAAGAGAAAAAAGTAAAGGATATGCCACCAGATGAGATATTAACTAAATTTTCAAGAATTTAAAGTAGATTTTAAGAGTGGTACCTGGCTTAACATAAATAAGAAAACTGGAACTTACGTCTCCACAGATGGGAGAGGCCAATAAAAATCAAGCCATCTTGAATATGATAACATCAGAGGGGCTCAGGAACTGAATGCATGAGATACTCTTCAAGGCTAGAAACAGGACTGGTTGAAAGTCTAAAGAACCATTAGAAAGTTAGATGCCTTATCTTACCGTAAGATGCAATGATTATTTCTGTAAATATTGAACAAGAGAGTCTCAGTGATCAGAGATGTTGGACACCATGAGGAAACGAGTCAAGCTCTCTACTGAAAAATGGGAATTAAGTAAAAGTTGACATGCTGAATGGTGAAAAGCCCATTCCCCCATCCCCTTTTTCAATCTCAGAATTCTGGCAAAGAGAACATCTCTTTAGCATAATTGACTCAACAGAAAAGACCTAAGATTGTCATATTCAGGAGTCACTCAACAAAATGGCCAGAGTATCTTACCTGAGTACCATATAGTCAAGTCTACCAGTCAACAATTTCTGTCTATATCCATGGAGTTTGCAATTAGCATTTTAGTGTCTCATTCTTAAATAGTAACAGACAACCATGGATCAGCAGTATTGGGAAAGACCAGTGTAAACAAATGTAAGGCACCAAGATGTAATATATATCAAATTCCAAATTGAACTGCAAAACATCCCTCCAAACAGGTAGTCAAAGATTACTTGTACAATTCTGGAATTCCTCACTCTTGTTCAGGAGAAAACAGGTAAAGAAAAAGGAAAACTGAGAGAAGGATTCCTTTGAAGAAAACTGTGCTATGAGTGCCCCATCACCACCAAGAAAGATGAGGTATAGTTCTTGATAACCTCAGGTTAAAAGAGGGACTTCACTGGGACGACTCAGAGAGTTGGATATGTGTGCCTTGGCATTAGTGAGATGCAGTTAGTGGTATCAGAGTTACCCCTGGAAAAAGTCCATAGATGAGTCTGGCTGAAAGAGCCTATGGCAGCTGAATAGAAACATGCAGCTAAAAATTATAACTCCACTGGCTGTCAGAGAAAAGAGTAAGTTATCCATGGTCCTTCTATGAAAATATGAGAGGAAGAGATTATCTGGAACGATGTTAATAATTTCTAAGGGTTCACTAGGAGGGAACAATGAAAGCCCCTTGAAAAAAGAATCTTTACAAAACAAATCCTCAAAGAAACATGACAAGGAGAGAATAGCTAGTCAAGACACGTAAAGGGCAATCAAGAGTTCACTGCTGGACCTGTCTTAATCCCGAAAAGAATTCAGGGAAAAAAGTCAGAGCTAAACACTGGCTGAGCCTGGAGAGCATAAAGCCAATTTAACAACAATCCTAGACAAGTTAGACCTTCCTGCCTTCTATTCTCATCTCCATCCTCCCTAGTGTTTCAACCCTAGAGCAGGCAGGTGTCAAGGCTGGCAATAAGGGTGAGGGTGGTAGATAACAAAGCGAGGTCAGGAGAGAGGAAAGGCCATACCCCTGTCCTCGCCTCCTGCAGCTTGAAGGTCCTAAAAAAGAGAGGGAGTGGCTGTCACTTTTAAAGTGCTGGAAGCCTTAACTATTACACAGACTGAATTACCTAATGGCTTAGTTTTTGTGTTTTGTTTCTTAAATTGATTTTATATTTAGAACTGTTTTTTAACAGTAATCAGAAAAGACAGAGGACTGCACAAGCTTTTATTTATGAGAGGAGAAATCCTTCCCCACTGAGTTCATTCTAAAAGGACAGGAGAAAAACAAAGTAAAGCAGCTTTCTGATTCCATATTTGTTCAAAACAAACATAAAAAGGAGAAATTAAAAAAAACAAGACAATTCAGAAAACACATGAAACAAACATACAAAGGGGGAAGAATGGGTCATGTAGAAAGGATCAAGGATAAAAAAAATTTAATAAAAACTTGCCAATCATGGAAGCTAGAAGACAGTGAAGCAATGTCTTCAGAATTATGAAGGAAAATAGTTTCCACTTAGAATTCTATGCCCAGGCAACTTAAGGGCAATGACAGAATAAAAATATTTTCAGATATTCAAGTTCTCAAAAATTCTTTCTCAGAAAGCTACTAGGGGATGTTCCCCACCAAAATAAAGGTGGTAACATGTATAAAACATAGACATGGGACCCAGGAAACAGAGCATCCAAAGAGGAAACTAATAAAAGGAATTTCCAAGAGTAATTACTAGATATAATTCTAAGTTAATGAACCAGAATGACTGCTACTCAGCAGGAAGAAATCATTTCATGTTGAATCAGGAGGAGGAAAGTCTCCTGGAGGGATATCTCCAGAAAAAAAAAAAAGAAAAGAAAGAAACTGACTTGTTGCCAGATGTAGTTGGCCATTTTGAAAAGAATTTCACAGTTCTGTTGCATAACTTAGTGATAAGTACAATAAAAACTAAGCCAATTTCAAAAAGGATTCAAATGTTAACTTTAGAAAAAAATGAATTTATACCAAAAGGACACTGTGATAATAATATTAACACTACTATACCTCCATGTGCTTGGCACTATTCTAAATACCACGCTTGTATTGTCTCTAAATCCTCATAACAACCCTATAAGGTAGGCAATTTCATTAGGACTATTTTACTGATGAGGAAAGTAAGGTACAGAGATGTTAAATGACTTGAACAAATACCACAACCCAGATTTGAACCTGGAAGTCTGACTCTAAAATCCAGACTCTAGTGTAGTCAGTTTGCTACATGGCTTACTTGTGAGCAGTATTCTATGATTGTCAACATATGCACACTTAATACTGATCTAACCTGTAATTATGACATAATTATATATTGAAAAAACAGGGGAGGGGAAATATGTTAGGAGTGAGTGGGGTAATAATAACATTTCTAAACCTCATCTTCCCTCTTAGACAGTCAATACATAATGGTTAAAACTGGAAAAATAAAACAATCTATAACAATATAAAGTTATTATTTAAAACACATAAGCAGGCCAGGCGCAGTAGTTCATGCCTGTAATGCCAGCACTTTGGGAGGCCAAGGCGGGCGGATCACGAGGTCAGGAGTTCAAGACCAGCCTGGCCAATATGGTGAAACATTGTCCCTACTAAAAATACAAAAATTAACCGGGTGTGGTGGCAAGTGCCTGTAGTCCCAGCTACTTGGGAGGCTGAGGCAGGAGAATCGCTTGAACCCAGGAGGTGGAGGTTGCAGTGGGCGGAGATCGCACCAGAGATCGCACCACTGCACTCCAGCCTGGGCAACACAGTGAGACTCCGTCTCAAAAAAACAAACAACAACAACAACAAAAAATAAGTAAATATCAGAAGAAACAGCTAAAATAATTTGGAGAGGAGAACTGGATTTGGAGATGAGAAAGGGACTTTTTCAATATTCAACAAGAAAAGGCTTTTTCAATATTACCCTTGAAGTAATATTTGAGTTTTTAAACTATGCATTTGTATTTCTGTGATTTAAAAAATCAATTTAAAGGGAAATTATAAATGTTGGAGAAAGGTAGGGAGGGATGGTATCTAGTACTGAAATGGGCACTTTGATAGTACTGATAGGAACCAGGACTCCCGTGACTACCAGGAAAGGTGTTGCTGGTCTTATAACTACCCACTGGGGTGTGGGATACAGCCTCTCAAGTCGGGTCATACCTTCTGCACCAAACACCTCTCCGCAGTGAGAGCAGAAGAAGTGCTCTGGGTGCCAGGTCTGGTTCATTGCTGTCAGCACTTTCTGGAAAGGGAACACACAGATATTATAATGATGCAGAAGTTGTAAAGCATGACTCTGGTTCTAAGTGAGTGACTGAAAGCTGGAGAGGAGCGGGGATTTACTTACATCCAGGATGGGAGCAGCGCAGTAAGCACAGCGTGGAGAAAAAAGTTGGTGGTAGTCGTTGGGGCAGTAGGCCAAGCCACTCCGCTCAAAGAAGGGACTGGAGCCAATCTCTTCTTTGCAATGAGTACAGACAAAATGCTCAGGATGCCATGATTGCCCTAGAGCATGGATCACCTGTGGAGTGAAATAAAGCCTGACACAGGAGGCCAGTTGAGTGCTCTACAGCCTACAGGTTGCACAACTCTAGGGAGCACTCTTCACATTGTACCCCTTGTAGACAACACGCCCTGGAATTATACAACACTGAGGCCTAGACCTAGGTTCCACCTAAGGCCATCTGTGGTCTGTGCTTTATGGATTGATAATAAAAGGATGCCCACTTCCGGGACTGATCACTGTGATGAAAGCCTGTAAATGTTCACAACCACTGCACTGCCACAGGGGGTGGCAGAAACAACATATAGCACATTGATGACAGAGAAGTTGTAACTGTAGCCTTAGTGTGGAAGGGACCCCTGGAAGAGGAAAAGGCCAAATGACAGTTTTTATTCCTCTAGTTTGAACACTTTATTCCACGCCCCATGCAGTCAGGTCTCAAAGCTTTTTATCATAGCTTCGGTGAAGGACGATGCAGAACAGGAGTTTGCAGCTGTGACTTGGAGCTGAGTTCAGCTGAAAATTGTAATCAATCAATTTAGACTGGGAATGTGTGAACAAAGGGAGCAGTGAGAAAGGTCATCTCAGTAAAGGCAGTACAGAAAAATGGTCAAGAACTCAAACTCAGGAGACAGTCTCCTGGTTTCAGATCTTACCTCTACCTCTTATTATGCCTTGGATATGTCCATTAATGTCTCTGAGTCCTCAGTTTCCTCATCTTTACAAAGGGAGCAATCATTCTTCTTGAAGGGCTGATGTGACCATTAAATGAGGAAATACTTGTAAAGCACTTAGCTCAGTGGCCAGAGCACTGTAAGTGATTAGTAATTATTAATGCTAACTAAAATATCTTAAAATATAAGGGGAAAGAGCAAACCTTGATGAGACAGAGAGAGACAAAGAAGGCTGTAGGACCAAAATTTCAGCCCATCTCACCTTCCCAGCAATCGGTTTCTGGCAGGATGCACAATGGCCCTTGGGCACTGTGGCAATGCCAAGGTCCTGCAATTCCTGCTCCAGACCCCCAAGCATTGAGTCCAGGGAGGCCTTGTGATCCTGCTTGTCTGGTAAGTGCTTCTTGCCAGCATCTGCTCTCACTGCAACCTGGCCCAAGGGAAGAACCAAGAACAGAATCAGCCTCATTTTTATTCTCATTGGCATCTTCTAATGACTCTATAAATTCACCTCTACTGACTGATCTCTTGGCCTTTCCCCAACCTTCCTGCAAGACATTGGAAAAATCTAAAATTTCAACACCAATAAAAATCTTTTCATCTCCCTTTCATCCTAAACTCCTCAGGCCAAATGAAATCTGACTAATTTTATATTTGTAAATCTTTTCTTAATGTAGGAAATTTAGTACATGAAGATGATACCCTTTGAAGATCTTAGGATGACCCCAGTTCAAAAATTAGTCACATCTCCCTTTTACTCATTTATTTGGCAATAATTGTTGAATACCTGGTTTGTGCCAATCACTGCTCTAAGCACTTGGATTAAAGCAAAGATAAGACAGACCAAGTGTCTGGCCTCATGGAATTGCATTCTGTGGGCGATAGACAATAAATAATTAAATAAATAAATATATGTTGTAATGTCAGACAGAGATAAGTTATAGAAAGAGATAGAAGGGACACAGCAAGATGGTAAGAAGAATTGATTTAGATGGAGGTAATAATCAAAGAAGGCCCCTCTAAGGAAGTAATATTTGAGTAGATACTTGGGACTTAGAAATATTGACATTTATGGGAAAAGCATTCTAGGGGAAGGGAAGGCCCCGAGGAATAAAACAACTTGGCACATTAGAAGAAAAGTCAAAGAGGTCAGTGGGGCTAGAGCAGAGGGAGTGAGATTGAACACGGCAGGAGAAGGTGATGGAGAGAGAGGCAAAGATCACATAGGAACCTCATGGTAAACGCTTGGGTTTTATTCCAAGGTGATGGAAGCCATTGCAGGATTTCAAGCACAGGAGTGAAGGAATCTGGAGGATCCCTGTGGTAGCTGAGTGGAGAACTAAGTGTTGACAAGCAAGAGTGAATACAGGGAGATTTTCAGATAATGACTTAGATCAGTATTACAGGAGAAGGTGGTGAGAAGTGGTCAGATAAGACTTGTTGATGGATTGGAATTATTTAAGCAAAAGCCCAAAATTATTATAAACCATTCAAAGAAGGATCCTCAAATTAAAAGAAAAAAAAAAAAGGCTAACTGACCCTTCATAACCTCATAACCTGATTCTGGCTCTCTCTACTCCTTTCCAGCTGGGCGACTGCTACCATCTATCTACTGAATACTTCACTCATCAGAAAACTACAATGGCTCTCCATTGCCACCACATCAAGTCTTCACTCATCAGACAGACATTCAAAGCCTCCCATCCACTGTCCTCCCTTTTTATCTTTCCCAATTTCATCTTTTATTAATACTATGTTGTAAAAGGACAGCTGGGCTCTTCATCTCCTGAATGTGATCTGTTACTGTCTGCCTTAAGACCTCTACTTATCCTACTTTTACTGCCTGTTATAACATCACACTGTCACCAATCAAAATGCTCATTTTGCTTCGAGACATTTTGATCATCTGACAGACATCCTTCCTTCTCTAATATATGTTAGTTAATATTCAAGAGGTTAGTGTTCAGAAGGTTAGTGTCTGAAAGGTCTGAAAGGGTGACTGACATTAATTATGAAAAATAAGTAAAAATACAATATAACTACATCTACACCTACATCTCTATCTCTTCACTGTTATCTTCCAGAATACTTCTGAACAGATATAGAAGAGACAGGAAATTCTGCCTATCTCCGGTGGGGCAGAACTGGATGGCTAGGGTGCAGAGCTGAGAAGGAAACAGTTCAGTGCAAGCTTTTTGCACTTTTGATTTGTGTACAATGTGAAAGTGCAGCTTATTCAAAAGATAAATGGGGCCGGGCACAGTGGTTCATGCCTGTAATCCTAGTACTTTGAGAGGCCGAGGCAGACAGGTGGCCTGAGCTTAGAAGTTTGAGACCAGTCTGGGCAACATAGCAAAACCTCGTCTCTACTAAAAATACAAAAATTAGCTGGGCATGGTGGCACACGCCTGTAATCACAGCTACTCAGGAGGCTGAGGCACTAGAATCGCTTGAACCCAGGAGGTGGAGGTTGCAGTGAGCCGAGATCATGCCACTGCACTCCAGGCTGGGTAACCGAGTAAGAATCTGTCTCAAAAAAAAAAAAAAAAAAAAAGATGGTGTTGTAAATTAAAAATTTAAATCAACCAATACACAAGCTAAATCAACTAGAAACGCAACACAATTAAATCTAATGTACATTTTTTCTAGTATTTTCAGATATACAGCATAATGAGCCAATCTACCCAGCTTTATTGTAGACACTGGCCCATCAAAGGATGTCAGTCATTAAGGAAAACTTGTTTGTGATGTTTATTTACTCATCTCTCTAATAAATATGTGTTGCTCACGATGTATCAGGCCCTGTGCTGAGCATTGGGAGTCCCAAGGTGAGCTCTAAAGATAAGGTCCCTGCCCTCTCCAATCATATACATTTTTATATACTGCTTTGAAATTATTTCATAGTCATCTCATGAGTATATATCAAATCCTCCAACCAGATTTAAAATGGTTGGATTCTCCACCTTAAGGATTCTGGATTATATTTCCTTTAATAAATCTTTAAGCCCATTTATCTGAGATTTCCATTCCATGCCCGACTATGTGAGCTCACCACTTTAGAGGTGTTCTAGAGGCTAGAACAAAGAGGCAGATTTTATCTCAATATGGGCTTGGGACTTCTCATCCTTCCTACTGTCAGAGCCATACTTTGATCTCCCTTGCTGTGTCTCAGCTTGCTCACTGGTCTCCTCTGTCCTGCTTAGTCAGGTCTCTTTAACAGTCCTTTTGGCCGGGCGCAGTGGCTCACGCCTGTAATCCCAGCACTTTGGGAGGCCGAGGCAGGTGGATCACGAAGTCAGGAGTTCGAGACCAGCCTGGCCAAGATGGTGAAACTCCGTCTCTACTAAAAATACAACAAAAATGAGCCGTGCACAGTGGTGGGCACCTGTAATCCCAGCTACTCGGAAGGCTGAGGCAGGAGGATCGCTTGAACCTGGGAGGCGGAGGTTGCAGTAAGCCAAGATAGCGCTACTACACTCTAGCCTGGGCAACAGAGCAAGACTCCATCTCAAAAACAAACAAACAAACAAACAAACAAATGAAAAATCCTTCCACATCATCAAGCCTTAGATACCTCTGCCCTCAGGACTCATTGCAACTAAAACCACCTTTCTTCCCATCTCTTTATGTCCAAACTCTGCCAGTTCTTCAGAGTCCATCCCAAGTTTCAACTCTGATTAAATCTCCAAAATCTCTCTATATCCGTAATGTTTGCTCCACATATGTTTGCAAAACACCTGGCTTTTATTCTATAAATGTTAAGAAACTTATGCCTCATTTTGCCAAGCACACTCCAGCTCCTTGAGATCAAAGTCTGTATTATATATTAATTTTTGTGTCCAAATAACACATAGTACAAAGATGGGTTAATTCATGGAATTAAATTTAGTCTGAAAAAAGCAATGACAACTTAGGAAAATTCCTAAGTGGGAGAATGGAGAGCTGAGTTCCACAAAGATAAACTGGTGACCCCATGGGCCCTGTTTATCATCTGGACTGCACTCACCTTGGCCTGCACTCACCTTGGCCTGCACTCACCTTGGCCTGCATCTCAGTCAGGTGAGCCATGAGCTCATCCAACTGAGCAGCTGCTGACGTTTTAGAAGGTGGTGGTGATTCCTTTGGCTCTTGGGCTTCACTATAGAGGGAAAACAAAAAAGTCATATGAACAAATCAAAACTCAAATAATGTTAAACCACACATAAAGTACTGGAAATGCAACTGTAATAATGAATCCCCTGGATATGAAGCTAAAATCAGAGATGGGGGTATTTTAAAAATATATTAATATGTACTAGACCAAAAATCTAAACAAGTTCTCTCTGCCTTTTTTCTCTATTTCTCCCTGGTCATCTAATTATAAAAAGTATTATATCTCCTGTCAGTTTTTGTCAAAAAATAAAAATAAACTAGAATATAGAGCAGGCATCAACAAACTAAGGTCCTTGGATCAAATCTGGCCATGTCCATTCATTTATCTACTGTCCATAGCTGCTTTTCTGAACAGTTGGGTAGTTGCTACAAAGACTTTATAGTCCACAAAAGCCTAACAAACTTACTATCTGCCTCTTTACAGAACAAGTTTGCAAATCTCTGGTGCAGAAAGTTTAGATAATATATATGATGATGATTTCATATTCATATAATTGTAAGTAAATTATAAATAAATAAAACTTTGGACCCAATAAACAGAATACAGATTCTATTCAAGTAGCTGCATAAACATTAGTAAAATTAACTATGTATGAAGATACAAAGTAAAGCTCAATAAATTTTTAAAAGTACATCATATAGACCATATTCTTAGATTGGAGTGAATAGAAGTACAAATTAATCATAAAAACTATCCACTTAAGAAAAAACAAAGCACTTCTAAATAATTCTTGGGATAAAAAAATTAAACTGAATTTTCAAACCAGTTAGAAATAGCAATGAAAACACACACACACACACACTCACACACATGCACACACACACACACACACACACGCCTTTGGGAGTTGAAAGCTAAATGTTATTGAGAAGAAAATATATAAATAGACTTAAGTGTGATATTAAAAAGTGAGAAAGATCAGAAATAAATAAAACTTCCAAGTCAAGAGTCTCAGAAAAATCTAAAATAATTCAACAGAAGGAATAAATGCATAAATTAGTGAAACAGAAAACAAGAAATAAAACAAAAACTGACAGTTTTTGGGGGATCATTGTATAAAATTCCCAAATACATAGAAAAATATGGAACATTACCTAATTCATTCTATAAATAGCACAGAAACTTTTTAAAATCAAAGAAAAAACGATGTGCATGTGTGAAGAGAGAAGGTTAAATAAAATCAGTTGAAATGTGTTTTTTTTAAAAAACATAAAAAATTTTAACAAGTCATGGCTAGGTGGTGTTTATACTGGTTATCCAAA
Source organism: Homo sapiens (assembly GCF_000001405.40). Classification (NCBI taxonomy): domain Eukaryota; kingdom Metazoa; phylum Chordata; class Mammalia; order Primates; family Hominidae; genus Homo; species Homo sapiens. The sequence continues at coordinate 58,556,218 of NC_000011.10, forward strand.
AATAGTTTGAAATTCAAAATTAGGAAAAAGATTAATATAATTCATTAACAAATAGGAGAAAAGCTTTATAAACACAATGATATGTGCTGAAAAAGCCGTGGAAGACATTTAACAACCATTCCTGTTGTTGAATATCAAGAAAAATAAGAAAAAGTCTATAAACTGATAAAATGTTTCCATAAGAAATATATAGCAAGCCTCATAATTATTAAGCAGATATCTAATTAAGAGATAAGTTGGACATAGATCCTATTATCACTGGCAATCTTCAACATTATTCTAGAATACATTATCAAACACATTTAAAAGTAAAATAAGAGAATTATATATTTGAAAAAAAGGCAGCACATCCTCAGTCTTTCTTTTAAAATAGATGGTATAATAATTTCCCAGGAAAATGTAAGATAAATGACTGAACAACCATTGGAATGAATAAAAAAGATCAGGGTGGTGATTAGATACAAGAATGAAATGAAACAGTCTCTTTCTTATTGATCATCAATAAGCAGTTTGAAAATCCAATGCGAAAAAAAGAACCTGTTCACAATTCTAACAAAAGTTGTAAAATATCAAATAATATATTTAACAAGAAATGTGTAAGAATTCTATGAAGAAAAACCATTGGCAGACATAAAGGAAGATCCACATATCCAATTAAACAATGAGCAAAGGACCTGAATAGATATTTTTCCAAAGAAGAAATAAAAATGGCCAAAAGGTATATGAAAAGGTATTCAACACCATTAATCATCAGGGAAATGCAAATCAAACTATTATGAGATACCACTCACAAACAGATGGCTATTCTCAAAAAGTCAAAAGATGGCAAATGTTGGCCAGGGTATGGAGAAAAAAGAACCTTTATACACTGTTGGTGGGAATGTAGATTGTTACAGCCATTACAGAAAATAATATGCAGGTTTCTAAAGGAATTAAAAATAGAAATACCACATGACACAGGAATCCTTCTTCTGGGCATACACAAAATAAATGGAATTACCACTTCGTAAAGATCTCTGCACTCGTATGTTCATTGCCACAATATTCACAATTCACAATAGCCAAGAGGTGGAAACAACTTAAGTGTCCATCAATGGATGGACACCAATGGAATAAAGAAATTGTGAAATATGCACACATACACAACAGAATATTAGTGAGCCTTAAAAAAAGGAGATTCTGCTATTTGTCATAGCATTGATGAATTGGAAGGACATTATACCAAGTTAAATAAGAAAGAAACATATTGCATGATCTCACTTATAGGTGGAATCCTCTTTTGTCATTTAAAAAGGTCAAATATGTAGATACACTGGTGATGAGAGGCAGGAAAGGGGGTGAAAATGGGGACATGTAGGTTAGAGAATATGAAGTAGCAGATATGTAAGATGAACAAGCCTAGAGATCTAATGTACAACATAAGAACTATCGGTAATGAAATTGTATCGTATTTAGGATTCCTGTTGCAAGAGTAAATTTTGGCTGTTCTTGCCACAAAAACAAACAAACAAAAATGTGTAACTGTGTGAGATAATAAATATGTTAATTTGCCTCACTATAGTAACCATTTTACTAACTATTCATAACCCATAACATAATATTGTACACCTTAAATATGCACAATAAAATTTATTTTTAGAAAAGAAAGCCTATATAAATGAAGATAAATATTATGTCAGTTTCCCCTAAACTGTAAATTCAATGTAATTCAAATAAAAATTCTGATATAATTATTCAAGCTAATTAATAAGATGATGTTAACATTTATGGGATAGAACACTCAAGACAATTTTGGAAAAACAAAATAGGAGGGGTGTGTGGTGTCTCACACCTGTGGTCCCAGCACTTTGGGAGGTCCAGGTAAGAGAATCACTTGGGACCTGGAGTTGCGAACAACCTGGGAAACATGAGAGAGACCTGGTCTCTATAAAAATTAAAAGTTGTAAAGAAAAAAAAAAACAGGAGGGAAGATTTGTCTTGATAGATGTGGTGTCTTATAGAGTAACAATAATTAAATTTGTATGATGTTGGTAAAGAAGATAGGGCTGGGTGCGATCGTTCATACCTGTGATCCCTTTGGGAAGCTGAGGCAGGAGGACTGCTTGAACCCAGGAGTTTAAGACCAGCCTGGGCAACATAGGGAGACCCTGTCTCTACAAAAATTTAAAAATCAGCCAGATGTGGTAGCACACATCTGTCGTCTCAGCTACTCAGGAGGCTGGGGCAGGAGGATCACTTTGGCCCAGGAGGCCAAGGCTGCAGTGAGTTGTGATCACACTACTGCATGCCAGCCTGGACAACAGAAGCAGAATGAGACCCTGTCAAAAAAAAAAAAAAAAAAAAAAAAGAGAAGAAAGGAAAGGAAGAAGAAAAAGAAAAACAAATAGGTCAAAGGAGTAGATTAGAAAACCCAGAAACAGGCTCCTGCACCTAAAAGAACTTCCTATATGAGCAATGGGGCATTTCAAATCATCCAAAACAGACTATTCGACTCAAAGAATAACAACCTATTTGGTACAAAATAAATATGGATCCCCAACACACCAAATACATGAATAAATTTGAGACAAATTAAAGATAGATATCAATATTTTTAAATGTAAAGATAATAGAAAAATGAAGAATATATTTTACAATTTGGGGTAATGAAGGTTTTCCTAAGATGGACATAAAATTCTGAAGTGATTTCAAAAATGAAAAAAATATTGATACAGCTAAGTTCACAAAACTTAAATATAAATAAATATTTAAAACATAATATTCAAGATTTTAAAGAAATGTATAAATAATTTAGAAAAATAGAAACCTGAGCTAAAGATTCTTTTAAAAAGCAGGTTTCAGAAAAAGAAACTCAAATGTTTATTACTATATAAAAATACCCTCAACCTCATTAATCTTTAAATTTGCAATTTAAAGCAATGAGATACTAATATTTACCTATTAGTTGAAATTTTAACAGAGGGATAATATGCAGTGTTGGCAAAATATGAATTTTATATATATACACATACACATTTATATATACCATAGGTGGTTATATAAATTTATAAACACTTTTGCAAGGCAGTATCTATCAACATTTCAGACACATATACCACTTGATTGAGCAATTTTGCTACTAAGAATCTATCCTACAGAAAAATTGGACATATATATATAAATATATGTGCAAGGACATTTATTAGGGTACATTTTCTATGAGCAAATTGGAAATAAACCAATGGAGCTAAAGTAAAATAAATAATGGTTCATCCATGCTATAGAATAACATGCAACTGCTAAGCAGACATAGATTTAAGTGAACTAAAAAAGACTTCCAACAAACATTGTTAGTGTAAAAAAGAAAAGCCCAGAACAATACGAAAATTATACTTCCAGCCTGGTGCAGTCACTCATGCCTGTAATCCTAGCACTTCAGGAGGCTGAGGTAGGAGGACTGCTTGAGCCCAGGAGTTCAAGACCAGCCTGGGAAACATAGGGAGACTCCATCTCTATGAAAATTTTAAAAATTAGCTGGGTGTGGTGGCACATGCCTGTGGTCCCAGCTACTTGGGAGGCTGAGATGAGAAAATAACTTGAGCCCAGGAGGTCAAGGCTGCAGTGAGCCAAGATAACACCACTGTTCTCCATCCTGGGCAATAGAGACAGACCCTATCTCAAATTTAAAAAAGAAAAAAATTTACTTCCATTTATATAAATTTATAAGCCCATGTACATAAGTATGAATATGCACACACATAAGTCTGTAAGGAGAAGAACCTGACAGCAGTTACCTGTGGAGCTGGTAATGAGTTGGTGAGAGGAAAGACTCTAAGAGGAGTGGTCTCAATTTTCACCCTATGTATACATTTCCAAATTCTTCGACTTTTTACGCACATGAGTTTATGAAATAGTTTTGTATCTTAAGTTATATTTTTAAAACAAAACAAAACACAGGTCATCTATACTAGGAAAATAGCTAACACACATGGCCAACAGATGAAGTGGTGGAGGTGTCAGATGAGACATCAGTAATGCAATTCACCTGTATATCTCAGTTATTATACACACACATACACACACAATGGTTCTACAAACAATCTTCAGTAAAGTACATAAATATAGTCACAGTGTAGAGCTTTCTATTTAAAATTGTTCTAAAATATAAAATTAACACATGTTAAGTGTAGAAAATTTGAAAACTGCAGAGAAATATACAGAAAAAATTTTAAACACATATAATCCCCTTTTCAGGAGGCATTTACTCTGGACATTTTGGCTGATACCATTACACTTAACTATGATTGTGTGTAATTTTAGAAAACTAAAATTATACATTTTTCCTACTCTTATGCAAACATTTTTCTATCTTCTGCAACCATAATAGGTAGCATTTATTGAATGTCTGTCTGCACTATGCCTGACACTCTATACAGAGCTTTACACAGGTTCTCTTTAAATCTTTTATAATAACAACCTTAAGAGCTAGGTATTATCACCTCCAAATGAAAAACTGGGGCTTAGAGAAGTTAAAAACTTTTTTGTACATAATACAGTTGGCAAGTAACAAAGAGCTTGGGCCTGCAAACTGCAAAGTTTGTGCTGTGTGTCCTGAATTATCTGCCAAAATAATGTTTAAAGGCTATATATTTTCAAATAGATAATGTATTATATAATTTATCAAACTAATAATTTATTGCTGGACACCTAGATTGTTTTCTAACTTTCATTATTATAATCAATACTGCCAAACAAATATTTGCACCCATGTTTGATCATTTACATAAGAGTTAAATTTTAAGAAGGGAAATCACCGGGCCAAAAGGTATAAAAAGGTAACTGACTGTGGAATCATGTTTGTAATCAACATTAATCAACAGAGCTTAGCTAACAACCCACCAAACCAAAACCCTCTGTCTCACGACTACTCAAGCCTTTTCTCTCTCTCTCTCTGCACAAAGATGCAAAGTCATAAATAAAAGTAAATGTTCTGTCTTTCACTTAATATATTTTCAAAAATGAAAACATACATTTACTACTTATCTTTATGTAGTTACCAGCCAGAAAAAAAGTAGAAGAAAAGTTGATACTTTTCTCTCTTAAGAAGAAAAGACTATCTTTTGGATACGACATATCTCATGTCCACTTATTTTTGATCACTTAACAACAAGGAAAATATAAGAGGAAAATGGATATCTCTTAAGATAAAAGATTTATCTTTTAGGTACAACATGGCCCTCTACTAGATGCAAGATTTTTTGTTTTAATCTGAGAGCAAAACCAGTCAAGTATGCAAGTAATTGATTCAATCCATTGTGGATGTTTCCCAGAAGGTACACTGGAGCTTTTTCTCACAGCTCGATCAGTCATAATCCTTTCGTAGCTGCTGCCACAGGCAAATGCCTTGGGAATACAAAAGGCAGCAGGACTGTGAACACATTCTGCTGCCCTATGCCCAAATGCAGAACAAATGCAGTTTCTTAGCAGGGCTTGTATATTCCTAAAAAACCTTCCAATCTCACAGTTGGGGCAAATTTGTGCTTATTCAAAGAATTCCCACTGGTTTTTAACTAGAGTCCTAGTGCAGTGTAGAAAGGGAAATAGATCATTGTTATAATACTCCAACAGTTATTGAGTCAACAGTATAAAATTCTACATAAGAAATGAGAGACCTTGAAGAGTTAATGATTACAAATTAAAGTGCCCACTGCAGGAAATGTTCCTGAAAAGAGAAGAACCTTTGATTTGTTCCCTGACCTTTTGAAGATAGTAAAGATGCTTGGCTATGTCATCAGCAGCAACTTACTTCACTGCTCAGAGATTTCAGTAACACATATCACAAGAGATGCATCTAAAAGAATCCAGACTTAAGCAAGGGGCTTCATTGTGCTGGGTTTTTTTCCCCTACTTATTTCTCTGTTATATTTTTATGACTTATTCCTCTCGATTATTACCAGAATTATTTTTGTTTATGTAAAAGATACATTTCTAAATTATTGCTCATGTTGCTATTGATATATAACTATACTAGAAATGTTATTGCATTGTTATATTCAGAGCTAGTATTGAAAATACTTTGAAGGTATGTTAAAAGCAATATTTAGTTCATTTAAGCAAGCCAGAGTAAATAGTAGAAACAGAATGCAGGAATCTAGTTTGTGTGTCTAATATTCTATTTATATGCTAGCCTTGCCAGCTCAGAGTGATACTAGTCTCAGGGATGTGCATCTATCTATTACATATTTACTAGGTCACCTGGATTTTATGTCACTCTCCCACAGAGGCCTGGCTACACAGCAAGTATCATTCAGTAATAGGAAGTACATCAAAGGCCAGTCAGGAAAACACAAACCACATGAGTACACAGAGTTTAGACCAGAAACCTGATTACACAGGTGAGGGGAGAGCTAAGAAGCAAAACAGAAGACACTGAATAACCCAGAAGTCACTACTACCCCTAAGCCAAAGGGAAAAAGAAAAGAGGAGAAGTTACCAGAGCTAGGGGCCCAAGTCAACAGGCAGAAGGTGAAACCACAGCAGACCTGTTGTGCTCCAGCTGAAGTCATAAAGAAGATAAAGCTGCTGACAGAGATCCTGTGGAAATAGAGCGACTTGTGGGGGGGAAATGCCCTGGATTTCACTGCTTTTTACCCTGCAGTCTTTCCACAGTGCCTCCCATTGGTTGAAGACAGTGAGGACCAACTGATCCTGGAGCCTGGAAAACCCAAGGGGTCAGCTCCCCTGGAATACAGAGCAAGAGAAGGAGGAAATCATGGGAAATAGGCCAGAGAGGCCCATACTATGAGGAAGAGGGTGTCAATAAGTTAGTATTGGTACACCATCAGTTAATAATCACAGTGCCAGATATACAGGCTGTTGGTTGGGCTAGTTTTCATGTTATATGTTCATGCATTCACTCGCATTTCTACTGGAGTCTTGGTTTCCTAGATTTAAGAAACCAAATATTTACTGAGGACCTATTGTGTGCCAGCCACTTTTTGTTATTGTTTTGCTTTGTTTTTATTTTTCATTGGGGCTTCAGGGACTGGGGAGGGACTAGGAGGAATTCTCATCTGGCAACATCCTTGGAACTAGAATAAACTGGCAATATGTATCAATAAATTGGCCTCACCTTCACCAAAGTAAAAAGCATCCTTAAGAGGGAAGTTTTAAGAAAACTTCTTGTAGCACAGTTCTTGCCTTATTTTTGCCTTGCATGTGTGCACTATTGACTGCAATCCTGAAACCAAATAAGGTGTGATCTAGCACTGTTTCCCAAGCATGAATCTTTACTATCTATATTTTATGCTCTTTAATTTGTTTTCCAGAAAGTTGTCTGATGTTAAAAATTGCAAGCTATAACTAAGGAGAGAATAAGTAAGTTAATCTTGTTATTTTTTCAGACTGCCAATTCTGCTTTAGCCAGGAGAAATGATTTAGTAAGTGTATCTGTTTTAATATGGAACTTCTCATAAAAGGAAATCCCTCTACCCACTATACAAATTTTGAGCAAATATGGAAAGAAAAAGTAAATACTCATCAGTTGGCCATGGAGACCCACTGTCTTAGTTTAACCCTCATCCTAGCTCTGACATTGCTAGAATCTTGCTGAAGTTTCTTCAGGTGTGTTTTATCTTTCAGGAAACTGAAGCATAACATCTGGAATAGCGTGGACAAAACATCTGTGGTAACTCTGGGAGTATTTACACTTCTTTAGGTGGTAATGGACATAGCAGGGCCCACTAGCCTAGACAACCCTTCCAGAAGCCAGGCACCTTGAGAAGTTGTCAAGTCAGCTTCACAGAATTCTACCTATGCTCAAAGACTATGGAAAGAGGAGGATGATATACGAGTTCTAATAATAAACACTTGCAAAGCAAATTATCACCCAAACAAAGATTGATAACAATTATCTACTAACTTTAATTTTTAAAAGCATTTAATAGAAAAAAAAATACCTGTAGACATTGAGCTCCTGGATATTGGTAGTATACACGAGCTGCGCCTAAGATATATAAGTGACAAGAGAAGAGCAAAGAATAAATTTTTGTTATCAGAATGTTGAGGCTTAATGATACCCACAGTTAATAGATGTTTGTAGCTTTTAAAGGGGACTGACAAGTGGCATATCTATGAGCTCTTCTTTCACAAGCCAGAGGAATTACCAGCCATCCCACAAAGAAAAGCCAAATTCTAAACAGAGTAGTTGGCATGTGAACAAACACTAGCAGCCCCTCCTTGCCTAAAAACCACCCAAATAGAGAAGTTGATCCTCCTTAGATAAGAACCATAAATCAAATAAAATGGGTCAGAGCTAAGCCCCTTTAACTAAACAGGATGGTGCCTAGGAGGAGACTATAATGTTATTAAACTTGACATATGAAAAGAAATAACATGTGAATCTAAAAGATGGTTGGCTGGCAATTCATTTATTAATTGAACAAATATGTATTGAGGGCCTGTCATGTGCCAGGGCTGAGGATGTAGCAGTCAAAAAGCAAAAAAATCAAATAAAAACTGTAAGCCCTGAAGCTTACATTCTGGTGCTGTGAAACAAATAATAAAGAAATTGGTATGTAAAAGTAATATTCTGCATAGAGGATGGGAAGTGGGGAGAGACAGCAATTATAAATATACTGATCAGGGAAGGACTCACTGAGAAGAGAACGCTTGAGCAAGGACTTATATAGGAGGTGGGGAAAGAAAGCAAATATCTGGGGTCATATGATTCAGGTGGAAAGGCCAGCAGGAAAACCACCTGGAGCATCTGTGGAACCACGAGAAGGAGAGTGTGGCCTGAGCAGAGTGAACCAAGGACACAGGGACAGCAAGTAAAGGGGCCAGATCATACAGATGAGGTGGCCACATCACCAAACGTTCAGAATGGGGTATTTTTTAGAAAGAAAATGGGTTCCAAAAATAAGTCATATTGTATCATTTTTAAAATATGTGTTTATTGGCCAGGCATGGTGGCTCATGCCCGTAATCCCAGTACTTTGGGCAGCCGAGGCAGACGGGTCACGAGCTTGTATCATTTTTAAAATATGTGTTTATTGGACGGGCGTGGTGGCTCACGCCCGTAATCCCAGTACTTTGGGTGGCTGAGGCAGGCGGATCACGAGGTCAGGAGATCGAGATCATCACGGCTAACATGGTGAAACCCCATCTCTACTAAAACTATAAAAATTTAGCTGGGAGTGGTGTTGCGTGCCTGTAATCCCAGCTACTCAGGAGGCTGAGGCTTGGAGAATTGCTTGAACCCGGGAGGCAGAGATTGCAGTGAGCTGAGATCATGCCACTGCACTCCAGCCTGGGTGACAGAGCGAGACTCGGTCTCAAAAAAAAAAAAAATGTGTTTATTGACCTGAATTTGGTCTTATTATATTGGTGGACCTATAAGATAATTCTATCCAAAATTTATTTTCAAAATAAAAATTTCCTGAAATATCTTAAAGTGATAGTGATACAAAGTTATGAACATTCAAGCAACTTTAAAAAAATATTGGCCAGGCACAGTGGCTAACGCCTATCATCCCAGCACTTTGGGAGGCTGAGGCACGTGCATCATTTGAGGTCAGGAGAATTTGAGACCAGCCTGGTGTCATGTGACCAGACATGGTGAAACCCTGTCTCTACTAAAAATACAAAAAAATTTGCCAGGTATGGTGGTGGGTGCCTGTAGTCCCAGCTACTCGGGAGGCTGAGACAGGAGAATTGCTTGAACCCAGGAGGCGGAGGTTGCAGCGAGCCAAGATCATGCCACTGAACTCCAGCCTGGGCAACAGAGTGACACTCTGTCTCAACAACAACAAAAAATTGATTATCTGAACATTTTTAATGGTACAGACAATTATTCTTTATATGTATTCACATACCTTAATTGGTTATTTAGATATTATTGTCTCTAGCATTGGGATGTGGACATTTTTCAGGAACATGTGTTTTTTTTCGTTTTTTATTTAAACAGTTATTTTTTTATAAAACTGCAATCTTTTTCAAAACTTCATTTTATGGTTAATATATTTGAAATTATGGACAACTTTAATTGATGCTTCACTATATGTTTTTAACTGAGAACACATTTCCTCTCTAGATACTGATGAACCTGTAAGTTCTGCTAAATGAAGAATCTTCTCATTTTTTAGATTAAAATATGTAAATATTTCAGGCCAATATCGTCATAGGTGCTGTCTTTCTACCTTCATTCAAAGCACTTTTGCTCAATAATTTCTTACAAGATAAAACTTTCAAGTTGTCTATATCTGTGATTGTTTCAACATTTCACCAAATCTAGATACTGCAAAATCATAGACTTTCACAATTTTTCTCCATTTTGGTAGAGAATAAAAATTTATCCAAATAAAATTAGAAGTCAAAATACATCAAAGTCAAGATTTTTCTGAAGCACAATTGTCAAAATAGATAATTAAACCATATCTGCTTTCATCTTTTGATTTGTTCAACTCCTTCTTCGCTTTTGTAGGGAGAAATTTGAGCTTCTTCCTTTGCAAGCCTTATTTTACATAATTGTAACTTGCTAAAAGCTTCAAAAGCTGAATTTTCATGCTACATTCATTCAGTAATCGATTAAAAATTTCCAACTGGTCTTGAACATAATGCAATCTAAATTTGGGTTGCTTTACAAAGTGGTTTTTCAAAGGCTCAGGCATTCCCAAAATCCAATTGATGACATGCAACACAGACAGGAATATACATATAGTCATTCTGAAATGTTTCCTTGCATGGTAGTGTTCAATATCAGCTTCTGTCAGAAAAGTTTTGTAGATCAGTTACTTATAAAATCTGTGTGTGTGTGTGTGTGTGTGTATATATATATTTATAATTTATACATTTTGACAATTTTAGTTTCTGTTTTGACTGACAGAATACCGCAGCTTGTTTGAATGCAGTCACAAATTTTGTGCACATTACAACCAATTCCAAGTACATTTCTGCTTCATAGCTTGTTAACTTGGTAAGAACATTTTTAACACAATGCTGTGCTCTATTAACATTTGTATTCATATTCTTACAACAAAAACAACAGTTTACCTTCAATGTTGAGCTTTTCAACTAAATTTACAGTGGCATTAACAATGTCAGATGTTTCACTTTTTGACTAGGAAATAAATTTTCACATATTTTATTTTGATTGTTTGAATTAGATAAAAAACAAAATTGAAACATTTCAGAATTAATACATTTTTGAATTGAGACCTCTAAGGAAATTATTATAAAAAACATTATTTGAAGGTTTGCAAAGGAAAATCACTCATTAATTATTACCAGTTTACTTACAAGTACAAGAAAACTTGGAATTGAAAATGAGCAAAATTAATTTATGAGTTATTTGATACTAATGGGAAGGTGTGCTTCACAATGACATGTACATAGGCCTCCTGCAGCTGCCGTGTTGAAGTCATTTTAAGGCATATTCTTCTTAAATTATTAACTTTGGAAATAGATGCCAAAGCTGCTTCACCATATTTGTACCTTCTGGTTTTCAAAGGGATAGTGATCTTTCTACTTGCCTGCATGGTACATGGTAAATATTGAAAAATATTTTCTGCACGTTGCATATTCATTATCAGCTTTCTTGAGACAATTAAACATGTGGGTTTTGTTTTGAGCTAACTGCTGAAAGGGTTTATTGTAAAATTCAAAAGGCATTACCATATAATAAAACAAATAGAGCTTCACATATACAAATAATAACAAAACTGCTTTAATAAAACAATTAGGTTACACTATACTCTATGGCAAAATTACTTAGCCTCTATTTCCTAAACATAATTTGTATGACATTAAGCCACAATTTCTCCCATTTTCTACTGACTCTGAGGAGGTTCCACGCATCTCACAGGCCACCCACCACACGACCACATGAGGGCATGAGTGGTGGTTCACAAAGTGGCCAGCAGGGGGAAAAGCCTCAGAAATTCTTCTGCTACCACCTAAGATCAGAAGAGGTACTTGTGCTTGAGCTCTTAGCTTTAACAGGCAGCACCCTGCATATAATTCTTGAAAGGTTGCTGCTAGCTAGGTTTCATCTGAACAGAATCAAGAAAAAAGACAAGTTATCATTAGCCATCTTTTGCATTTAACCATAATTAAGTCAGAATTTGGCTGGGGACAGTGGCTCGTGCTTGTAATCCCAGCACTTTGGGAAGCTGAGGCAGGCAAATCACCTGAGGTCAGGAGTACAAGACCAGCCTAGTCAACATGGTGAAATCCTGTCTCTACTAAAAATACAAAAATTAGCTGCGCATGGTGGTGCATGCCTGTAGTCCCAGATACTCAGGAGGCTGAGGCAGGAGAATCACTTGAACCTGGGAGGCAGAGGTGGCAGTGAGCCAAGATTGCACCACTGCACTCCAGCCTGCACGACAGAAAGAGACTCCATCTCAAAAAAAAAAAAAAGAGCACTGTTCACTGAATATGTGTTTCATACGCTGCTAGATGAGACCATGGAAGAAGCTGGAAGGAGGTCTGTTAAGCCATAGTGGCTTACTTAATGCAAATACTGATAAGAAAACTTTAAATAAAATTGAAGATCTGGGGTAAAAAGTAAAGTTAATAGGATGTGAGAAAAACAAGCATAAACCCAGGACTCTTTCAGGTAAACCAGGATATATGGTCACCCCAGAAAGATCAACATGAAACTATGGCTTTTACTCCAAATGAGATGGGAGTCATTTTGGGGTTTTGAGTAGAAGAATGACAGGGTCTGACTTTAGTTTTTAAAGGTGACCCTGGCTGCTTGAGAACAGACTGCAGTGGGGCAAAGGGCAGGAGACCACTTAGGAGCCTACAGCTATAATCTAACACTGAGAACAAAGACAATAGTTCCCTAGTAGAGAGATAAATTCGTATCGTTAAAATTGTGTATGTGTCTGGAGAAAAGAACAGTTAGGGCGTAAACTACCCCTGAGCTCAAATTTCAGGTCTGTGCTTCTGGCTATTTCATACAGGGAACAATGATGAATCAAAATATCATAGTACAAAATTACCAGCTATGAAGAGCATCTACTTAATTCATCTTACACTAATTCCATTCTCATCAAGCAACCTTTTAATTATAATGTACGTCCATATAGACTTATCCATAGGAAGAGAATGCATATATGAGTAAATATAGCTGTTTTACTTGATAGCTTTAACTGTAAATTTGATTTCTGAGTTTTGTTTTTTTTTTGTTTGTTTGTTTTTTGAGACAAGCTCTCATTCTGTCGCCCAGGCTGGGATGGAGTGGCGCAATCATAGCTCACTGCAGCCTCGACCACCTGGGCTTAAGCAATCCTCCTGCTTCAGCCACCTGAGTGGCGGGGACCATAGGCACGCACCACCACACCCTGCTCATTTTTTAATTTTTCGTAGAGATGGGGGTCTCACCATATGGCCCAGGCTGGTCTCAAACTCCTGGCTTCAAGTGATCCCCCCGCCTCAGCCTTCCAAAGTGCTGAAATTACAGGCCTGAGCCACTGCACCTGCCCTAGGTTTTTAAAATATATATATAATCACTTGTCAATTTGGTTAGTTTGAGTTGGTTCCCTAGAGCTTCATCATCTCTATATAAACTAATAATTGAATCTCCTAATCTATTCAGCAGAAAATAAGACCTGGGAAGTAGTGACCCTAAAAAGTCACCCTGAGAAGACTTGTCTATGCTGCCACCTGGCCTTCCTCAGGTGATCTCTGGCCTGAGTACCATTCCAGTCAAACTGCAACAGGCATCTCTGATGCCCCCACAGTAACATCAGAATATCCCCAGTGAATGCAATACTCTGCCTGTGACCATGTGCTCATTAGAAAAAATGTAGTTCTCGGCTGGGCGTGATGGCTCATGCCTGTAATCCCAGCAATTTGGGAGGCCAAGGCGGGTGAATCACCTCAGGTCAGGAGTTTGAGACCAGCCTGGCCAACATGACAAAACCCGTCTCTACTAAAAATACAAAAATTAGCTGGGCATGGTGGTGCGTGCCTGTAATCCTAGCTATTTGGGAGGCTGAAGCAGGAGAATCGCTTGAACCTGGGAGGTGAAGGTTGCAGTGAGCCGAGATTGTGCCACTGCACTCCAGCCTTGGAGACAGAGTGTGACTCTGTCTCAAAAAATAAAAAAAAAATAAAAAAAATAAAAAAAATAAAAAAAATTTAGTTCTCAAAAACTCATTCCTCTGTGATGATTTTCTCAATTCTCTTCCTCTTTCCAAAAACATCTTTAGATTAACATTGAGGCATTATTTTTTCTCTTTCTTGGATATATTATTCTCCTTTCATATTATTTTATGTGGGATTCTGTTAATTTTCAGAAATGCACTCAAACATCCATGTTTAAGGACTATAATAAATGAAAATTTACCGGCAAGGGACTTGTGTTATCCTGAATAGAAAGGATCTCCGAAGTCTCATCAAGGTTAGTCTCCTTTCTGGAATGCTGATCCAGGGGAAGAGGAGCTGGGTTGGAATATTCATCACTGTCCTGAAGGGTGGAGCGTTCCAGTTCCTCCAATAAGGCATCTACACCATAAGAAGCAAGAGAATCATGACAGAGAATATTTAAATCCCTACAGTCATTTTCTCCTTAAATATCTTCACTGTGCCCACATTCATCTCCTTTTCTTCAATTATGGCTATTTTCAAATACTTTCCCTTATTCCTTATTTCACTTCAAGAATGTGGTGAATCCTACCAAGAAATGTTTAACACCTCCATAAATTGTGGTTTGTTTCTTATTTTCTATGGTTGCATTCAATTTCATAGTCTCATGCTATAATTTGATTTTTTATACCACAGGTATTAATTTTCATCATTCATTTAGGGTAGATTCCCCACAAATATCCTTAATTAGAAAAAAATAAAACTGGGCTGGGTATAGTGGCTTATGCCCATAATCTTAGCACTTTGGAAGGCTGAGGCGGGAGGATCCCTTGAGCCTAGGAGTTCCAGACCAGGGCAACATAGCAAAATCCAGTCTGTATGAAAAATACAAAAAAGTCAGCCCAGCATGGTGATGCACACCTGTGGTCCCAGCTACTTGGGAGGCTGAGGTGGGAGGATCACCTGAGCCTAGGTGAGCCTGCGATGAGTCGAGATCACGCCACCACACTCCAGCAGCCTGGGCCAAAGGAGTGATACCCTGTCTCAAAAAATAAATAAATAAATAAATAAATAAATAAATAAATAAATCCTAAATGCTTTTTTCTATCAGAAAAATAGAAGCAATTATATTACCATTTTTCAAAACATACGAGGGAAATAACACTTATTCTTAATCCTAATGATATTTTTTCTTAAATCTTAACAATTATCCTGAGCACGTAACAAAATTTTCAAAGCAAGGTATAAGTATCCTGTCTTTTAGGGTGTGGAGAGAAAAAATGGTTGGGGATAAAACTGAGATATTGCAAAATCAAGTAAGATGTTGCAATTTAAATAGTTGGGATTTGTTACTCTTTCAGTTTTTTTTCTTTTTTTTTTTTTGGAAAAGTATTATATACTAGTATCTATCTGTTACAATGAAATAAATAATAATTAATAAAAATTAACACATGCCAGGCACTGTGCTCAGGAGTTTACACATTTCATTTAATCATCCTAACACTTTGAGGCAGATGATATTATTGTCCTTATTTTGTAGATCACAAGAAAGAGACAAAAATAATTTGCTTAAGCGCATGAATGCAGAACCAGGACTTGAATCTGGGCTATCTGATCCCTAGCCCCTGCATTAACTAAAAGTTAGAAGTTCCAGTCTCCTGTCTTATATATATTCTCTGGGTTACCTTGAGCATGTCACATCCTTCTCTGATGCAGTTTCCTCATCTACATAACAAGGCAATTTGATTAGAACAGTATTTTTCAAATTATGGCTCAATAATGCATTAGTGGATCTCTAGCGGACTTCTTACCACAGATTTTAGCTTTCAAACTTTAAACACATAATTACATTATTTCTAAGGACCTGCCTACATCTAAAGTTCTCAGATAAGGAAAATAAACTTCACAGGTCATTAAAAAAAAAACAGATTTTTCATTTATTTTAGATTTTGGAGGAATGAATATTTCTTAATGGCGTTAGAAGAGATCTAATCCTTTTTTTTTTAACAAATGAAATATACAGATCTTTCATAATCATCCATTTATCAAAAATGTTGACTTTTATGTACCATTTTAGAGATAAGCAAACTGAACTAAACTCTCGGGCAAATGAATAACTGTAATGGGAAAAAAGAGATGAGTGGGACCCTATGGCATTAAAAAGTTGAGAGACTTATAATAAATTTCAGTGTATGAACTTTATTTGGATCATTAAATCTACTGTAAAAATGAAACAATCAAGACTATTGAACACTGACTGGATATTAAATAATATCAAGTAAGTACTGTTTATTTTAGGTGTGATAATGATATTTAATAATATTAATTAATTCTGTTAAGTTTTTAGGTGTGATAATGGTATTTTACAATATTAAGGAATTAATATTAAGGCTGTTGTTATGGCAATGGCATTACAGTTATATGTATAAATATATATTTATTTTAGAGGTCAGTGTTAAAATAGTTACAGATAAAATGACATCTGAAATTGTTTTAACATAATTACAGGGGTGAAAGGAATGGGTGGGCATATATATGAAGTAAGACTGATGAAGAACTGATTGTTTCAACTGGTTGATGGGTATATCAGAATTCATTAAACTATTTTCTCTACTTTTGCATACTTAAATTTCTTTATAATAGAAGTTTTTTAAAAAGAAGGACAAATAGGCCGGGCATGGTGGCTCATGCCTGTAAATCCCAGCACTTTGAGAGGCCGAGGCGGGCGGATCGCCTGAGGTTGGGAGTTCGAGACCAGCCTGACCAACATGGAGAAAACCCGTCTCTACTAAAAACACAAAATTAGCCAGGCATGGCGGCACATGTCTGCAATCCCAGCTACTCAGGAAGGCTGAGGCAGGCGAAACGCTTGAACCTGGGAAGCAGAGGTTGCGGTGAGCCGAGACCGTGCCATTGCACTCCAGCCTGGGCAACAAGAGCAAAACTCCGTCTCAAAAAAAAAAAAAAAGAAAAGAAAAGAAAGAAAAAGAAAAGAAAACTAAGGTAGAAAAAGAAAGAAAACTTTTTGCCTCAGATTTTTATTAGCCAGACCCCACACCAAATTTGAGAATTTTGAATTTTTATTCTACATCTTTCAATTATGCTAGAGCCCCTTTCTTTTCTATTTTCTAAGCTTTGCTCTAACTAGAAGCCAAAGATCCTCCTGAGCTCAAAATAAAAAGCCATTTACAATAAAGATTATAAGAGAGAAGAAACCATACCACAAAGAGTAGGAAGTTGCCCTCAGAAGCACCAGCTAACCAAAGTTATCAAAACCCTTCTTTCTGGGTCATGAGTTATAGGCTTTTCTCTTCCTGTTTCATATGAGTGTGCATATCACCAACACTGTGAGGTTATTATGCCTTTTGCCAGATTTTGTAATTTGAAGATGACTAATTTCAGTATGACAAATATGGGATTCCTGGAGAGTGGGGGCGGGGGAAGTGGGGACTAGACTGAAGACTCCATAATTCTTCTCTGTAGTCTTTTACTGTGGAGATGAAATAATATCAATATTAACATGAAAGGAGTAAAGTGAGGTCTCTTGGGAGTCTCTGAGGGTTGCATGGATTTCATTCGGAGGCAGAATCTGCTCCTGGTTCCTCTTTATCTATCATGCCTAATGCCTACGTAATGAGGGTTTAGGTAAAACCTTCTGGGTGTATACAAGCTGCTAGCCTCTGAGGCACCACTGCAGACAGGAAATATTTGCTCACTTGAGCCAACCTGTCCTCGATGCCATTTCTCTGCCAGCAGGAAGAAAGATCCACACCAAGTCTCAAGGGTAGTTACTGGGCTGATGACAATTTGAAGAAACTGTTGAAGTGTAGCCATCAACAGCCTGTGGAGACGTAGCCAACTGGATAATCTGCACAAATATTAGCTTCCAGGCTACTTGGTACTTTCTGTATTTCCAGACAAGATTTACCTAACATTTAGCCTGCTCAGGAGATGCAAAACAATATAAGTTTCTGTTAAATCTGGGTTACTTCATTGGACAGACACCAGAACCAATAAACTTCTAAAATAGGAGAGCACCTTGTTGCTTAGTTTTGGTGTCAGGTGTTCCCGACAGTGACATTGAAAAAGTTATTTTGTTTTTCTTAGTTTTCTCATCTGAAAAAGAAGTGGATAACACCTATTTCAGAGGGTTGCTGCAGACACTAAAATGATTAACATATGTAAAAATGTCTAGTTTTTGCTTGATTTACTAAATAAGTATTAGTTTCCTTTTGAATTATTTGCCATGAAAGCCTTTCGGTGTCCCCTCCATCCCCCCCAAAAAAAAGAAAGAGAAAAAGAAAAAAGGCCCTAGCACTACTAGAACTCAAGCAGAAATTCACATTCTCCCAGCACTCACGTAGGATAAGAAATAGAATTCTACCCCAAGTCCAAAAAAGAGTCTGGCCCAATATCAAAATAGACTTTACCTCCAAAGCAGTTTGATATTTATTAAACACTACCTTTTTCTCTTCATTAACATCTCTTGCCTCCTGGTAATTTGCCCTTTACTTTTCCTCTGTTTCTCCAGCTTTGAAATCACACGCCATTTTTTTTAAGACAATGTAACAATGTGCAAGATATTTTTTGTTGTTGTTTTTTGCACTTTTGACATACCCTATCCCCAAACACACCCCAAACCAGGACACTGTGGAATTAATACAGTTTGGAAATTGGGTATAGTTTAGTGACTCAGTGTTAGTTAAGATGCTGGCAACAGATGTTGGCAAAGGCTATGGAATGAGTCCCAAGAATGACAAACCTTACATTACTCCAAAGGTTTGAAATCCAGGATTTCTCTGGTTAATATGGTTAATAGTTCCACTGCTGGTTTTAATTGTCTTAGAGTGGAAGGAGGTGTCATATTTTCAGGCCCTAGTAATCTCTTCCTTCAGAATTCTTCTGAATAAAAAGCTTAGCAACAAAATCACTAGAGTTAGAGTGCTATGCCTTCTTGATTTAATACTAAAACATGGAACAAATGAAACCACTCTGGCCTTTTTCCAACCTCTACAGATCCCTCATTCTTATACTTCTAGTCCGTCTTTTCTTCCTCATAACACCCCAATTCCCTTTTTGCTCTTTCTTTTCCTCCTCAAATCATATCTCTGCATTGTCTCGCTATGTGGCCACCCTTGATCTCCAGTGACCTCCAAAGGGCAAAACGCCCATAACAAGACAACAACTGCAGTAACAATCCAGTCCAAAAGTATTTGCCAAGAGTTTATTCCGCGGTTAGCACCAAACTCTCCATCTATTTTGCCACTGCAAACAGTGAACCCATAGTTCCCCAAAACAATCATAGTTCCTCATGCTTCACTCTTGGCAGGGCTGAGGACAGGAAAGAAGTGAAAATAAAATCTTCCATTACTACCCTCAGTCTAGCCAGAAGTATACCCCACCACACAAGGAGATGGCAGCCAAGTCTTCACTCCCTCAGAGTTTCTCCTCAGGCTCCTCACTCACCTAACTCTTCCATTGTCCTACATCCAAGATGCTCTTGTCTCACAGGCCGTGAGGAACAGCTTTGGCATGTGCTGAAGAAGAGGACCGCAAAGGAACTGGATGAGACAGCATAAGGCAGCCTCTATAAACCTTTTTGGTTCCTGTATTTGCTTAGCACTTCCTCTCTTTTGATTTGGTGAGCTTTTTTTTTTTTTTCATAGGTTACACAGTTTTAAAAATGTGACTGACATAGAAAGGTAGATAGTAAGATTTGCATTATGGCAGTGCATTGGCCAGGGTGATAAAGATTCAAAATTAATTTTGCAAAATTTGAGGACCTACTCTGTGCCAGGATTCATCTTGGATTCATGGGAATGGCAGACTTATACTTGCGTTTTTTCCAAGTGTAGGTACCCCACTCTGAGCATCTTTCTTTTTTCTTTTTTTTTTTTCTGTGAAGCTGGGAGACACAGAGGCATAGTCTCCTTCTTAAAATTTGCATCAGAGTTGACCAGCATCCATTTCATTTTGTTGTCTTATTTATTCAGAAATTATGGTTATCTGCTTTCCTGCATGGAACGTAAATCCTTAAAAGTAGGGCAGAAGTGGATTCATGCTTGGATTCTCAGGGCCTGGTTTACTCAGTGGTCCCAAAAGCAAACATCTATAGGGTGGTCACAAAGAAGGAAGCCAGGTTTGACACCAGATGTTAAACTGTGTGCATCTCAATTAAGCATAATCCCTGCCTAGATACACTGCCTTATAGCAATTTCTTTGGAAAGTAACACTGAGGTTAACTCTTCACCTTTTTTACCACTGTGATTTATTCACCTTGAATTAAACATTTACAAAAGGCCTACTATAAAAAAGCAATACGTAAGGAACTATAATTATGGCCCTGTGAAATAGATTTTTTCCCCCTTTTTACCAATGGTGAAATAGGTTCATGTAATAGCAACTTGCTAAGATAATTAATTGGTAGCTTTGCTACTTACTATAATTGCAAAGTCTGGGATCTTTCCTCTACAACACCGTAGCCTTCTTTACTTTTTTTAAGACAAGCTCTCTGTCACCCAGGCTGGCGTGCAAAGGTACTATCATAGTTCAGTGTAACCTCCAACTCGAACTCCTGAACTCAAGCGATTTGCCCTTCTCAGCTTCTGGAGTAGCTGGGACCAGAGGTGCATCCCATCACGCCACCAGGTTAGCTTAAAAGCTTTATTTTTATTTTTTATGTAGAGGGTGGTCTCCCTATGTTGCCCAGGCTGGTCTGGAAGTTCTGGGCTCAAGGGATCCTCCCACTTTGGCATCCAAAAGCGCTGGGATTCCGGGGGTGAGCTACCACATCCAGCCCACAGTGGCTTTTTTTTTTTAGGGAATAATTCATTCTCCATTCCACTGTCTGTACATTTTTTTTTGAAAGGAGATTCCTCCTCTGTATTACTTTGAGCATCCATTGGATGTCAGCACTGTTCCTTCCAAAAGTCTGCTCACTACAAACTCAATCTTAAAAAATTTCCATTGACACTATGCCAATCGATTATTACAACTGAAAATGACATTAGCCCTATGAAAATGGAAAATACTCAGTAGAGAATATAAAACATTTGTCTAATATGAAGTGGTATCTGAGTCAAAGTACTGGAAGGAAAAATGTACTTCAGCACTTGTCTACAGTTTAACTGAATGATTAATGTGAAATTTAAAATTGGATCCCCAGATCTTGTTTCCAGCTTCTTTCTTTTGGGACTTTTAGCCCTGGATGCCTTATTTTCCAGGGGTAAAGGATGTTCTTGCAAATCGTTCCTTGATTGTAATGGATGAAAAGAAAAAAGAAATGGGAGAGGCCCACTGCATCACCAACTGCAACGGAAATTCCCTTTGATGAATCAGGAAGACAAATTAATGTCATACGCTAGCGTGCAGAAAAGTAACCTCTGATAAAGTTGCTATTGTATAAACCGCAGAAGCAGATGGCTTCCGGCCGCAGAGCTTAAGAGACCCTTCAGCTTCTCGGTGTAGGTCACCAGTCATGTCACGCTCACAACCCTTTCGCCTCCCTCTAGGTCAGGCACCGCATCCAAGTTAAGCAACCGACGCCGGCTCCTTGGTGTCCCAACAAGGTCTAGTAGAAAAGCAACTTTATAATTCGTTTCACAGATTTGATTAAGAGCCAACTGAGTAGTGGGCCTTGTGCTAGGGCTCCGAGGGCCCAAGGACCCCATGGAACCAGATTTAGTCGCTGACCTCTAGGAGCTCACAGGTGAGTGACTCACACACCGGAAGACGAGATCAATAATGTAGACATGAACGCTGGCTAGCCAGTCCCAGAGGAGGTGTCATCTGACCAAACCAAGGCAAGTCTGGGCAGTTACGCAGACACCCCGAGAAAGGTACGCCAACGCCCAGATAAAAAGTAAGAAAAAGTAGGAAAAACCCTCCCATCAGACCAGCAATTGGCTCGACGCTTGAGCCCGGATGTACGGCACGCGTCGCGACCTAACCCGGAAACACTGCCTCCCGAAAAAAAGGTAAACTCTAGACTGCGGAAAGTAAACTACCTTTCCCGTCGTGACTCAGTTAGAACCTCCCGGCATCCTCTCCACCTCTGGTTTCCCATCTATTTTTCCTAAAGCCTAGGCGAAATAAGACTTCATCTCCCAGAATGCCCTTGGTTAAGTTAACGGTGCGCATGCGCCAAGAGGCGGGCCCTCGTTGCCCCCACAACCCCGCCTCCGTTTTGCCGCCGCCATTTTTTCAGAGACTTTCATCCGGCAACCGACGGGGCTTTTTTTCTTAAAGGAGAAGCGACAGCTCAAAATACTACCCCCTTCTCCGCGCAAGATCTGGCGGCGCTGGGGACAGAAAGGCCAAAGACAGGAAAGTGGGGTAGGGTGGAGGCGGAAGAACGCCCAGGCTACTTCTGCGGCCTAAAGAAGAATAGAAAGAGCCCTTGTGGTATCAGTGGCTCCTCAGGGAGGCAGGTGCGCGCGCAGCCAGTCTAGGGTTTGCGTGAGGCGGGGAAAGAGGTGCGATTTCTTCTCACCCGCCTCCCTCGCGAGACCTGCCCCTCGCACTGCCCCTAGCGCGCGTTGAAGTCTGGAGGGGGGAAAAAGGTCACTTTGGGATTGTCGCGAGACACAGCCGTTTAACGGTGAGAACGGGTGCGCGGGGAAGGAAACCTCGCGCGCTCCCCTTTTAGCCGTTTCCTGATTGGCTGAAGGAAGGGGTGGGGGAGGGAACCTGGGGCGCCGCTGCGTGTAAGACTGCGAGGGGCGGGGTGAGGAGGCTTGTCCTCTTTTCCGATTGGCCCGCTGAGCGTCTGTGGCGCGCGCGCGCGCGCCGCCAGCGGTAGCGGACCTTGAGTGGCAGGGGGTGGGGGGGGCGCCCTCGGAGCCGGGCGGAGGGGAGGGGGGAAAGAGGAGCGCAGGGTGAGAGTGAGCCGCAGGCTTCGGGAGGCGAGGGGGCGGGGGGAGCAGCGCCGAGGCCGCCGCCTCCGCCTCCGCCGCCTAGGACTAGGGGGTGGGGGACGGACAAGCCCCGATGCCGGGGGAGACGGAAGAGCCGAGACCCCCGGAGCAGCAGGACCAGGAAGGGGGAGAGGCGGCCAAGGCGGCTCCGGAGGAGCCCCAACAACGGCCCCCTGAGGCGGTCGCGGCGGCGCCTGCAGGGACCACTAGCAGCCGCGTGCTGAGGGGAGGTCGGGACCGAGGCCGGGCCGCTGCGGCCGCCGCCGCCGCAGCTGTGTCCCGCCGGAGGAAGGCCGAGTATCCCCGCCGGCGGAGGAGCAGCCCCAGCGCCAGGCCTCCCGACGTCCCCGGGCAGCAGCCCCAGGCCGCGAAGTCCCCGTCTCCAGTTCAGGGCAAGAAGAGTCCGCGACTCCTGTGAGTAACAGTCTTTCAGGCGGTGGGAAAGACCCCCCTCTGTCCGTACGCAACCCTCTCGGCTCCCGTAGCGCCTACTCCACGTGACATCCTGCCTGGTCTGCCCCCTGCCGGCTCCGCACGCCAGATGTCACACCGTTTCCCCGGGAGCCTTCGTGCCTCCTCTCTGCGCCACCCTCATCTCGCTCCTGTACCTTCGCTTGTCGGGCCGTTTCCCCACTCCCCGAAATCATCTTTTGATACACCCCTGCACTCGCTAGTGATCCACCTCCTCCCTGACACCCGCAGGCTCATCCCTCTTTCTGGCATCCGCACCCCCTTTGTCACCCTATCCCTTTCCTTTAGGCGGCTCTCCAGTATTACATCACATGCCCTTTAGGGAATACACAGCCCGATCATAGCCTTCAAAAATGATTCCCCCCCGCCTTCGCGTTAGCTCAAGAGCCAGATGTACTAGTGTGTTTATGTAGCTTTTTTTTTTTTTCACTTTTCTAAATTTTTCGCAACCCTTCTCATTCTTTTGAGAAATTTGCCACTTATTATGGTCAGGTTAAAAGCCCACTGCTACGATTTTAAGTATGGAGTCTTTCATATAAAATTATATGAGCATTCTTTAATGTTTGTTTTTACTAAGTAGCATATGTTTTATCTTTGTGTTTCGTGTTTTTAAATGTAGGAACTTCATCCTTGAAATTAGAATCATCTGAGAGGAATTCCTTTATTACCTAGACGTAATAGAGGAAACATGAACAGGTGGCCAGGAGCATTGTCTTAAATTGTTCGTTAAAATAATACTCATGTTAAGAATACTGAAGCACACAAGTTTGTAAATTCTAGAAATTAATCACATTGACTATTCAATTCATGACTGAAAACATCATTAGTGACCTTTGATTTTTGAGTGAAAACAGATTAGTAAAAACAGAGAAAATTGAAGTGAGGGGGAGTCAGTTTTAAGTGTTCCCTTTCTTCCAGTAGAGATAGTGGCAAGGTTTGACTTACACCAGACCTAATAGATTTAAAACTTGAAACAGACTTGGTCCAAAATTAAGAGTTAAGCCTGTGTCTTGGCATGCTTGCCTTAGAAGCCTCTCAGAAAGAGAAATAAAATTCAGAGGTAATCATATTGTGGTATTAGATATGCTTTCAAATTTTTGAATGTCAGCTAAGTTAACATAATTTAGAGAATTTGTTGTAAGAACTGCAGTTCTGTCGACAGCAAAAATCTGTACTTACAGATTCAGCTGCAATTAGACTTCTAATTGCTGTAGATGCATTTCATCTTACAAAAATTTTATAGTTCTATATTGTTTAATCTCATGAATTTGAAAAGATACATGTATATCATTGACCTCATTTGGATATGAATTCCGTGAGCAAATTCCTTAACCTACCCATGCCTTAGTTTCCTTACCTATAGAGGATAATCTCTGCAACGTGAGTTTGTGAGAATTAAATACAGTGTGTAAAGTGCTAGACACAATGCCTGTTGTAAATACTAAGTACAAGTTGCGTTTTTCAGTAATGGTGGGATGGTAGATCCTTGAGTGGTTTGTAGTGAGGTTTTTCATATAAATTATGCAAAATATGATTTTTTCACTCTTTAATATTACTATTCGTAGAGAGGGTAATACTTAAAATATTTTTAAAATTTCCTTTTATTCTCACCTACCCCTTGAAAATTAAATATACCTATATCTCAAGATAAGATAATTATGTCTAAAATGGTACCTGCTGTTTAATTTCTTTTTTTGGAGATGGAGTTTTTGCTCTGTTGCCCAGGCTGGAGCAGTGCCACGATGATCTCTGCACACTGCAACCTCCGCCTCCTGGCTTCAAGCAATTCTCCTGCCTCGTCATCCCAAGCAGCTGGCATTACAGGCGCCCGCCACCAATCCCAGCTAATTTTTGTAATTTTAGTAGAGGTGAGGTTTCACCATATTGGCCGGGTTGGTCTCCAACTCTTGACCTCAGGTGATCCACCCGCCTCAGCCTCCCAAAGTGCTGGGATTACAGGCGTGAGCCACTGCGCCCAGCCTGCTGTTTAATTTTTGAAGGAAAATAAATAATTTTTATCTAAAACAGTAATTTTACCTGCTGTCATGATTTATTTTTGCCCTAACTCTTGGCAACAAAGTACTAGTGACGCTTTAATTCCATATAACTGTTACTGTTGTATATGGATGAAGATGACTTAATTAAATTCCTTCCTTTTTTCTGCACAATGTTCCTTGTGGGGAGGAAGAAATAAGGCTGAATTCTTAGCGCCACCCGCCTCCCATCCAATATCATTAGAAAACAGTAGTGACAATGGCATTCTTCTTTCAGCCCCAAAATTATCTCTTGACTGTGTTTTTGATCAGGTTGTTAAACAAATTTTCGTCATAATAGAGTTTTTGTTACACATTTTTACCTTATTCCATAATCTGGAAATCAGAGGAATGCTAAAGCATTTTAGCTTGGCAAACTTGTTTCATCAGTATCTGGGCCTGGTACTATGCTGAACTAGGTGGTAGAAAGAAAAATGAGACATGGCCCTCATCTTCAAGGACCTTGGGGTGTAAGGCAAAGATGCATTAATTAGTGGAGATATGTCAAATGTGTGTATGGTATACAGATTTTCAGTCATAAAATACATTTTAAGACTTAATTTTTTCTACATAATTTAATCCTTTAAGATATTTCAAGAGGTTTTGAGTCCAAACCCTGGTCTGGTATCTTTGACTTTGAGTCATTTCTGTTTTCCAAATGACATTTTGAAAATTTTAAAAAGGAAGGTTTATTCTGTATTACTTACTTGTTCGCGCTAGTCCTTTTTCCATATCCCAGCATTTCCCTGTATACAATCTTAGTAATCAGCTGTTTAACCTACATTTGATTTTCTTAATTAAAGTGATAGTAAAGTATACCATAGTTTAAAAGGTCAAGAAATAGATAGATTTGGATTGGTTGAAACCTCTGTTCCCATTGGAAGGCAAAATAATAGAGTGGATAAAGCATTGGACTTTAGTCAGAAAGTTTTATGTTCCAGCTTTGTACTGTGCAGTAAGTGGCCTTGAGCAAGTCACTTAACCTCTTCATTTATAATTGCTTCATTTATAATTGATATTTTATGAATTTGCGAGATGACATATTTAGCTTACAGTTTTTATAATCTGATGTTTATAACAACTTCTTTTCACAATGAACTATTTAGGGGTTATTGGGAAGAGGAAATATTTGTGGATGAAGGGGAAATAAAAATTTTTCATTGTGCTCAAGAGAAGCACAGAGTTAAATGCTAGAATCATGATAAATTGAAGCATAGAAAGCTAGTAGGAAAAATAAACCAAATTTGAAGAAAGTTTATGTATCCATACTAAGAGTAAGACTGATCATTTGCTGTATGTTAGCCAGTAAATTACAGTTATTTCAAGTGCACGTTTATATACTGTCTTTAATTTTTGAAGTAAAATCTAGTAGCATTAGTATACTAGTTTTTGCCTATGATTTTTTTCTGATTCATCCATGCGTTCTGCTAGTAGGGAATGAAATTGTCAAATTAAGACTAGGTTAAAATGTATAAGGCTTTTTTTCATTCTTACATGTAATAGCCCTTCATTTATCCTGTGCATTTCAAAACTTAAAACTTTAGGGACAAATACTTTTTAAAAATTCTAACTTCGCTGTTGAGTAACCATATTAGCTAATACTGAGTATTTTTAGATGTCTTCCTTCAGGTTCAGATTAAGGAAAGTAGTTTTATTTTCTAGTATGTGAAATTCCATTTTTGGTATATTTTCTTGCTAAAATTAAAACAGTAATAAACCTTTAGGTGACCTTTCTTGCTGTTTCCCTTTTGAAGGTCATGGATAGTGAGGATGAAGAGGTGGTAATATTCTGAATTGAAAAAACTTACAGTTCTTTGGAGAAGCCTTCAGTTGTACAAGACTGAAATCCTGTGATCAGGATCTTAATCAGTATGATGATAGAAACATTGAACCAACTTTCAAGGTTTTTGGAAAAGTTTGTTATATAATTTTTCAAAAATTTAGCAATTATTTCTGCAGTTTTTATTTAAAGATGGGATGATTAGCAGTTATGGTGTGTTAATTGGGACATTGGTAATGTGATTTAAAATAAAATTATAATACCAGTCTTTTTTAAAAAAGTATGGAACAAACAGTGATAACTATTGTTTCTAAGTAGAATAGATTTTTGTATTACACTGTGGCTTCTGTATTTGTCTGGGTATTTATTTATAACATATTGTAACATAATAGAGTCTTTACTATATTAGGTTTACTTTTGGGAGGAGCAACAACAAAAAAACTTTGTACTGTTCAGAGATACTCTGTGGTATCTATATGATAAATGTTCAGGGCCTGTTGACTTTTGAATTTTAGTAGTAAGTATAGGAAGTTCATTATACTGTCCTCACCAGTTACGTATGAGAGAAATTTTTCTGAATGAAAAACCTGGGGATATGTCTGATTTTTGTTGTTTTGGGGGTTTTTAAAAAAATCTTCAGGCTATAACAATTTTTAAGCTCTTTACTGTTGCTTTTTAATTTGTAAAGGGCAAGTTACATTTACTTGTGAGGTCCACCTATTGTCTTTTTACAAGTAGATTTTGATTTGGTCTTAACAAACAATTTTAGGGTCTTTTTAACACTTCATTGAGTTTTTATTATGAAAATTGTTAAATATACACAAAATAGGGAAAATAGTATAATGAAACCCCAGTATTGATCACCTAGCTGAGATTTTGCCATGCTTGCTATGTCCATCCTCCCTGTTTTGGCAGAAGTATTTTGGAGCACATCCCAAACATCATTTCATCTCTAGTTAGTACATTTATATAAAATAAGAACATTTTCTTATATAATCACTTAATGTAACAAAATTAGTAATATTTTCTTTGTATCAATATCTTAGTTAAAAATAGGTGTTTTGAATGATATTCTAGCTCTGTGCTGTCAGTTATGTAGCCACATGTGGCTATTTAAATTTACATTAATCAAAATTAAAAATTCAGTTTCACAATTACATGAACTGTTTCAAGTGCTCAGTAGCCACATGTGACTGCCATATTGGACAGTGCAGATATGTTTCCATCACTGCTGAAAATTCTGTAGGACAACACTAGTCTAGATGCTTTCTTTATCACTCTGGAGGTGAACCTGAAAGAGATATTTATATTTTCAGAAAATGTGCTAGATTGTTCATTAATGTTTGATTCTTATTTCTTTCAGATGCATAGAAAAAGTAACAACTGATAAAGGTAAGACTTGGTCATCCTTACCTCTAGCGTACATTACACTGATTATCTTTTAATCTGTTAGAAAGCCTCATCATTCAAATTGGTTCCCATTTAAAAGGAATTTTTATTTGGTAAAAAATTACTGGAGTTAGAAAATATTTAGACGACAGCACGTTTGGATAATAGAGTATATTGGCATTATTTAGAAACCTAATAAAGGCAAATCAGATTGTTTGATGGTAATTTATAGTAACTTTTTTAAGCCTTTTATTTTTAAATGAGGTAACAGACTGGAATGATACACAGTATACAGAGTAAAGTGAAGGCAAAAATTTTTATGCTAGTAGAAATACAGATTAAAATTACAGGGTGAAGAATGCTGAGTGTTCTAAGAATTCAGCCTGGTGAATAATTAAATTAGGTCAATATTAGGTCATTTTCCTTTAAGTTTGAGTGTTAGCACACCAGATGTATGTATTATAGTTTTCTGTTTTCCTGGATTATGACAGGAAGCTAATGTTCACTTTTTCAATAACTTTTAAAATACTTTATTCTGGCTTTGCAGATTAGGTTATTAAAATTGCCCTAACGTGTTGGACCAGTTGCTTATTCGTTTCATTTTTGTTTTTTTCTAGTTTTTGGCTGTGTTCCTTGATGTTAAATTCAAACACACAGCATCCTCCTTAAAACTGAACAAATATACTTTTAGGCACATTTCTTTTATTACGTGTGACCTTGACCCAGGCTTGACACAGCCAGTTTCCAAACTCCTAGAATCCACCTAGTATCCATAGCTTTTAAGGTCTGCTTATAGCCTGCTACTATTTCTATAAAAGAATATATGTATATGCATTTTATATATCAGTGTATGTATTACATGTACATGAGAATCTTAAGGTTTTTCTGTTCTTGATAAATAATTCTTCGAGAACGTATAAGGCAAGTTTAAAGCCTGGATTTTGTGCCATATGGAAGAATGATAGTGTAATTTAAGAACCAATAACTTGCATTGGTGGTGGCTGCTTTGTAAATAATTAGGTTTCAATGCTAAGGTTTCTTATTTCTCTGAATTTTGGAATGTGAGTCTAATATTTCATAGTATAGCAGGCAGAGGTTTTTCATACCTGGCATTTTTTTTTTTTTATTTAGAAACCTTGGCATGATTATTTTGTCTAGCAAGTTTTTTGTTCCTGTTGTTGTTACTTAGAAAATAGGTTATGTCTGCCAAAAATGGAAGGTCTCACATTTCTTATTCAGAGATCAATTTGGAGATTTTATGATGTGGAGAAAATATAGAGACAGGTAACAAGTCTAGAGCATTCTGATTAAAACAAAAAGCAACCTGCTTTTGTCAGAGCTGAAATTACCTTACGTGTCCAAAGAAATCACTATGGGTTGCCTTGAGGCGAACTTGAAGAAAGGTGGAAATTTGGAGCCCCTTTTGGAGAGAAAAGTAGATGACCTTTGGGTAGACGTCTTTTTTTTGTTTGTTGAGTAAAGACAGGGTTTAGCCAGGCTGGATTCGAGCTCCTGGCCTCAAGTGATCCGCCTGCCTCGTGTGTAAATGTTTTAAACTAGAAGTTGACTTATTGGCATGTTTTGTGGTTGTGCAGCTGTGGAGAGATTAAAACTACATTCTGGATAATTTGATCCGAAGATCAATCCCACTTTACTGTTTAAAGGCCCTGGATCTAGATATTCTCAAATGCCAATCTTCATCTCTGTTAGTTTACCCATTAAGGTAGCTGTTCAACTCTATGAACAGTAGATAGGTATATAAGAACTGTAACATTCATACAAGATGAATGAATAAAGAAATGGAGGCTCGGGTAGTCACTTTTTCCTGTTGTGTTTCGTATTTAGAATTCACCTTAATTACTTTTCTTCTGGTCATTTAACTTCTCAGTTATTCTGGTACTCTGGAATAGTCCTCATGTTCAGTCTGCTAAATTTTAACTGAAATAACTCATGTTCATTTCAGAAGTTAAGGGTTTTTCAAAACTTTAAACAGGTTTTATTTTTTAGAGGTAAGACTGGCCTTCTGTTATATTAATGCTGAAAAGATATCTTCAGGATTGTTTTTACTCTTATTTACTCAAACCATCTAGAAATTGTATGCCTTCTTTGAGTTGAAGAGAAGAACCTTTGACATACACATAAACAATATTGCACACACAGAGTAGGCAACTTTCCATTAATTTGCAAAGCTGCAAATTAAGTTGCAAAGTTGCAACTTAAAAAAAAAGTTAAGTTGCAAAGTGCTACATTCATTTTTTTCAAACTGAAATAATAAACATGAGTATTAGTTCCTGTTTTTGCTACCCTTTTTTAACCGTGATTGGTGTATAAAACAAATGGAAAGCTACTATGCTAAAATAGTGTTAATTCATTCAACAGGTAATTGTTGAGCATCCACTATGTGTCTGGCGCTATTCTAGGCACTGGATTCTACTGGTAATCAAATAAATGAAGAAGTCAAAACAGTGTAATAATGTTTGATGAAGTTGGAGCTGAGAAAGCTAAGTTTAGATGAAATGATAAGGGAAGACCTTTTGGTGGAGGTGACATTTGAGATTACACCTGAATATGCAGATAGTTAATTTGGACAAGGAACATTCCACACAAAAGTTAAAAAGGAAAAATTACTTCAAACTTGAAAGCTTAGTTTACCACTGGCAGAGGATTATCTTCATGATTGTGGAGTTTCCAAGAGTGTTAGTAGAAATCTTAAGGGATGGAGATCTAGTTCCTTTTTAACTTGGCTTTATGTTTTCATTGTTTCTCTGTTTTGAACCAGTGTTGTACTTTGATTATAAAGTAAAAGAATAGTCTACCTACACGTAATTTTTAGTTATCCCAGTGTTCATTTTAACTTATTTCACTTTCTAACCTCTGACTAGACATGTTATGAAGCCTAATTTTTTTTTCTCCCATCTGTTATGTCCTTAGTGAGGAATAATAGTTAAAACTGCCTCTCAAGATAAAACATAAAAATGGAGACCAGAATACCTTAATGTTTATTAAAGTATGTTTTAAATGTTTAATGGAATGATAATAAATACTGTAGAATCAAGTAGATGTGGGCAGTGCTTCAGTTATTAATGTTAGATAGGTTATTTATTGCAGAACTTCTCAGAAACTTTGATTTTTGAGTAATGTGCAGTGTAAATACCAAAATTTTGCAGCGATTACCTAACCTATTTGACTTATAAGACCCCCTTTTTAAAGAGCATTTCGTAAAACTGGAGTTTACAGAAAACATACTTGGAAATACTGCATGCTTGAAAATTTGATTGTATAAAACTCTGGATCTCAACCTTTTATTCAAAATCATTTTACTCTTTTCAGTTGCTCTTATGAAATAGTGATGTTTGACAGTGATTACTGTGAGTCTCTAACTTGTGTAGTCAGGAAAAAAGAAGTCAGTCATCAGATAAATTCATAACAGATCTCAGCATTTACTTAGATTATTTGGAGCTTAACTGTTAAGTATTTACCTTACCTAGTTTATCATAATCAGCATACTATCTGTAATTATTACTAAAGTATTAGTTTATTTTGATTATTTTTCCTCCTGTCTGGATGACATCCTCAGTTTTTTTCTTATATTGATACAGTCTAATTTATAGCTTATGCCTCTGTGCTCCATGTTTTAAAATTAGAATTAATTTGTTATTAACAGTTTTCATAGATTTCAACAGTTTTATTTTTCATGTATTGAAATATCTTTGATTATCGTATCCTCTCAAATCAGTCTCTTGTATCCCATTCATCTTGGCCTCTTGTCAACTTGCAACCTCAATATAACATTGACTGTTTTTACTTCCTTTACAGATGTGTCTGTTTTATAGTATACTTTTTTGTTGGTTTTTCTTTCTTTCTAGTATATTTAAAGAATATTTTTATTATTTCTAAAAATACAGAAGACACATTTTTATGCTTTTTTTCCCATTCCAGTGAGAAAAATCTAACTTGTAATTCTTACCATTTGAGTTTGTGTACAAAAGGAAGAATCGAGAAGATACTGAGAACATTGTCTTCACAATTCTTTCTTGAAAGATTTTGAATCTCCTTGCTAATGACCTAGTTTTCCCAGTCAAAATAAAATCTTTTAGGTTTTGAATAGAAAAAGAGTTCTGGAAGGAAAATCTGTAGGTGAGAAAGGGCGTGTATAAGCCCAGTCTTAACACTCAGATAGGCTTTTAAGGTTTTTTTTGTTTGTTTTTGAGACAGGGTCTCATTTTATTGCCCAGGCTGGAGTGCAGTGGTGTGATCATGGCCCACTGCAGTGTTGATCTCCTGGGCTCAAGCCATCCTCCTGCCTCAGCTTCCCAAGTAGCTGGGACTACAGAAGTGTGCCGCCATTTCCAGCTAATTGTTTTTGATTTTTTTGTAGAGACAGGGTCTCACTGTGTTGCCTAGCCTGGTCTGGCTAGGCAGTCCTCTTGCCTCGGCCTCCCAAAGTGCTGGAATTTATAGGCATAAGCCACTACACCCAGCCTGTTAGTTTTAACTGAAATATTCCCCTTTACCAATTAAATGATACTGTTCTAAATTTAAATGTAAGTTAAAAACAACAACAACAACAAAAGCCTCTTTCCCTGGCTTCTCTTAATACTACTGAGATTGGCTAATATTTCAAAGCAAACTTTAATTATTTATGGAAAACAAAGTGCAGCTAGTGATAGAAATACACAGAGTAGTTCAGTTAGGTTTCAGAAACTCAAGTTTCTGACAATATAATGTTCAAGCCTCAAAGGCTAAATACAGTAGATAGACATTTTTGTTTGTCCTTCCTTCCTAATCTTTTATCTTAAGGTAGCAGTAACTGTATTATTTCTCTTAGTATGAGAATAATTTACTCAGACATCTTGTTCCATGTTGGGTATGGCCCAGATCCTTTAATCCGTATTGCTAGTTCAGACATCCAAACCTCCTTTGGTTCTTTTCCATTATTAATTTCCTACAAATAAAGATATATGTCACTTATAATATGTGAATTGTGATGTAGGCTTAAAAAGCCTTGATCATCAGCTTATTTCAGTTATGGGATTACCTATCAGGTAAATGAGTCTTAACTTTATAATAATTTGCCTATTACAGCTCAACTTATTGCCATCTTCGACACAGTTATAAGTTTATTCTGCTATATATATTATTTTACATTGAGATCCCTTTTCCTGCCAAGACCACTTGAGAGTTAAAGCAGAATGCCCTGATAGAAGAAAACTGAAGCAGAGGAAACTTAAAATCCTTAGTGGGGAAAGCCATATTCAGCCAGTACAAATCCAAAACCTTTAAGAGAGACTTGCTTGTATCTTCATTTTGAAATGAGCCTTAGTGGATAAGAATCTGTGACAAAAAGTAATATTGCCCCTTGACTGTTAAGTTCAAGAAAGAAGAAATTCCTCTGAATTAAAACCAGCCTGAATAATCTAATGCTATCCGGGCAAAGGCTTCTTTAGCTTCATAACAAACCATCTAAAAATTTAGTGGCTTAAAACACAGCAATTTATTATTTACTGGTTGGGCCATTCCCCCCTCCTCATTGGTCATTCAGTTCAGACTTGTTTTATATTATGGTGGTTGTGGCGCAGTGTTCCAAAATCCTGAAGGCAGTAACTGCAAGGTGTCTTGAAACCACCCCCACAGTATAATCAATCAGTTGTATTTCTGTATATCAGCAACAAAAAATAGAAAATCGAAGTCATAAAATCAAAATAAAATTTATATTAGTATTTACAACCCTATAAGCAAGATATACTGCTCCATTTACTTAGGTTTTTAATTTTACTCAGCAATGTTTTGTACTTTTCAGTGTATAGGTCTTTCAAATTTTTTATCCCATATATCCCTGAGTATTTCATATTTTTTGATGCTGTTAGCTTAGCTTAATTGGGATTCCCACTGTGTTTAAGAGTGGGATTGATTCTTTAAGAAAGAAGAGGTGCCTAGATGCTTTGTGGATATCCAGTCATGGCTACTGTACATTTATATTCTATTATTTAACCGTTACCTAACTGAAGGGCATTTGATATTTCTGGGTTTTTTTTTTTTCCTGAGATTACAGGTGATTTTTAGAGAAATCCTATTAAAATGTACCATACGTATACAGAAATGCACATATTATAAGACATATACATGTACTCTTGTTTCTCCTCCCCCTTCTTTATTTTATAAGTGGGTGGACCCAGGGTGAGCCCAATCATGTAACCATTTACACAACTGAAGAAATAAAACATAATTGTTTTGGAAACTCCCTTATGCTCCTTCAAGTCAACCGCCCCCAAGTGTAACCACTATTTTGACTTTAGCAGAAATTAGATTTGCCAATTTTTGAATTTTACATAAATGGGATAATACAGTAGGCACTCTTTTGTGTCTCGCTTATTTTGCTCATCATTTGTGACAAATGCTGTGTTTGTCATAGATCGTTTATTTTAGTTGTTGTATAGTGTCCCATTGTGGGAATATAACCACAGTTTAACTGTTTTACTGTTGATGGATGTTTGGGCAGTTTTCAGTTATTAGTCTTTATGACTAGTACTGTGATGTATATTTTTGAAATATAGTGTTATTGGGATGTAATTTATACATCATAAAATTCACCCATTTCAAATGTACAATTTAGGGATCTTGGTACATTGTATGAATTGCACACCTATCACAATACAGTTTTAGAACTTTTTCTTCACCCTAATAATGTCCTTCATGCCTGTTTATAGTTAATCCGTATTCTCACCCCCAACCCTAGGCAACCATTAATCTACTTTCTGTCTGTATAGATTTGTTTTTTTTCTGGACATTTTGTGTAAATGGACTCAGACATACAATTTGTGTTTGTATATAGGAAGCATTATGCAATGTATGTAGGAAGCATTATGCAGGCAAGACAAATTTGTATCTAGAGTCTATTCCAGTAACAACAAAGCACTGCCACTTCCATGATGGAAGTGGTCCAATGTAGCGAACCTTGCACCAGGTGAGCTGGATGATCACCCCAGGGAATGGTGCCATATCAGGGACTCGGTGTTGGTCTCTGCTGCTGGCATATTAGGCAATTAGCAGTGGCTGTAGCCAGGTCAGCCTGGGTTTGGTTTTCAGCAATCTCAGTTTTGCAGCTGTAGTAGGTAAGTATTGTTTTCAGGAAAGACACAGAAACTTTGAGGTAATTTTTGTGATGCTCGAGCTGGGAATTTGAACCCCTGAGCACATCTTTTTTTTTTTTTTTTTTTTTTGGAGACTGAATTTCACTCTTGCCCAGGCTGGAGTGCAGTGACGTGATATCGGCTCACTGCAGCCTCTGCCTCCTGGGTTCAAGTGATCCTCCTGCCTCAGCCTCCTGATTAGCTGGGATTAGAGGTGGTGTACCACCACATCTGCCTAATTTTTTGTATTTTTTTAGTAGAGATGGAGTTTCACCATGTTGGCCAGCCTGGTCTCAAACTCCTGACCTCAGATGATCTCCCTGCCTCAGCCTCCCAAAGTGCTGGGATTATAGGCATGATCCACCGTGTCCAGTCTGCACATCCTTTTCTTTATCCACTTCATGTTTTCTAGTTAAGAGCAACCAGCTAATTTCATTATATCATTACTTTGACCAGAATGTTCTAAGGTATCAAACAGATGATCTTTAAAATGAAGGAAATTCTGTCATTCGTGACAACGTGGGTGGAACCAGAGGACATTATGCTAAGTAAAATGCGCCAAGCACAGAAGGATAACACTGTATGATCTCGCTTGTGTGTAATCTAAATAACTGTCTCATAGAAATGTAGTTACCGAACGCTGGGGGGTTAGGAGGTGGAATGAGAAAAGGGGAGATGGAGATGAAAAGGTACATACAGACTTTCAGTTAAATTGGGAGAGTAGGTTTTAATGATCTATTGCACTGTGTATTAGTCCCTTTTGAGTTGCTAGAAAGGAATATGTGAGACTGAATGATTTGTAAAGAAAAGAGTTTTTTCTGACTCATGGTTCTGCAGGCTGTACAAGCATGGCACCAGCATCAGCTAGACTTCTGGTGAGGCCCCTGGAAGCTTTCGCTTGTGGTGGAAGGTGGAGGTGGAGCAGGTGTGTCACAGAGTGAGAGCGAGAGAGAGGGGAGGAGGGGCTAGGCTCTTAAACAACCAGGTCTCACATGAAGCAATAGAGAACTCACCTATTACCACAGGGATGGCACCAAGCCATTCATGAGGGATCCACCCCCATTACACAAACACCTCCCACATCCAATATTAGGGATCACATTTCAACATGAGATTTGAAGAGGACAAACATCCAAACTATATCACACTGCACGGTGACCACAGTTAATAATAATGTATTACATATTTCACAGTTGCTAAGTTGGTGTGTGTTCTATTGTTTTGAATGAAACTCTAAGTTTATCTGTCTGTCCCCAGCAGCCACCAGATGCTCAGAGAGCACCAGCAGGTGATGAAACTGCATGGGTCCCCTTATCAACACTGTATACTTAGGCTACAATAAATTTATACACAAATATTTTTCTCTGCTCTTTCCTTTTCTTAAACGTGTTCTCAATATTAGTGCTACGCTTGTATATGTCTTTCATGCCCCAGAAAAAGTGATATGAACAGAACAAGATTGTACTGTGGTTGTTTTTAATATATTTTTTAATGCAAAACTGCTGCTGGAAGAGAGAAATCAATGAATAAGCCAGATGTTGGGGATAGCCAAAAACAACACATTTCATAAATATTGAAAATGATCCATTTTATATGAACCAAGCTAAATCTAGACAATAATAGTTTGTTTTTATGTGCTGACAATTCCCAATTTTATGTTTGTAGCCCGCCCTGTCCTTTGAACTTTAGGCCTGTTGATGTTTTACTCAGCAGTAATCTCAGACTTGGTCAAAGCAGAACACATATTCTCTCTAGTGTCTCTTCAAGAAACAAAAAACCCTGATCTTTTTCTTTGTTTTCATCATCAGTCCAATTGTTCAAGTCAGAAATCTAGAATCCCAAATCCTTGGCATCTCCCTCTATCCCTGTTAAGTTATTCTCTAGTCCTGTCTCGTCTGTTTCCTAAGTATTTCTTATATCTCTAATTCTTTCCATATTCAGTGGTATTACCCTCTTTAAAGCCATTATTATCTGTTGCCTGGCATATTGGAGTAGGTTTTTAGCTGGTTACCTAGCATCTACTCTTGCCCCTACCTAGCTCATTGTCTAGCCTGCAGCCAACATGAACATTAAAAATGCAAATCTGATCATGTCACCGTTCTGTTTAAACTCTGTCTGTGGCTATTAGGATAAGATTCAAAATCCTGGAAGGACCTTGTTAGACTTTTTTATGCCTCCTCGGCATGATAAATGATGGGTTTTGTCATGTTTTCTCTGCTGCAGTCATGTTTATCTTCTTTCTTTCAATTCTCAAGACATGTACATGTACTCGTTTCTCCTGCCCCTTCTTTATCAGCTAGCTACCACTTATTTATTCTTCAGAGTTCACCATATTTATTTAAACTTAAATGTTGAGCTAATTCTTAGCTATAGAGATCATTAAGTTAATAAGCACTAGTTTTAAGAGCTGTGTTTTCAGAGAAACCATCCTTTCACCTTCTCAAACTTATGTCTGAGCAAAGTCTTAATGTTTTTAAGAAGCAGAACTAATTCACCTAATGCCTATACTTTGAACTTTGATGACATTACTTTGTGATTCTATTTTTGTTTTGCTCCAAAATTTTAATATCTGCAGAAATTCTGTGAAAGCCTAATATTTTTTATCCTTTCTGTCAGTGCACCAGTGGCTGATGTCTGCTTTGAAATCAGTAAGCCAGGAAAAAACATATGTAGATGGAGTAAACAGAGATGACTAGAATAAGAAAGAAAAATCTAGGCATTAATACACAGTGTTGATTTAAAAATGAGTAAACTGTTTTGGAATGTAAACATTCTAAATTTCTTAAATACAATTTTAAAATCTCATTTATTTTCCGGTTTTTAATCACAATAAAATTTCTCTAGTTCTGTTTTGAAACATAAGGAAATACAGCATGTGGCTTTAGGTTAAAAATTCACTCATGGAATAATTCTTACAGGTGTTTCAGGTTAGTATATTATATAAATGGGGCCCTCTTGGCACTTGAATCCAAGGCTGGGTGGAAATGAGCCAAATCTGGATTGAGCCCTTGCCGTGGTGCTTTCCATTTCTCGTTTATATGGTTAGGTGTGGTATAGTAGAAAGAATATAGACTGGACTTAGATATACCCGTGTTCAGTTCCCTCAGCAGCTTTTAATATGTGCACTTGGGAAAGTCAGTTACTTGGTTTCTTCATCTATGAAGATAAGAATAATAAATACTTGATAGGGTTATAACTGATTTTTGAGAAATGAAAAAAATATATATTACCTAGCAGTTAATACTTAAGATTTGTTAATTGCCCAGAAGAAATTTAAATACTTAAAGAGAGATTTGAAGACCTTTACCTTTAGTATCTTCCCAGCTTATCAACTAACCACACCCTGTTTCACCCTACAATAAAATAATAGCATTGATTATGTTAGAATGGCCCTTCTAACTTAAAGTATTTTATCATGACCAAGTGGCTCTCATCTTTTGGAATTTGATGGTTTGACTTGTTATAATAATTATCTCTGGCTGTAGGATTGAGATAAATCATATTTCATTGTCTGCTATCTAGAAGAATTAGAAGAAAACATTCCTGCCAGTAGTATCAATCTTTTTTTTTTTTTTTTTGGTTTTGAGACGGGGTCGTACTTTGTTGCCCAGGCTGGAATGCAGTGGTGCGATCTCAACTCACTGCAACCTCTGCCTCCTGGGTTCAAGCAGTTCTCTTGTCTTGACCT
This sequence comes from Homo sapiens, assembly GCF_000001405.40. NCBI lineage: Eukaryota > Metazoa > Chordata > Mammalia > Primates > Hominidae > Homo > Homo sapiens. Next base: position 58,595,700 of record NC_000011.10, read on the forward strand.
CCTGAGTAGCTGGGACTGGTGTGCGCCACCACCGGCCTGGCTAATTTTTGTATTTTTAGTAGAGACAGGGTTTCATCATGTTGGCGAGGCTGGTCTGGAACTCCTGACCTCAAGTGACCTACCCATCTCCACCTCCCAAAGTGCTGGGTATAGGCTTGAGCCAGCACGCCTGGCCTAGCATTAATCTCTTATTGTCTCAACTCATAGTATAAACCACTCTTACTTCATACCTTCTTTCAAGAATGTACAGTTGGCCCTTGAACAACATGGTAGGGTTAGGGGCACCACCTCCCCCTCACAAACAAAAACCTGCATTTAACTTCCCAGAAACTTTACTAATAGCCTGCTGTTGACCAGAAGCTTTATCAATAACATAAAGTCAACTAATTCATATTTTATATGTGTATTATATCCTGTATTCTTACAGTAAAATAATCTGGAGAGAAGAAAATTTATTTAAAAAAACCATAAGGAAGAGAATATATTTACTATTCATTAAGTGTAAGTGGATCGTTATAAGGTCTTTGTCCTCTTCTTCACATTGAGTAGGCTAAGGAGGAGGAAGAAGAAGAATCGTTACTCTTATCTCAGGGGGTGACAGAGGTAGAAGGAGTGGCAGGAACATTTGGCGTAGCTTTACAGAAATACAATTTCTGCCTGACTTCTTTTTTGCTTTTTCGTTTCTCTACAAATGTTTCTACACTTTAACCATTTGCTTTAGTTTCAGGGCAGATATCATAGAAGGGTTCCTGTCATAAAAGGAAGTCAAAAGCAGTCTTGAATAATTGGAACCTTTCTGCCAGAATTTCTAAGTTTTTAATGTTAGTTTGTTTTCTGGCATTGCTGCTTATATGTTGTCTTTCTGATCGTCTGGCCCCTGTTCAAAAGCACTCATCTTCATCATGTCATCTTGTTACTTCCTCTTGTGTGGTGTCTGTTTGCACCTGAATTTATCCAAGATGCTTATTTTTAAAGGCTTCACCATCACCACCCCACCACCACCTTTTTTTTTTTTTTGCCATATTCACAATCTCTTTCATGATTTCCTTGATTGGCTCTGCCATAAATCCTGTGAAGTCATGCACAACATCTGGACACAATTTTCTCCAGCAGGAATTTTCTATAACGATGGCATCTTCAGTGGTGTAATCCTTCCTGACTTTCATGATGTTCTCTCTATTGGGATTTTCTTACATGGAGTTAACAGTCCTTTTCCATAGAATATCGTGTAATGAGACTTAAAGATTCTTATGACCCGCTGATTGGGAAGGTGAATTAGAGACATTGTGTTTGGGGGGCAAGTAGACCACTTCAACACCTTTGATGTTAAATTCATGAGGTAACCAGGGGCATTGTCCAATATCAAAAGAACCATAAAAGGCAGTCCCTAACTGGCAAGGTACTTTTTTACTTCAGGGGCAAAGCATCAATGGAACCAGTCTAGAAAATTAGTTCTTGTTTTCCTGACCTTTTTGTTGTACCACCAAAAGATTGTTAGTTTTTCTCTTCGAGGCTCAGGAGTTAGTAGCTTTATAGATAAGGGCAGCCCTGATCATAAACCTAACTGCTTTTACACAAAACAGTGGAGTTAGCCTATCCTTTCCTGCTTTAAATCTTGTTGCTTACTTCCCCACCTTACTAATATAATAAATGTCTCTTGTGGCATTTTTTTCTGGACTGGGGTAGTTGCATTAAAAACTTAGGCAGATATCCTTCCTCAGCTGTTTTCTTAACAGTGCCTGGGAACTTGTCTGCTGCCTCTTGGTCAGTAGAAGCTGTTTCTCCTATTATCTTGACATTTTTAAAGCCAAATCTCTTTCTGAAATTATCAAACCATTCTTTGCTGACATTAAATTCTTTCTTCACCTTTCTTTTGCTTTAAGTTGTCATATAATGAGTTTACTTAGAGTCTGTAGGTATGCCTTTCTTATAGCAATTCTGTACCCACATAAAAGCTGCATCTTGAATGTGAGATAAAAGTATTTTGCAAAAACTGCAAGATTTTTGCACCTGCTACTGTAGGTGCAGCAGTGGCTTCACAAATTTCCTTTTCTTCAATACTTTTTATGTTGGATTCATTTATCTTAAAATGGTGAGCAACTGCAGCTACACACCTCAACCTTCTATGCTTATTAAGCAATTCAACTTTTTCTTGTAATACCGTGACTTTTCTCTGCTTCTTGGAAGCACTTCCAGTATCACTAGTGGCAACTCTTATGGGTCCCGTAGTGTTAGTCAAGGTTTCAGGTATTGCTCTAAACATAGTGAAAAATGAGTTAACTGAGAGATACCACTTCTACTGTGACAGTAAATTCACTCAGGTGGTGATGATTATCCTCATGACATTTTAAGCAGATACTTGAAACAGCTGAGCTTGCTGCAATAGCAACAGGAGATAGCTATGAAATTATTATGTACGGAGTTAATTTTATGCAGTTATTCATTAGTACATCTTTACGTTTCTTTACATTTCTCTGGACTTTGGATGATACCATATATAGTCTAAGACTTTGTGTGTGTAAGTTTTGTTGAATTTTAACTTTTTATATTTGTGTATATTTTACAGTAATGTCATCAAATAGAGTGGTATCTATAGTTTATGCATTCATGACATAACTTAATTTTTCAATATTTCTAGGCTACACAGTTTGTCTGCAAGTTTTTTCAAATTGTCACAAATCTCCAAAAAATTTTCTTACATATTTTAAAAAACTGGCGTATGAATGGATCCATGCAGTTCAAAGCTTTGTTGTTCAAGGGTTAACTAACTGTAGTTATATTCACTGTGCCTGCATGTTGCTCATGCAGTGACTAGTATGATGTCTTCCTTTACCCAAGCTAGTATGGCTTTTTTCTCTTATTATTTATGTATCAAGGAACCTCCTCAAGGTTAGCTGCTATTATAAGAAACAACTGGAAATTGTCTTTGAAGTACCACACAGAAGAAACTTGGCTTGTTTCCTATCTGTTTATGATTGTTTATGCTAATGTATGGATTGTCCTTCAGTTGTCAATTTCTATTCCAGAAACCTGGCAATACTTTTGTGCACGTGTGTGTGTGTGTGTGTGTGTGTGTGTGTGTGTGTGTTTTGAGGTGAAATTCACATAACAAAAAAATAGTAAAAAATACTTGAAAGCATACAATTCAGTGACATTTGGTACATTTACAGTGTTGTACAACCATCACTTCTATCTAGTTCCAAACATTTTCATCACCACCAACAAAGGAGACCCCTGTACCCATTAAAAGCAGTTATTCCCCCTTCCCTCCTGTTCAGCTGCAACAAACATTAATCTGCTTTGTCTCTATGGATTTACCTATTCTGGATATTATATGTAATTGGAATCATACAATATGTGCAATATGTGACTTTTGTTTCTAGCATCTATCATATAGCATATTTTTAAGGTTCACATTGTAACATGTTAAGATTGCATTCCTTTTTATGGCTGGATAAAAATTTTCGTTGTATGTATATATGACATTTTGTTTATCCATTCACTGGTTAATGGATATTTGGGTTGTTTCCACAATTTGGGTATTGAGAATTGTGCTTCTATGAATATTCATATGTAATAAGTATTTCTTTGAATAGCTGTTTTCAATTTTTGGTGTATGTACCTAGAAGTGGAATTGCTGGATCATATGGTAATTCTGTGTCTAAGTTTTTCTTAACATTTTTCTTAACACTGTTTTCTTAGGTTTTCCATAACACTGTTTTCCTCATTAGCTGCCTCATTTTACATGTCCACCAGCAATAAACAATGGTTCCAATTTCTCTGCATTCTCACCAACACTTCTTATTTTCTTTTTTTATTATTTTTAGTTAGCCATTGTAGTATGTGGGAAATGGTAATCTCATGTGATTTTGATTTGCATTTCGTTAATGACTGATGTTCCGTATCTTTTCAAGTACTTTTTTGGCCTTTTGTATATCTCTGGAGAAATAATCTGTTTAGGTTCTTTGCCCATGTTTTAATTGGGTTGTTTCTCTTTTTGTTGTTAAATCCAAAGACTTTATATATTTTGGATATTAGACTTTTACCAGATATATGACTTGCAAATATATTCTCCCATTCTGTAGGGTTATCTTCACTTCTATGCATTTTTTAGTGCTAGCTCCTGTGTTTAGGTCTTTGATCCATTTTGAGTTAATTTTTATATATGGTATAAGGTAGGAATACAACGTCATTTTTTGCATGTGGATATCCATTTGTCTTAGCACCATTTCTTGAAGAGACTGTTTTCACCTACTGAATGGTCTTAGCCACCTTCTTAAAAATCAGTTGACCACAGATGTATAGATTTATATCTGGACCTTTAATTCAGTTAGTTGATTCAATTATTATTAGTTTTATGCCGGTAATACATTGTATTGATTACTGAAGCTTTATAGTAAGTGTTGAAATTGAGAAGAAAAAAGTGCGTCTTTAATTCTGTTTGTTTTCAAGATGGCTGTGACTAGTGTAGATCCCTTGCATTTTCCTGTGAACTTTAGGATTGGGTTGTCAATTTCTACCAAAAAGGAAGCTGGGGTTTTGATAAGAATTACAGTTAATCTGTGGGTTTATTTTCAGAGTATTGTCATCTTAACAATTTTTCAATATTTTATTCCTTTTTATTCTATTGTAAAGGTAATCATTTTCTTAATTTCCTTTTTGTTCATTGCTAATATACTTAAAACAATGAATGTTATATGTTGGTCATATATTCTGGCACTTTGAATAAAGGTAATAATTATTTTCTTAATTTCCTTTTTGTTCATTGCTAATATGCTTAAAACAATGAATGTTACGTGTTGGTATTATATTCTGGCCCTTCGAATTTGTATATGACCTTTAACAGTTTTCTTTTGTGAAAATTCTTTAGAATTTTCTATATGTAAGGTCTTTTCACCTGCAAATAGAGATACAGTTTTACTTCTTCCTTTTCACTTTGGGTGCCTCTTTTTTTACTTGAGTAATTACTTGGCTAGAACTTCCAGTACAGTGTTGAATGGAAGTGAAGAATGAGGGCATCCTTGTCTTGTTCCTGACCTTAGCAGGAGAGCTTTGTCTTTTACCACTGCGTATGATGTGAGCTCTGGGGTTTTTAAAGGTGTTCTTTGTCAAGTTGAGGAAGTTCAATTCTATTCCCAGTTTTTTGTGTGTTCTTATCATGAAAGTTTAATTTTGTCAGGTTCTTTTTCTTTTTTCTACATCAATTGAGATAATGGTGTGTTTTTTCCTCTCTTTATTAATGTGGGATATTACATATGTTTTTGTATATCGAACCACCCTCATAATCCTGGGACCTGTCTCAATTGATTATAGTGTTTAATCTTCTTAATATGATGCTATATTTGGTTTGCAAGGGATATTGGCTTATGGTTTTTTGTGGTGTCTTTGTCTGGCTTTGGTGTCAGAATAATGCTGTGTTTATAGGATGTGTTGGGAAGTGTTCCATCTTCTATTTTTTAAGAGAGTTTGAGGAAGACTGGAGTTAATTCTTTAAATGTGTGGTAGAATCAACCAATGAAACCATCTAGAGGCTTCTGGCCTTTTTATTGGGAGCTTTTTGTTTACTGACTCAGTTGTCTACTTGTTAAAGATATGTTCATCTTTTCCATTTCTTGTTGAATTGTTTTTGGTAATTTGTGTGTGCCTAAGAAGTTGTTGATTTCATCTATGTTATTTGTTGGCAAACAGTTGTTCATTGTGTTTTCTTATGTTTATTTCAGTGGTAGTGTCCCATTTTCATTTCTGGTTTTAGTAATTTGGGTCTTCTCTTATTAACCAAAAGTTTGTTGATTTTGTTATCTTGTCAAAGAACCAACTTATTTACTTTATTCTGCTAGCTTTGGGTTTACTCTGCTCCTTTTTTCCTAGCTCTTATGGGTATGATGTTAGGTTATTGATTCAGGCATGTGATTTTTTTTTTTTTCTATTTTAATGTAGGCATTTATATCTAGAAATTTTACTCTGAGAACTGCTTTCACTGCATCCCCTAGGTTTTGGGATATTTTGTTTTCATTTTCAGTCATCTCTAAGTATTTTGTAATTTTCCTTGTGATTTATTCTTTGATCCATTGGTTTAACAGTGTGTTAATTTTCATGTATTTGTGAGTTTTCTAGTTTTCCTTCTGATATTGATTTCTAGTTTCATTCAATTGTGGTCAGAGAGAACGTACTTTATATGACTGCAGCCATTTGAAATTTATTGAGACTTTTCAATATGTCTGTGAATTTTTTTTTTCCCCCAAGATGGAGTCTCGTTCTATCGCCCAGGCTGGAGTGCAGTGGTGTGATCTTGGCTCAATGCAACCTCCACCTCCTGGGTTCAAGCAGTTCTCCTGCCTCAGCGTCCTCGAGTAGCTGGGACTACAGACACACGCCACCATGCCCGGCTAATTTTTGTATTCTTAGTAGAGACAGGGTTTCGCCATGTTGGCCAGGCTGATCTCAAACTCCTGACCTCAGGTGATCTGCCTGCCTCAGCCTCCCAAAGTGTTGGGATTACAGGTGTGAGCCACTGCGCCTGGCCCAATATGTCTGTTTTTTAACATTATGTCTAATTTTGTCTAATATGTCTAATTTTTTAATTTTGCTTGAGTTCTGTATTTCCTTATCAAACTTCTGACTGGTGTTTGGTTCTGTTATTGAAAGTGGGATACAGATGTCTCCATTTTTGTGATTGTGGTATTACCTGTTTCTCTTCAGTTCTGTAAATCTTTGCTATGTATGTTATATGTTGATATATCTCGAGAGAGAGATGGGGGGAGAGGGAGAGGGGGCCTGTGTTAGCTATGTATAGGTTTATATTTATTATATTTTCTAGATTGATTGACCCTCTCATTAACGTATAATGTTCTTTGTGTTTTGTAACAGTTGTTGAAGTGCATTTTGCCTGATATTAGTAGGGCCACCTTTACGAGTTGAATTGCTTTCCTCAAAAGATGTTGAAGTCTTAACTCAGGTACCTGTGAATGGAACATTGAGAAATAGGGGCTTTGTAGTAAATAGGCTTTTGTGGTAATTTGTTATGGCAGCCCTAGGAAACTAATACATTTTGGTATTGGAAGTGGGCTATGAAAAAGTACCTAAAAATGTTGGCATAGCTTTGGGATTGGGTAATGGATATTGGCTTTGAGTATTTTGAGGTATGGTGCATGCCTCTAATCCCAGCTATACTCGGGAGGCTGAGGCAGGAGAATTGCTTGAACCTAGGAGGCGATGATTGCGGTGAGCCAAGATTGCGCCGTTGCACTCCAGCCTGGGCAACAAGAGTGAAACTCTGTCTCAAAAAAAAAGAAAAGAAAAAACAGCGTAGATTGCCTTGAAGAGATGGTCAACAGAAATATGAGTGTTAAAGGCAGTCTGATGAGGCCTTAGAAGGAAATGATGAACATGTTATTGGACAGTGGAGAAAAGGTGATCCTTGTTATAAAGTTGCAGAGAACTTGACTGAATTGTGTTCTATCATTGGGTAAGCAATGAACTTGGATATTTATCTGAGTAGATTTACAAACAACGTGTAGAAGGTATAGCCTTGTTTCTTCTTGCTTATATACTAATGTGTGAGAGGAAAGATATAAATTGAGGAATGAATTGTTTAGCAAAAAGGAGCCAGCACTTGATAATTTGAAAATTTTTTAGTCTGTCCAAATAGTGTATTGTGGTACAGGACCAAGGCTGTGACTGGACAGCTATTCTCTAAAGAGACTTGGTATATAACTTGTGGATCGAATCAGCCATCTCAGCACTTCCCAGAATAGACATGCAATTTTTCAGGAAAGATCTGTGGAGGACTCTCATTTGGTGGCTTCGACCCCCTGAATTTCATGAAAGACTGACAAAGTTTTTGAGAATGTTGTGACAGCAGAAACACTGCCAGGCTGGCCTGAATGGGACAGAGACAGAATGGAATTAAAGAAGAATGATGCTGAGGGTAGAGCTGCAAATGCTGGGTCCTGGGTGTATTAGACTTCCTGGGGCCACGATGGCAGGGCTATTTCCCCAGTGGACTCAGAGTACAAACCATTATCCACAAAAGCTTATTCTTAGGGCTTAAAGTCTAATGCTTTTCGCTAGGTTTTGGACTAACTTGGGACCCCTGACCCTTTTTCCCCCCTTCTATTTTCTTCCTTTTGATATGGAGATGTGTAATCTATAAGTGTCCCACCATTGTTTTTTGGAATCAGCTCCACAGATGGAGAAGAATTTTGCTCTAGAGTGGACCATACCCCCAGTCTCATTCATAACTGATCTAGATGATGAGATTTGATCCCTTTTGAGTTGATGATTTTTAGGTATTGTTTGGATTTAGACTTGATACTGGAATGGGTTAAGACTCTGGGAGGTTGGGATTAGGTGAATGTATTTTGCACATTGGAAGGACATAAATTTTAGGGAACCAGAAGGTACAGACTACTACGGGTTGAATTTTATCCCTCCAAAAATGTGTTGAGTCCTAGCCCTTAATACCTGTAAATATGAACTTATTTGGAAATAGGATCTTTGCAGATGTAATCAAGTTATAATGGAGTTATTCTGTATTACAATGGGCCCTAATCCACTATGACTGATGTCCTTATAAGAATAAGGACATCACACATGGGACAGGAGGAAACACCGTGTGATGATGGAGATAGAATTGAAGTTAGCAGCTATAAGCCAAGTTGTTGACCACCACCAAAAGCTAGGAAGAGGCAAGGAATGATTCTTCTCAGAGTCTGAGAGGGAGTGTGGTCTGTTATTGTGTTGATTTTGGACTTTTATCCTCCAGAAGTATGGGAGAATAGATTTCTGTTGTTTTAAGACATCCCAGTTTGTTGTGATTGGTAGAGCAGCCCTGGTAGACTAATACATTATTTCAGCTCTCTCTTGCTTACTATTCGCATGTAATATCTTAATCCATTCTTTTACTTTGAACCTGTTTGTGTCTTTGGATCTAAAGCAAACTTGTCCACTATGGCCTGCAGTCTGAATGCGGCTCAGAACGGCTTTGAATGTGTCCCAACACAAAATCGTAAACTTTCTTAACACATTATGAGTTCTTTTTTAAATTTTTTTATCTTATCAGCTATCATTAGTGTATTTTATGTGTGGCCCAAGACATGTCATCTCCTTCCAGTGTGGCCCAGGGAAGCCAAAAGATTGGACAACCAGGTCTAACGTGAGTTTCTTGTAGACAGATTGTAGATTGGTTGTATTTTTTGTTAATCCATTCTGCTAATATGTACCTTTTAATTCCACACTATATGTATGTGTAAACTACCGATAAGAATGGCCTGCCATTTTGCTTTGTGTTTTCTACCTGTCTTAATATCTTTTATTTTGATCTTTATTTTCTTTGTATTTCCTTGTGTTGCAGATATATAGCAGTGTACCATCTTCTCTTTTCATTTTCTGTATATTTTTATTTTCTTAGGGGTTACCTGGGGATTGCATTTAGTACTTTAAACTTTATCTAGTTTAATGCCAGTTTAGCTTCAGTAGTAAACATATCTCTGCTCTGTACTATTCTGTGCCTCACCATTTATGTTATTGTTGCAAAGTGTATGTTTTGATGTCAAATGCCCATTAACATAAATTTACAGTTGCTATTTTGTACATTTGTCTTTCAAATCATGTAGGGAGAAAAAGGAGTTAGAAATCAAAAGTACAATATCATATTTTTGCCTCTGTAAAATATGCCAGTGTTTTAATTTATGGCTTTAAGTGCTCTCTAGTGTCCTTTAATTTCATCTTAGAGGATTCCTGATAGCATTTTTTATAGGGCAGATCTACTAGTGATAATCTGTTTTTGATTTTCTGGTAATGTCTTAATTTCATCTTCGTTTTTAAAGAATAGTTTCGGCAGCTATAGAATTCTTGCTTGACGATTTTTTTTTTTCCTTTCATCACTTTGTTATCACACTGCCTTCTGACTTCCATGGTTTCTGATGAGCGGCTGTTAATCTTGTTGAGTATTCCTTGTTGCTTATGAGTCACTTCTTGCTGTTTTTATGGTTCTTTGTATTTGTCTTTCTACCGATTGATAATAATGTGTCTAGGTGGGGATCTCTTTCATTTATCCTACTAGGAGTTAGGTAAAGTTCTTGTTTGTACAGACTATATTCCCCAATAGTTTTTCAAATATTCTTTCTGTTCATTTTCTCCTCTCCTTCTGCAAATCTTATTATGCATCTGTTGGCATGCTTAATGGTTGTCTAAACGATCTCTTAGGCTTTATTTTCCTTTATTCTTTTTTTCTTTATATTCTTCATACTGGATCATCTCTGTTGGCCTAGCTTAAAGTTCACTGATTCTTGTTTTTCAAGTCTGCGGTGAATTTTTAATTTCAGTTATTATACTTCTCAGCTCTAGAATTTTTTTCTCTTAGTTCCTTTTTTGTGGGGGGGGTGTGGTTTCACTCTTGTCGCCTATGCTGGAGTGCAATGGTGTTATCTCGGCTCACTGCACCCTCCACCTCCTGGGTTCAAGTGATTCTCCTACCTCAGCCTCCCAAGTAGCTGAGAATACAGGGATGCGCTGCTACAAGCAGCCCAGCTAATTTTTGTATTTTTAGTAGAGACGGGGTTTTGCCATGTTGGCCAGGCTGGTCTCGAACTCCTGACCTCAGGTGATCCGCCCACCTTGGCCCTCCAGAGTGCTGGGATTACAGGTGTGAGCCACTGTACCCGGCCTCTCTTGGTTCCTTTTTATAGTTATCTTTTTATTGGTATTCTGTATTTGTCGAGACATATTTCTTCTGATTTCCTTTAGTACTTTGTCAGTGATTTTCTTTAGCTCTGATTGTCTTTAGTTCTTTAAACATTGTTTTTTACAACTTTTATTTTAGATTCGGGGGTACATGTGCAGGTTTGTTACTGGGGCATATTGTATGATATGAAATTTAGGATACAAATGATCCCATCATGCAGGTACTGAGCATAGTACCCAATAGTTTTTCAACCTCCCCCCAATAATCTCCAGTTTCTGTTGTTGCCATCTTTATGTCCATGAGTACCTAATGTTTAGCTCCTACTTTGGTCTCTGTGGTCTCTAAAGGTTCTGGTCCTTTCGCTTATATTCATCAAGTGATTTGACAGATTTCCTTAAACATCTTTACTCACCTTTTTCTTGATTCAGTGCTCACTTGGCTTTTATAACCTTTAACTATTGTTAAGAGTTTCCACAAAGTTGATTCTGACAGTGTTTGTTCATGATATGTGTTTATTTCTGTGGAGGGACATTTTTGCTGTCATCTCTGACAGAGTGGTTTTTTTTTAAGACTAGATTTTTAGGGGACGGGAGCAGTAGTATTCAATAAGATAGGCTATTATGCCTTATTCATAATGGTAAACTATTGTTATCAAATTGGCATCATTTATCCAGTGAGTAAAATCTACAGTATAGGAGGTTGTGGGCATACCATCCTTTCATCATGAAGAAGAAAGGAGCTTTGTTGAGGACAGGAGGTTATGGAGTGAGTTCAAAGTCCAACTCGGTACAGTTGGGTTAAGGAAAAAAAAGATGTGTCTATTATTAAATGTTGTAATACTTCATAGGTGGTGTTGAATTGTTCTTTTTGATGAAATTGTTTTAAAAGTAGTCATGACCTATATGTAAAAGTCCTTCATTATTAATCTCAAAATATGATTTCTAAATCTAGGTGTCCTTAGCTAACCTTGTGATTTTGAATAAGCTTCTTTTTTGGGCTTCCAGATACTTTATGGGTAAAACGTAATGGATTGTGCTTAGACTGAATGGCCTTTGAGGTATTTTCACCTATATTAATGTTTTATTTTTTATTTTTTCTATTAAAATAGCTCAGATAGGAGGGTGATGCAATAATGAATGGAAAAAGACAGCTGAAAGGAAATGCACAACTGATTTTGATGGTTGTTTAGAACTGTTCGCACTGCTATTTATCTCTGTGTTTCAAACTAATTTCATTACTTCAGTATATTGTCATAAAACTTTCAGTGTAATTAAAGCTAAAATAGCCTATAGTCACCACATTGCTCCATAGTAAACTATTTTTTAATGTTAAGCAAAAATGTTGCCATACTGTATATATAGTTTTGTGTCTTTTTTATACATTTAACAATATTTTTGCTGATAATTCCATGTCATTTTTAACATAAACCTACCTCTATATAGTATTCAATCATACTAAGGTATCATGGTTTATTTAAGCACTTTATCTTTGACAGAGGGTTAGGTTGTTTCTGTTCTTTGCTATTATAAACATAATACAGTTAACCTCCATGTGGTAGTTTATATTTCTAGGGCATATACTTAAAGGTGAAATTACTACACATATTTTTGGACCTACCTTGGAAGTAACCAGTACTTAAGAATTTCTTGTACTTCTTCCAGAAATGTTATTATAGTATGTAAGATATATATATATACACACACACACACATACTGTAATGACTAATGTGTAGCACTGTTTTTAAGTAGTAGAAGAGTAGACAACTAAACATTCAAAGGGGGATTGGTTTCATAAGTTATATATTTGTGTGTATATATATCTTACATATATATCTCTCTCTTACATATGTACACAATTATTTGTGAAACCAATCCCTCTTTGAATGTTGTTTTCTACTCTTCTACTACTTAAAAACAGTGCTATATGTTAATCATTTATAAATATGATTGTAATTTTGTAGGATAAATTTCTAGTAGTTGAACATCATGTGGAAAGGTATATACATTTATAATTTTGATGTATATTGTCAAATTGGTCTGCATGGAGGTTTTGCTAATACATTATCATATGTGTGTTAGAGGACCTGTTTTCCCACAGTCTTGACAATACATTATGTTGTCAAATATGATCATCCCCAATATGATACATGAAAAATGGTGTCATGCTATCGTTTTCATTTGAGTCTCTTGTTCTGAGTGGATTGAGCTTTGAGCTTTTGTTTTTTGTTTTTTCTTTTTTTGGAATGGAGTCTTGCTCTTTCGCCGAGGCTGGAGTGCAGTGGCGCAGTCTCAGCTCACTGCAACCTCCACCTCCCGGGTTCAAGTGATTCTCCTGCCTCAGCCTCCCCAGTAGCTGGGATTGCAGTTAGGCACCACGACGCCTGGCTACCTTTTGTATTTTTGGTAGAGACGGGGTTTCACCACGTTGGCCAGGCTGGTCACAAACGCCTGACCTTTTGATCTGCCCGCCTTGGCCACTCAAAGTGCTGGGATTACAGGTGTGAGCCACTGAGCCCGGCCTGTTAGTTCCTATTTTTCTATTGGGTTATTAGACTTTGTTTATGGTTGATTTTTGCCATGAGGAAAATTGTTTTTATGTGTATCTTATGACCTGAAATTTTGTTTTATTATTGGGCCTTTCCCGTTCTGAGTTTATTAAAGAATCTTCTATTGTTAAAATGGGCTCAATTCTAATGTACTTTTTTTTTATATAGGTCTAAGTATTTAGCTACGCCAGGTATGAAAGCCAGTTTCTGAGATTAACTTTTTATTACTTACTACTCAAGAGAGGATGACCTACCGTACTTCACCCTTAAAACATGACAAAATATAGGATAACAATAACAGATTTGTGTGTGCTCCTGTACACAATGTCTTATAGGACAACTGAAACAGAATAGCACCAGAGCTGGACTTTACCATTCAATTGCTCTATAGATTAGTTCAAATTTATGGTGTGGTTCCAAGAAAAACTCTTGATTAGAGTGAAAAGTACTCCTGTTAGGAATTCCTCTTTAGTAATTTGTTATAGACTTGTTTGGTTGTAAATAACATCTAGATCTATGGTTCTTTCTTTTTGGTGCCTCTGTAGTTCTGGTCATCTTTTTGGGACTAATTAATTTAGTTTCTTTTAACTTAGATCTAAAAGGTAGAATTTCATGAATCCAGTTACTTAAGTGTATTTTGCATAGTTAGCATTGCATTTTTTAGAAGATAAGGCAGTATAAAATTACTACTTTGCAACATGAAGTAATTTCTTTAGCATGATGACATTAAGGATAAGTTTTATCTCATTTTCCTTTTTTTATTATTTCAATTAAAGTCTTCAGTTTTTTTTCCTTTGAAAATATTTAATTTATCTTCAACTGTATTTACAATTAGTAGATATACAGGGATGGTTATTGGTTAACTGTAAACTTAAAGAGAATGGTATGTCTTTTTATTTAGATCCCAAGGAAGAAAAAGAGGAAGAAGACGATTCTGCCCTCCCTCAGGAAGTTTCCATTGCTGCATCTAGACCTAGCCGGGGCTGGCGTAGTAGTAGGACATCTGTTTCTCGCCATCGTGATACAGAGAACACCCGAAGCTCTCGGTCCAAGACCGGTTCATTGCAGCTCATTTGCAAGTCAGAACCAAATACAGACCAACTTGATTATGGTACAGTGCAACTAGAATATGGCTGTTTACTAACTAGTTGCTGTTACATTTTAAATGTAATGTTGAACATTTGTGTTAACAGCTTAACTGTCAGGGGCAGGTTTGATGGTGTAGGTGGTATTTCTTTGAACAGTTTGCAGATATTCTGCTTTTGTATAATTACCCCATGCAGTAATTTGATTTGCATTTCTTGACTGCAGAGAGAAAATATCTTATATCTACACTAATAAAATTTTGTTTTTGGCTTTGTTTTTCTAGATGTTGGAGAAGAGCATCAGTCTCCAGGTGGCATTAGGTAAAAAAAACATTAATATTTCATTTTTAAACCTTTGGGGACATAGCATAGTCACAGTAAATGATTCAGAAGTTGCTTCCATTTGAAATTATTTTGAGCTGTAAGAGAAATTAACTTCAGTTTTGATACTGCATTTAGATTCCATGTTGAGCTTGATTAGAACTTAAACCATGTAATCTACTTACATAGCTTAGAAATCATGTCTTGAGTATCTTCTGTGTTTGGACTTATTCCATGGTAGGCACTAATGTGAAATATGGGTGTTTTGGCCAAGGTTTTGAGATTTTATTGGAATCTTTTGTGTTGTGATTTATCTGTTAGTAGGTCTTTTAATATAGCAGATCACCAGACAGTATTACAAAGTCAGTTGTTTCTTAACTTTTAATGCCATTGAGTTGTCATCACCCTGTCTTTATCTAGGATTTATGTCTTTTTAGTTTCAATTATTATTCTTTGTGATAAAACAGCTAGATTTCAGTCCAATTAGGTCATTAGGATGAAAATGCTAGATGACTTTATCAGTGTTTGGCTACCTCTTAAAAAATTACCAAATAAAATCCCCTCAGACATGTTCGCTACAACCAGAATGTCTCATTTCTATTTACTTATTTTTAGTAGTGAAGAGGAAGAGGAGGAGGAAGAAGAGATGTTAATCAGTGAAGAGGAGATACCATTCAAAGATGATCCAAGAGATGAGACCTACAAACCCCACTTAGAAAGGCATGTCTCAGATTTTACTGCAGACATGTTAATGAAATATAAGTAGGAAAGCACTGTTGCATGCTTTTATTTTATCTGTTGCCAAGCTAATGGGTATAGAATTAATTTTAAATGAGTAATTAATTATGCACTTCTTTTGTAAGTCTAACACCTTAATATACCCTGATAATAATCCTCTTTCCCATTTGTAGAACTTTATTTTGATTATATACAAGTTTTTATGAGTCTGCATGTTTTATTTCAACAAGGTATCATGAATTGCCTGAATACTTAGAATTTTTTAACTAATTGTCTCGTTTCTCTTTACAATTATAGTGAAATTTGATTTACAGGCATCTTTAGTCTGGGGAGGGTTCATTCCATGAGCAACATATACATATATTTGGATCATTACTATGCATGTGAGGATGATTGGTAGGAAATCACATTTCATGAACTGAGGAAGGTAGTTTTATAACAAATCAGTGATAACTCTAAGCTTTAATTTGTTGTCATAGTCTTCCTTGAAAAGATCTTTTGTCTAGTATTGAAATGCATTTGTGTTTTCAGGGAAACCCCAAAGCCACGGAGAAAATCAGGGAAGGTAAAAGAAGAGAAGGAGAAGAAGGAAATTAAAGTGGAAGTAGAGGTGGAGGTGAAAGAAGAGGAGAATGAAATTAGAGAGGATGAGGAACCTCCAAGGAAGTGAGTAGGCAATTATTAAAAATGAAAATCTAACAGATTTTGAACGACTAGTGGAAAAAAGAGTGGGAGTGTGAGGAAGGATGTTGACGTATACATGCTTCAAAATATGTATTTTTTAACTTAAAAAAATTTGGCCTCAAGCAGCTGACAATTTCACTGGAGAGACTCTTAGTAAAAAAATGTTTAGGTTTTTCAGTTCTATTGCAAGGAGAAGGTATTTTTTAATCTTAGTGTTTTTAGATGATACATGGTAGCAACTCTAAAAGTAATACATTGAGATTCTTCTAAGTCTTTCATAGTATTGCATAGTTTATGGAAGGTATATATTTAATCTGTCTTACAGACTGATTTGAAAGTGAAATTACTTCAGGGTAAAATTACTTGCTTGATTTGCCAGATATATCTTTGACTTTATGTATTCTTGGTTATCCTTTGCCACTTGTTCTTTGGCCGTGTGTGTGTGTGTGTGTCTTCAGCCAGCCTTCACTGTGTAGTTTTGATTCAGAATATGTCTACTGTTACCCTGTCTTCAATTACAGGAGAGGAAGAAGACGAAAAGATGACAAAAGTCCACGTTTACCCAAAAGGAGGTGAGGAATTTTTACCCCTACTGTTTTACACCTTATTCCAGTACCAGGCACTTTACTCACAAATTTAGACTTCATGATAATCCTGCAGGAATGGCTATTTAAAAATTTCACAAAAGCAACTTCACTAATGTCCTAGATGCACAGGTGTTATGATCTTATTTTCATTGTAAGAGCTTGAAATTTCTAACAATCTTAATACTTTACCTTTGGGGGGTCATTAGTTTATTTGTGTTACTTTTTAATTCTGTCAAATATTTGCTAATTCTTGGTTACTTCTAATACAAATTCTGTGTAATCTGTATAGTAGTAAAGAGATTTTAATTCTTCCTACTATAAAATAGCTATTCCCAATAGCACAGTTTAAGTCAGAGGCCACTGTGCAGAGTACCACTTTTTTTTTTTTGCTAACTTTTCTTCTGCATTTTGATAATAGAAAAAAGCCTCCAATCCAGTATGTCCGTTGTGAGATGGAAGGATGTGGAACTGTCCTTGCCCATCCTCGCTATTTGCAGGTCAGTGAAGTTGTTATATAAGAGCCTTTCAGGTTGTGTTCCATTACTTGTTCTTGCACCACGAGACTTTAATTTGTTGGCTTGTGTAGGCTTTATCATTGACATGTAATGTCAAGAAAAGTCTTTCTTTAAACATAAAATGACTTTAACCCATTTATGCCTAGTGTTCCATTATTAGAATGCTAAGCTTGGGCAAGTTATTTATATCCTACTGTTCAAGGTCATCACCAAGGTCTGATTTTTCACAAAAATACATTTGCAACCTCCAGCATAAATGGGTTAATCATGATTAGTCCATTTGTGCTGCTATAATAGAGTACCTGAGACTGGGTAATTTACAAAGAACATATATTTATTTATTAGCTTGTGGTTCTGGAGACTGGAAAGTCCAAAAGCATGGTGCCCACATCTCACAAGAGCCTTTTAACTGTGTCAGCCCATGGTGGAAGGGCAAGAATGGGTTGAACTTGCTTTTGTAACAAATCTACTCCAATGATAATATCAACCCATTTATATAAGGGTAGAGCCTTTAAGACCTAAGCACCTCCCATTAGGTCCCGCCTTCCAACACTATCACATTGGGGATTAAGTTTCCAACACATGAACTGTGGTGAACACATCCAAATTCATAGCACCTCCTGTTTAAAAAGAGGTGACTAAGAATCTGAACCCACATAGAGAACTTTCGTTGGAATCTTTCAATATTACAGTAATTCCCAATGTGGTGTAAATACAGAGTAACATTTTATTTTAAAGTGATTTAGAAAAAAAGTAAAATTAGAACTCAAACCTGTGATTTCTTGGGTACTGTGTAGAATGAATAAAAGACTTTTAGTTGAGGTTTTGTTTTTATTTTTCTTGAGTAGATTATTATTATTATTTTTGATGAGTAAACGTACCACTTATATTTAGGTCTGGCAGGAAACGTGAAAGTGAAATACTGCTTAGGAAATACCTGTTTGATCTTCAGCAACAAATATAACATGACACGAAGGCCTTCTTCTGGATCGTGGTTCAGTTATAACAATAGCCGCTCCTCCTCTGCTGTGTGCCATTTGCTGCTCTAAAGCACAGTACAATACATAATCTCTTATCCCCATAACAACACTTTGAGATGGTTATTGTTACCTCCATTTTACAAATGAGAACTGGAGCTTGAAATATTTGTCTCCTAAGATTACAAAGGCTAGTGAATGACAGACCCAGATTGGAAACCAGGTCTGTGTATTTCCACCTATGTTCTTAGCCACTTTATTATACTCCCTCACTATCCATGTGTGAAATCTAAGTATTTGGTTTTCCTTCAGTACTTTTGACTTAGCAAAGACAAGTACTTTCAGGAAGCCTTAATTTTTTTTTTTTCGCCCCTTTCACTTTCTCTGTTTTAGCACCACATTAAATACCAGCATTTGCTGAAGAAGAAATATGTATGTCCCCATCCCTCCTGTGGACGACTCTTCAGGCTTCAGAAGCAACTTCTGCGACATGCCAAACATCATACAGGTACTTTTAAAATGTGTTTATCAAGTAGGTAATTGCACTGTGCTTTAGTTTTGCATGTTGGTAATGATAACGTTTTTCTAACATAAGTCTTAAAAGATTCTATAGTCAAGTGCGGGGAAAAGGTGTGAAAATAAAATGTAGTAAGACAAATTTTACAAGGGATGGGCAGACTAGGACTTTTGAATTTTTATCCTTTGACTTCTTGAACTTCTATGACCGGGATAATGATCTTCTATTGAGCATTTATTCTGTATCAACTGTGGACTAAATACGTTATGTATATTATTGCTAATTAGTCTATTCAACACCACTAAATTTGTTTATATTGATCTTATTTTACAGCTAAGAAACTAGAAGCTTGGCAGGATTAAGTAACCTGCCCATGGTCACATAGCTAGTTTTTAGGAGAAGCATAATACTCTGCTGCTATTGAAACTGTGAAGTCTAGCTGTTGAATTTGCATGTAAACTCCCATAGGAACTGTCAAAAAGAGTTGCTGAGTGTCTGCAATATGTATTATAGAATAGACTCAAATTCAATTTATTTGTAACCACTGACCATCTCAGTGCAGTGTACCTAATAGGAACAAATTGGGTGCATACCACTGAGTATGTCCCAGACACTTGATAATTACACATTACCTTCTCAACAGTCTTAGAGAGTAAGTCTAGGAATTCTAGTTGTAGAAATATGTCTCCTGCCCAAGGTCATACTGATAAATGAAATAACTCCTTCATTTACTGTAGGAAAGTTACTTAACTTCTCTTTTCACTTTTCCTTCTCTGTGTATTAAGGATACCAATATCAGTTATTGTAGGGATGAAATGAGATAACATAAAATGCTATTGACTACACAGAGCCTGGCACAATACCAGGATTGAACTTGAATCTTAATCACTCCAAAGTCTACAGTTTTCTTATACCATGTTTCTTCAGAGTTATTTCCACAAGTAACAGTTATTTCTGTTTCTTGATAGGTACTGCAATTTCTCTGTTCCTTCTGCTCCCTGTTAATACTGTTTTATGCCATAGAAAAGTTGTTTCTGACAGCCACTTTAGATTGTTTTAGTTAAATATCAAAAGCGTATGAAAAACTTTTATAAATTCAGTCCATTTCAAATATTTATATTTGGTTAATACAATTTATGATGTTTTACTTTTGCAAATTAGTATATACAGACTTTTTTTTGCAAATGTCATTTATTTAGCAAATAGATGCCCCACACAGGTTTGTCCTGCTATGGAACTGGAAATGTGGACATGACCTGGGAGATGCTAAGAGTTTCCTAAGTTAGAACTGTGCGTTTTTAGACCTTGCTATATAAAGTATGGAATACAGACCAACCAGCATTGACATCATTTGGGTTCTTATTAGAGATACAGAATCTCAGGCCCTGCTTCAGACCTGCTGAATCAGCATATACATTTAATAAGCTATCCAGGTGATCTCTAAGCTGTTTGGAAAGGAGTATAAGATTAAATTGGATATTGTTCACCTTTTAACTTAAATTCATGTTTTCATTCTCATTAATTCTGGTAATTTGAAGCAAAAGGAGTAGAAAATGTAGTGGTCATTAATTCAACAAATATATATAGAGAGCATCTCTTTGTGCACGGGCTTCCCAAACACGGTAAAGAAATGAATAAGTACAATGCTCCTTTTTCCTCCTCATAGATTCCACACCGTGTTACCACATTCATCAGAAATCCTGCATAATGGGGTTGAGGGTGTTGTGAGTGACAAAGGGAGGTAGTTGAAAGGTGCAGAAGATGGGTAGGAGAATAAGGTAAAGTAGTACAGGTGTTATTTACATATATTTGATAGCAGCAACTCCAGTCTTTTGAGAAAAGTTTATCTTGAGTAACATTTTTTAAACCTGAAACAGGGTATGATTACCTTTAGATCAGTTTTCTTCTATACAGTGCCAAGTTCTTGTTTTTTGTTTTTGTTTTGTTTGAATGCCAGATTCTTTCTGTGTAATCATTCAGTTTTCATTGTCTGTGAAAAAAATTGTTTACTCCTTAAAGGAGTAAAATATATGGAAAATATAGTTGTTTACTTGCTAACCACTTGGTATCCAAGACCTGGATTAGTGGTAAAATTGAGATTAGGATTCCATTTCTTATATTTTTATCTAGTTTTTCTGTTTGTTTTTGTTTTTTTTTAAACAGGTCCTTATGCTACTGAATGTTGGATTTTTTTTAAAGCAATACTTTTCTTTTTTAAATTTTGTTTACCCAAAGTGTTTATACATTGAAAACAGCATTGCTTTTACTCTAAATTGCCTGCCCCATCATCTGCTTACTTACTGTAAGGGAAAATATTTACAGGGTATCTAAATAGAACACTAACCACAGTATTTTCTTCATAGATCAAAGGGATTATATCTGTGAATATTGTGCTCGGGCCTTCAAGAGTTCCCACAATCTGGCAGTGCACCGGATGATTCACACTGGCGAGAAGCCATTACAGTGAGTATTATTTACTGGTGAACATCTGGGTGAGAAGGATATATGCCCTACTTGAAGGTTTGCCGCTTTACAAACATATTAGTTGCCACTGCTGTTTACTTTCATCAAATAAATGAGTGGATATTGATTGGGGGCATTAGTTAGTAGCCTTTTTCTTAGTTTCCCTCTGTTTTTCAGGCAAACAGAAGAAGATCAGATTAGTTTTCCATCTAGTAACATTTCCCAATCCTTCAAAAGAAGTATGTTACTGATTATTGTGTGTGTGTGTGTGTGTGTGTGTGTGTATGTATATATATGCTCTAAACTCTAACCCTGATCCTGAATAAGAGCACTCTTTATTTCTCTGTTGGATCAGCCATTTCCTTTTCTCCTCTCCTTAGATGTGAGATCTGTGGATTTACTTGTCGACAAAAGGCATCTCTTAATTGGCACATGAAGAAACATGATGCAGACTCCTTCTACCAGTTTTCTTGCAATATCTGTGGCAAAAAATTTGAGAAGAAGGACAGCGTAGTGGCACACAAGGCAAAAAGCCACCCTGAGGTGCTGATTGCAGAAGCTCTGGCTGCCAATGCAGGCGCCCTCATCACCAGCACAGATATCTTGGGCACTAACCCAGAGTCCCTGACGCAGCCTTCAGATGGTCAGGGTCTTCCTCTTCTTCCTGAGCCCTTGGGAAACTCAACCTCTGGAGAGTGCCTACTGTTAGAAGCTGAAGGGATGTCAAAGTCATACTGCAGTGGGACGGAACGGGTGAGCCTGATGGCTGATGGGAAGATCTTTGTGGGAAGCGGCAGCAGTGGAGGCACTGAAGGGCTGGTTATGAACTCAGATATACTCGGTGCTACCACAGAGGTTCTGATTGAAGATTCAGACTCTGCCGGACCTTAGTGGACAGGAAGACTTGGGGCATGGGACAGCTCAGACTTTGTATTTAAAAGTTAAAAAGGACAAAAAAAAAATCTAAAGCATTTAAAATCTAGTGAAATAACTGAAGGGCCTGCTCTTTCCATTGTGGATCACAGCACACACATACATACACCCTCCACCTCCCCATCCCCTGTTCTCCCTCTGTTGCTCCCCTTATAAAATTGATGTTGTCTTTACCAGAAAGGTAGACAAAAAAGAAGCAGCAGCAGCTCTTAAAGTGAGGGTTATTCTCATACTCGGTTCCAGCCATCAGCAGACTTCCTGCTCATCGGCAGATCCCCCTTTCCAACCTGTAACTCTGATGTGCTCTGGATCAGCTTTTAACTTTTAATCATATATTACTGTCTTCTAAATCCCTTCTCCTCCTCTACTGCTGCCCTATGGTTCTGGCTCCTACCCCCTGCGGCACACTTATCTTCAAATACCATAGAATTCTAATCTCTGGAGGCTGGCAGCTTGACTTGGCACTTTAGGGCCCCTTAGCAGGGTGAGCTGTTAAAACAGCACACATCTCTCATCCCCTCTTCCTTTATTCCCCCCTGGGTTTCAGAAAGGAAGGATATATGGGGACCACCTCCCCCTTCTTTGATCCCAGCATCTCAGTCCCCCTCCCAACCCTCCATATGGCTCTCAATGGTGCTCACTTGCTTGGAAGCAGGCTCCCAATAGGGAGGGGGCTGCCCTCTACAGTCTCTTTGACTGTAAGACAGGGCTCTGTATCAGTGAGACGATGAGAAAAGTCCCAGGCTAATGGCAGAAATTTGCACTTTGAACATGTGTGTTTTTGTGTTGTGGAACCTGAGATTCCTTATTTATTAACAGGAAGTCTGATTTTTTTTTTTTGGAGTCTTTGTTGCTATATTTTGTGGGGCTGGGAGAGAGAGATTAGATTATTTTGACATGGGATCCCTTCCATAACAGGTACTTTGAAGGCAAGACATAGGGTTGAAGAAGCACAGCCAGCCTCTGAAATCATAGCTCTCCAGTGGCTTTTAAAGAAAGCTGGTCCTCAGCACTAACAAAATCACTACAATAGCCTAGTGCTTTTTTGGAAGCCTTTTTAGGGAAGAATGTTAGGTTCATGGTAACTAGTATGCTCTTTGA
The DNA here is from genome assembly GCF_000001405.40 of Homo sapiens. Taxonomy (NCBI): domain Eukaryota; kingdom Metazoa; phylum Chordata; class Mammalia; order Primates; family Hominidae; genus Homo; species Homo sapiens. The sequence continues at coordinate 58,618,850 of NC_000011.10, forward strand.
GATTTTTACAGTGTTGAAACTTAAGAATTTTGAGAGGGTGAGGAGGGTTGTTCAGAATCTAAATTACAGATAGATGATTGTTTCTTGTGAATTTGTTTCTTTTCCTTTTTTTTTGTCCCTACCATTTCCTTACATTTCCCTTGGGGCCCATCTCTGGCTCCTTGCTTTTTGTTTCTTGCTTTGCTTTATCAGTTCATTCCAGCTCCCTGTTAGTGAAGGACACTGCTGTTAGTGAAGGAACAAAGTCTATGAGTCCTAAAATTTTAAGTCAAAGAAAACTGCTCTGTTTCCCCTTTAGTAACACTTCTGAAGAGGAAAAACTTCAATAGCCAAAGTTAATAATCCTATATAATAATTGCTTTGGCTTTCACCTAAAATTCTGGGCATCACAATTTCCTTGGGATAGAGGTTGTGTTGGGGAATAGATTGCTTATTGCTGTTCACTGGAGAGAAAAGGTAGTGTTTTTGTACAAGGTCATACCGCCAGAAGCCCCAAATCCTATTTTGGCTCATCTTCAGGTAAAGAGTAATTCCTATCCTGTGTGCCTCAGAAGCTAGAATCGAAGGCTTACCCTATTCATTGTTTATTGTCAGAAATGCATGATGGCTCTTGGAAAGAATGACGTTTTGCTGGAAAAAAAAAAAAGAACAGTTTGTGTTTCACAAACATGGCTTATCAATTTTTTCAAAGAATTCTTTTTTCCCAAAAAGAGGAGTAACAAAATGTCATTTCTGAAAGAGGCTTACTTTATACCAACTAGTGTCAGCATTTGGGATGCCAGGGAACAGAGAGTGAGACACCTACAATCACCAGTCTCAAATGCGCTATTGTTTCTTTTCAGAGTGTTGCAGATTTGCCATTTCTCCATAATATGGGGATAGAAAATGGAATAAAGATAGAAGGGATGTAGAATATGCTTTCCTGCCAACATGGTTTGGAGTCGACTTTGGTATATTGACTAGATTTGAAAATACAAGATTGATTAGATGAATCTACAAAAAAGTTGTCCTCCTCTCAGGTCCCTTTTACACTTTTTGACTAACTAGCATCTATATTCCACACTTAGCTTTTTTGTCACACTTATCCTTTGTCTCCGTAAATTTCATTTGCAGTGGTTAGTCATCAGATATTTTAGCCACCTACACAAAAGCAAACTGCATTTTTAAAAATCTTTCTGAGATGGGAGAAAATGTATTCTCCTTTCCTATACCGCTCTCCCAACAAAAAAACAACTAGTTAGTTCTACTAATTAGAAACTTGCTGTACTTTTTCTTTTCTTTTAGGGGTCAAGGACCCTCTTTATAGCTACCATTTGCCTACAATAAATTATTGCAGCAGTTTGCAATACTAAAATATTTTTTATAGACTTTATATTTTTCCTTTTGATAAAGGGATGCTGCATAGTAGAGTTGGTGTAATTAAACTATCTCAGCCGTTTCCCTGCTTTCCCTTCTGCTCCATATGCCTCATTGTCCTTCCAGGGAGCTCTTTTAATCTTAAAGTTCTACATTTCATGCTCTTAGTCAAATTCTGTTACCTTTTTAATAACTCTTCCCACTGCATATTTCCATCTTGAATTGGTGGTTCTAAATTCTGAAACTGTAGTTGAGATACAGCTATTTAATATTTCTGGGAGATGTGCATCCCTCTTCTTTGTGGTTGCCCAAGGTTGTTTTGCGTAACTGAGACTCCTTGATATGCTTCAGAGAATTTAGGCAAACACTGGCCATGGCCGTGGGAGTACTGGGAGTAAAATAAAAATATCGAGGTATAGACTAGCATCCACATAGAGCACTTGAACCTCCTTTGTACCTGTTTGGGGAAAAAGTATAATGAGTGTACTACCAATCTAACTAAGATTATTATAGTCTGGTTGTTTGAAATACCATTTTTTTCTCCTTTTGTGTTTTTCCCACTTTCCAATGTACTCAAGAAAATTGAACAAATGTAATGGATCAATTTAAAATATTTTATTTCTTAAAAGCCTTTTTTGCCTGTTGTAATGTGCAGGACCCTTCTCCTTTCATGGGAGAGACAGGTAGTTACCTGAATATAGGTTGAAAAGGTTATGTAAAAAGAAATTATAATAAAAGGGATACTTTGCTTTTCAAATCTTTGTTTTCTCTTATTCTAGGTAAGGCATATTAAAAATAAATATGTAAAGAAGAAAAATAAAAGTTGTCTTCATGGAAGCAACTTGTCTTCCTTGGTTGTACTGAGTTACAGTTATCCTAGGGGTGAAACATGTGATGCTGCTAAGCAAACCAAATGCCCTCAGAACAGGTGTTATGTGGGGCATACTATTGTTTGCTTTTGTTGAGAATCAGGTGGTTAATTTTTGACTGTTCTTGATTTCTAATGCTGAAATGACATGATTCTGTTATTCAGCAAACTTGGAAATCTTGATGTTTTGACAACTGCCTCCTAGGAAAACTGGCCATATGTTAATTAACCTAGTAGATGGAAAATTAAGGATTATGTGAGGTTAATTTTACCCTGATAATGACAAAACCTTGATAGCATTTAATATTAATACTTCTTCTCAAAATTGAATGTTTATATCAAGTACTGATTTTTATTTTAAAAAAGAAAAAACTATAATCCTTCTGCCTTCCAAAAGCCATGCTGTGATAGCTGCCCAGGCTGCTCTGTTACATCTCCCATTTATTGTTTACTTTTATAAATTTGCTTCTAAGATGGTATGTGTTTCAGCTTATTGGCAATATCTATGATATAAATAATGAAAGCTAATTATTTCATTTAGCCCTTACCCAATAAGCATCATTTTCTAAGTTAAATGCAATAGAATGACAACCCTCCAAGTACCTTTTAACTTTTATACTGTCATTTCAAAGCCCAGCTCATTCTCTTATTTTAAGAAGCATGTGGTATGACTGGGTAGGGGAGAAAAAAGGAAAGCATGTTGTCACTTGAGTGAGACTGCTTTAGAAATGTTACCAAGTTAGCGTTGGGTGTTTCCTGTTCTTTGGAAGAGAACAGGCCTAAACAGTACCTTCCTCCTCCTATGTAGCTACCAGGAAGGCACCGTGATTGAAATTAGAGATGCTTCCTTGCTTGATTTTTAAGTATAAATTAAATTACCTTTAAAAAGTACGTAAGGTTAGGAGTGAAAAAAATCCTGTTTTTAAAGGACTTCACACACCCTTTGTTTCTTGAACAAGATGTGAACTACCTAAACAGAAAATGAAATTGGAAAGTCAGTGGGAGAGACAACTATAGAATCAGACTTCTATTTAAATTCAAGCCTCGTTACTTGATTTTGTGCATGTTATTTCTTGAAGTTTCAGTTTCTTATATGGAGAAATAACATTTACCTCAGAAATATTCTGAAGATCAAATGGAATTGCTTTAAAGTATTTAGCTTACTGACTGACCCATGGTAGATACTTAATAAATGGCAGCTGTGTCAATAACAATTTTATTGAATGAACATTTCGCCAGCCTATGAGAAAAAAGACATGGGAAGCATAAGGGAGAATGATAATAAAATGAACTAATTCTAAGTGTGTGAGATAGATTACATTAGGCAGGGGTGCCATGAGGATTGGTATGATAGTGACCTTGTTGCTAAGTGCAAAAGCAAAACAATGACATAGAAACAAGTGTGCTAAGTACTGAGTGGAGGAGAGAGATGGAGGCAGACGCTGCAGGGGAAAAAAAATCTGATTAAAAAGGGCCCTTTGATTCCACAGGCACAAAAATCCACAGCCAGGAATTTGCTACCTCCTCTGAGTCAGGCAGGGCGTGGGGGTGGGGTGCACAATCCCATTAGTAGAGAATGCCCAGTGGGTTTAGTCTTTGAGAGTCACATCTCTTATTTGGACCAGTATAGACAGAAGTAAACCCAGCTGACTTGTTTCCTGGGACAGTTGAGTTAAGGGATGGCTTTCACAGAGCATTCACCGCTGACCCCTCACCGTCGGGACCTCTGTAGCCGCTCTATCTGGCTAGCAAGGAAGATTCGTTCAGACCTGACTGCTCTTACGGAATCCTATGTAAGTTGCCTATTTTGCTGTTATCTGTTTTCCCTTCATCTTTTTTGATCCAGCAACTTACCATCACGCATCAGCTCCATTACCAATTGTGAAAGCTCTAATCATATAGTCATTCATATAGGTTATTTGACATGGGCCCTTCCCTTGAGGAAACCCATGTGACTTTATTTTCTTCCTCTGGGCTGTTTAGGAGATGAAGTTACTTGAATGAGAAAATATATATGGAGTTCTAGAAAGGATTGGTTTATATGTCTTGGAGGCTATTCCAAATTTATTGGCATATATTCTGAATACTACTAGAACAGATTAGCCATGGGCCCTCTGGGTTCTTCATAGCCATTGTTCTGAATTTTTTAGCTATGTAAATGAAAGGTTTATGGGATAGGAAGAGTACTATGAACGTGGGAGGAATTTGTAAATCCTACCAATTTCTCCTATATAGCATTAGCCACCCACCTTTTAGTATTCTGCATCAAAAGTAGATTGTGTCTAAAGAGAAAGGTAAGCTATCAAAAGGATCTCCTAGAAGATTCATTGGAAACTTGTGGAAGTGTCAAATTCTTGAGCTAATTCTGGAGTTCCAGATTTGTCTTCTAACAGTAAGGGGATCCCCATCAATTTCCACCTGAGATATGCTGTGGAAATACTCCAACCCCTGTGGAGAGTTTTGAATTTAGGCTGAGAACTGATTTATCTTTGTACAGCCTCACCAGACAGAAATCAGACTCTTTGGGAGTGCTCAATGGGGAGAGGGAAGTTAGAGAAATTCTACAATGGCTATATTCCAAGTTTTCCTAGTTGTGGCCAGTGTCTTTTACAAGTATGTTTAAAAATACTTTAATATGATTAAAATATTCCAGTTAATGAGAGAGTTTGAAGTGAGAAGGAAAAATTCTTCTAAATCAGTTTTCAACCTTTAGAACTCAATAAAATCTGAACATTCTTCTAAGAAAAATCCATAGGTAGTCAATTTCAGGCAGTATTGGGTCTTTCTAAAGTCCAGTCATAGAGCCCAAATTAAGAGTTCCTACTGTAGACATATTATTTACTTTACAACTTGGATCCTTGGCCAGAGAGATGAGTGAGATTTTGTATGAAATTTAGGGGTGATTTAAGGACACTGGGGTGATGACAGAAGATGTGGTGTTTTCCTGTATCCTCGGCCAGGTGAAGCATCAGGGCCTGAACAAGAACATCAACCTGGACTCTGCGGATGGGATGCCAGTGGCAAGCACTGATCAGTGGAGTGAGCTGACCGAGGCAGAGCGACTCCAAGAGAACCTTCAAGCTTATCGTACCTTCCATGTTTTGTTGGCCAGGCTCTTAGAAGACCAGCAGGTGCATTTTACCCCAACCGAAGGTGACTTCCATCAAGCTATACATACCCTTCTTCTCCAAGTCGCTGCCTTTGCATACCAGATAGAGGAGTTAATGATACTCCTGGAATACAAGATCCCCCGCAATGAGGCTGATGGGATGCCTATTAATGTTGGAGATGGTGGTCTCTTTGAGAAGAAGCTGTGGGGCCTAAAGGTGCTGCAGGAGCTTTCACAGTGGACAGTAAGGTCCATCCATGACCTTCGTTTCATTTCTTCTCATCAGACTGGGATCCCAGCACGTGGGAGCCATTATATTGCTAACAACAAGAAAATGTAGCAGTTAGTCCCTTCTCTCTTCCTTGCTTTCTCTTCTAATGGAATATGCGTAGTTCCCTGGGGCCTCGCTTTCCCATCTTAAATTTCTAAAAACAGTTAAGACAACAGGCATTTTCTTTCTTTTTTCTCTGACCACCTGCAGCCTGTTGAAGGACTACAGGTATTTTCATCAAGTAGCGTTGGAGACATACACAAATGGGCATACAAGTTTAGCCTGGGGGGTGTGATTTGTGTGCGTGCTTGCATGTGCTGCAGGTGTAAGAGAGTGGGAGCAGGGACAACGTCCTTCCACTTCAGGGTTCTAACCTTTCTAACCCACTAAGTAACCTCTACAGGCATTTAACTGCCTTACAGACAGAATATACATATGTTAATTCTAGTCCTGGATGACTCGGTCTGAGAAGATTCAATTTAAAATCAGACTCTTTAGTTGATTTAAACTCTTAGAGAATAAGAATAATAATGGCTAACTTTTATTATCTTCTATATTAAGGCAGTATGCCAAGGGTCTTTATGTATATTATGTACAGCGTTTACAACCTTGTGAGCAAGGTGGTGTTACTCCCATTAGGTAGATGAGAAAACAGGCTCACAGAGATTTGGTTAAGCTCACACAGCTAACAAGTAGCACACTGAGTTTGAACACAGATCATTCTCCTTGTAAAAGCCTATGTGCCTTTCACTTTAGAGGCTTGATCATGAATCACTGCACCTCTTTGTCACAGGGTGTTGGAAGATGCATCCATGTAATCTATTCCCATCGCTGGAAAACAGCTGCTGTTAGATGTCCTCAGAAGTCAGTTGCAAATTTTAGCGTTAAAGTCAGGATTTATTGTTCATACTTGGCGGTGAGGAGGGCAGCTGGAGATCTTAAGATTCCATTTTGGAAAATGATTAGGCCCGCCAAACTTCTGAACTTTGGAAGCTGGGGATGTTTAGTAATACAGCCTGGTTTTTAAGTACTCACTAAAAGTTCTCAAATATTGGGTTGGGCACGGCTTATACCAGGTTACCTCACTTTTAATTAGTGATGCAGGCAGTGTAACCCAAGCATTTGTGGACAATGAGTGGAATACTAAAGTTAAAAAGTCAAACTTTCACCTCAGATTTTCTGGACTTAGTCATGAGGAGAGGGTGAGGCCCACTCTGTTCCTACTGGAGATACCAGAGACTCTGAAACTATAGAATAAAGCCTCTGTGCTGCACAACAAAGGGGCAGGCTCTGCTTTTATTTCTTGTAAGAACCAACATAGTATGAAAGGTTGGTCAATGCGGACATTAATGGAAAAGGCCATGTACTGGTGGTGTGATGTGAATCCAGAAATTTTCAAGTGTGTCATTTATTTTATACTTATCAATTAAAACTCAAGATCATGGATTGGGAGACCAAGTTAATTTAATTAACTGGGGCTTCTGTATTCGTAAATGAACCATGAGTCAGGGCTAACTCCCATAGGTTTCATGAGGTGTGGATGAGTAGCTTAGCTTGTATCCTTTCTCACATGGGTGTGTGTACAAAACTCCATGAAGTCACTATTACCAGAGTACTCTGGGCTAGGCATTGTAACAGTTCAGGGAAAGTAAGGCCCTGCTTTCTAATATGCATTTGTGGCAATATGGTTGTGAGTGTGTATACACACACACGTACATTACTGTGATCAGTGATGCAGACAGTGTAACCCAAGCCTTTGTGGACAGTGAGTGGAATACTACTCAAGTTAAAAAGTCACAGAACTCCTTCACCTCACATTCTCTGGACTTAGTCATGAGGAGAGGGTGAGGCCTACTCTGTTCTCACTGGAGATACCAGAGATTCTGTAAACACACAAACACACACACACACACACACACACACACATAGTCGAAATTATAAGTCCCAGGTTTGTTAGGAAGCTAAAGGAAGGAGAGGGGCCCAAAGTAGTTTCCCGGAGGAGGTAGGAGTTGTGTCTCAGTACAAAACTACAAAATACTCTGTACTGGTTGAGTACAAAAGAGAAGTCATGAGAGAAGGGAAGAGGTGATCATTTGTAATTTTGGCACTGAATGTATAGTCTTATTCCATTCAAGCTTTCTCTTAATTCTGCTTAACAGCAGCATTCTCAAATAATAAAATTTCTGCTTATTAATATGAAGCTCTTAGAGCTATCTGGATAATACTTCTGTTCAATGGAGAAATATGTCTACAATTTCTTAATGGGGAATAACTGACTATGAATTTGCTGCATCTAAAATGACCCCATCAATTATACATGTAAAAATAAATTTTTGAAATTTTTTAAATAAAAAATTAAAAGATGTTGCCCCCATACTCCCTCCATCAAAAATGTTTTTAAAAAATGAGTGTCCCCTCTCCAAGTGTTTTTATGTTCAGCAGGTACAGCAGCAGACATCTGCAGAAGTTTCAGAACTCAGTGGAGCTTGGCTTAAGCTCTCATGAGTTGCATGTAAAGGAATATGTATGTATAAGAGGCGGATTTGAAGTGGCAGAGGGTCCACAAAAGGCACAAGTACTAACCACTGAATGGGAGGAGATAGAAAAATGTGTAAGTCACAATTAAGTCACAGAATCACCAAGTCTTTACCAAGTGCATTGTCAGCACTTTGCAAAACGCTGTGTACTTGTCTTTCAGGAAGCATACAATATGCACCCAAAAGAAGTGTGGGGAAAGCTAATCTTAGAAAAAGATAAAGGGGAAATGAGCAGTAGACCATGCAACAAAAATCAACATGTATGAGATCTGAATGTGTAGACATTGCATCATGTTTATTTGAAATGGATAAATAGAAAAAGGGACTGAATGGATTAGTATTCTAGATGTGTGCCTTATAGTAAAGAAGAGGATAACGATGACACTATGGAATTACGTTTTTTTAGGAATATAGAACCCCAAGAAGATTTTGTTCATTAGGTTTTATTCTGTTGATCTGATATGGATAAGATCTCTGGGAAATCATATATGGTATAACTATATAGATTGAATTATAGTTTAAGGTACATAGATTTAGTTTCTAGCCCTAACTCATTTTGTAAAAACAATTTCTTCTGCCTCCTTTTCAGAGAGTACCTTCTGAAAAGTCCTCTGTGGGTAAAGAGATCTTGTTTTCCTGAGTCAAGGAATTGCATGGATGAGAGTTTTTCTTGCATTCATGTAAGAGGGTGATTTGGAAAAGGCTCGCAAATCAGCACAAACTTGAAAGCCAAGCATGGAATAAAATTAGCCTTAAGATAATCAGGTTTAAGTGAAGGGAGAGTTTTAATAAAAATGGAAAATGTAAAGTCATAGCTCTGGTATTGCTGTTATTTCAAGCTGCTATGGATCAATGCCCAAAGGATGACTCATTGTTGTGATCACTTGTCAGACAGGGAGAGGACTAGTAAATATTTCAGGAAGACATATCTGAAAAGTTATTTAGATTGAATTTTGTTTGTGAATCCTCAGCTCCTCATGAGGTACCTGAGCATCTCTGTTAAGGGGTGAAATAGAGACACGGGAAGCAGAGAGACCTCCACCAGGATGTAAAGGGGATTGGTAAAGAGGAAGGGGGTAGGGGGGAGTAGAATTTTGATTTCACTTCAGTTGATTCTGTGTGTGTGTGTGTGTGTGTGTGTGTGTGTGTGTGTGTGCGCGCGCGCGCGTGTGTGACTAATGTACTGTTAATGTACTGTTTAGGTCAGGACATTTCTTAAAAGGAATGCTTTGGCCTCCTGCCTCATCCCACCTCCACTGCAAGCGTCAGACCCACCCAAGAATGAGCTCTCTGAATGTGGGTGCATTCAAAAGCGAAAAATGATAAAAACTTCATTTCTTGGCTTCTGTAGCCCTCTGAGAACTACAGATAAAGACAGAATAAGATAATTTGATGGTTTGATGAAGTGTCTGGGTGTGAGATAAAATCTATGTGCTTATGATTCTTAATATAAAAGATTATTTCGATCAATCTGGTTTGAACACATAGAAAACAAAAGATGCAAGAATAGCTAACAATAAAGTTCTTTTCTCAGCAATACCATAAGTTACTTCTTTTCTGTATCTTTGGATGAATGAGGGGAATTTCAAGTGACTTCAGCATTGGATGAAGCATAATCCTCCTAGCCAGGGCCAGGCCCAATCAAGCGTGCTGAGTAAATCTCCATGGTGCCAGGCCACTCACACTGGGCAAAACTCCCAGGGCCAGTCAGCCTAGAAAAGGTAGATTGCCCCTATATCACCAGGCCAATGCTTTGCCCTCTGAATACGTAGTCCTATCAGCTAGACTGCAGATGAGAATGATTTCCTTTTATATGGCTTAATTGCAAGTAGCTGACCACCCCCCCCCCCCCATTAAGCCTTTGACTTCAAGAGAAGAACCCTGACTAGCCCATTTTTAGTCAGGTTGGAGGTAGAAACCAAATTGTTGAAAATCACATAGAGGAAAATATGAAACAGTTACTGAGAGATTCTGTATTTCTATCCACATATTTAAGGTAGTATGAAAGGGAATAATGTAACATGTCAGGCAGCTCTGCATTATTTTATATTATTTAATCCTCTGACATATCTCTTAGATGAGGAAAATGAGAATGAGCATTAACTTGCCCAAATTTCCTCCTCTAGCACCTGACAGGGCTGGAGTCTTAATTCTGGCTCTAAAGCTCACTTCACTACATCTTGTGCCATAGGACATCTGGTAATCAAAATTCTCTTATTCTGAAATCCATTCTCTGTCTCTAATCCACTCTCCTTGGCTAAAGCCAATACAGGCTTGTACAGAATTTTGCTTTGTAACGAAGTCTATATAAGTTTCTAAACTTTCAGACAAGTCACTCTTTTTTCTGAGCTTCCTCATTTGTGAAATGAAAATGATGAAAAATAGCTAACTACACAGTTGTTATAGACAAATTGAGTATCTGAAATTACTTGTAACTGACATGCAGACATCATCAGGTATATTTAATGCCTCAGGTAGCTTGGATTCAGAGTTGATTGAGGAGCAAGCTCCTAAGTATCTCAGAGAATACCACCTGCTTACCAGGAATGATCTGGCCACAGCCTCAACTTCACCCTATTGTGCCTATTGGCCTTTGGCCACTGGAGGTTGACCCAGCAGTCTCACTCACAGCCTCCAGGAATCATCCACTTCCCTGGAGAGTTACAACCCAGGCCATTCACCCAGGAGGCAGCTTTCACGGTAGGCATGGTCAGACAAGTCCTGGAGAAGCCTGGTAGGCTCCAGAGGGAGCCAAGGAAACATGCCGTCTAAGGAGCTGCCCAGGATACATTAAAGCATGCGTTTAGACTTAGAATCATCCCACCGTACGCCTACACCCTCCTGTTAATACCAGAAGGAACTCAAACTTCATTTAGTTCAATCCCTTCGTTAAACATAACATGAAGAAGCCAAAGAGGTTCAGCAATTTGCCCTGACATCCCAGCTAAAAAGTGGCAGAATGAGACCTACAGTCCATGGATCCCCTGGCTGCACTTTCCTGCTTCTCCATCAAACCAACCTCATTTTAGGAAACATCTGGTCTTTCTTGCTCTCTTGTATGCAGCGCCCTCTAGCTCCCTCAACTCTAATAATCCTTTAGAAGCTCTAGGAACAGCACCTCATCCAGACTTCTTTTGCCACTCCAACCCCCACCTCTACTATAATTTGAGGGTGCTATATTTCATCCTTCCCCTGATATGATGGGGGAAAGATGTGGCCCATTCTGAGGAATGCATTCTGAGTAATGGCTAAATATGTTACTCATTTCAGGGTAAGTGTCGTTTGAACAAGGCACTCAGGGAAGCTTTTTAAAAATAATATTCTGGGCCGGGCATGGTGGCTCACACCTGTAATCCCAGCACTTTGGGAGGCCAAGGTGGGTGGATCACGAGGTCAGGAGTTTGAGACCAGCCTGACCAACATGGTGAAACCCCGTCTCTACTAAAAATACAAAAATTAGCTGGGCGTGGTGGCGCGCGCCTGTAATCCCAGGTACTCAGGAAGCTGAGGCAGGAGAATCGCTTGAACCCGGGAGGTGGAGGTTGCAGTGAGCCAAGATCGTGCCACTGCACTCCAGCCTGGGCGACAGAGCAAGATTCAATCTCAAAAATAGATAGATAAATTAAATTAAATAAATAATATTCTGAAGCAGGTGTCTTCATGTCAGATCAACCCTTATTCCACAGGTAAGGTAAAGGTTTAGGACTAATTTCTCTTCTCTTAATCCCTGACTCCTGTCTCCAAAGCTTGGGATGGTGGTAGCGTTGGAGGTTACACAAATGATACGGTTTGGCTGTGTCCCTACCCAAAATCTCATCTTGAATTGTTTGTAACTAACCTGCACGTTGTGCACATGTACCCTAAAACTTAAAGTATAAACAAAAAAAAAAGAATTGTAATACCCATAATCTCCACATTTCAAGGGAGAGGCCAGTTGGAGGTAATTGAATCATACCCACTCATGATGTTCTCGTGATAGTGAGTTCTCACGAGATCTGATGGTTTTATAAGTGTTTGGCAGTTCCTCCTGCGTTCATTCTCCTTCCTGCTACCTTGTAAAGAAGGTGCCTGCTTCTCTTTCACCTTCCACCATGATTGTAAGTTTCCTGAGACCTCCCCAGCCATACGGAACTGTGAGTCAATTAAACTTCTTTATAAATTACCCAGTCTCTGGTATGTCTTTTTAGCAGTGTGAGAACAGACTAGTACAACAAATAACTTGAAAAGACACTGAAAAAACAAAAAAGGCCAATATTCCCAACCTGGTTCTAATCTCTAAAGCTCAGTCTTTTGAAAGTTTCCTGCCCTACTCCAACCAAATTCAGCAATACATATTGACATCTGCTTTAGGCCAGTACTAAGAGTACAGAAATTAATAATAATAGGAGCAAATATTTATATGGTGTTTACTATGTTCCAGTAATTGTTCCAATTGCATGCATTAATTCATTTACGCCTCACAAGAACCCTGTGAGGTAGGTACAAAGATCTTTGGTTTACAAATGAAGAAACCAAGGCCCAGAGAGCAGATAGGTCTCTGCCCTTGAAATACGGTCTTGGGAAAGACAGCAGGTGTGCAATCAACTGCGAGAGAAGTCTGTGCAGTCAATAGTGTCATGTGGACAACAAAAAGCTGTGGAAGGACAGAAGGAAATATCAAAGAGGGGACCTCTCAAAAGGGGCAATTTGGGAGTAGAACTTGAAGGGTGACTAGGACTTTGCCCTCAGGAAAAAACAAGAGAGGAGTGGGCAAGAACATTTTAGATAAAAGAAGCAGCACTGCACTTGTCAAGGCTTGGCTGCTGAAAAGCATGTGGCACGTCTGGGACCATTCAGCATGACTGAAGTTCAGAGCTCTCTGAGAGCTACAGTAGAAGACAAGTTGAGATGAGTGAAGTGACAACACCTTGAGGAGAGAATCTTTGAAAGGTTTTTGAATGGGGAGTGCCAGCATCTACACTTTGTTTCAGAAAAGTAATTCAGTTATGTCTGTATTGGAGGTGAGAGTGACTGGAGGTAGAGGAACCCATTAAGATGCTGTAATGCTCAAGGTAAGATATGTTTTAGTTATTCGTGGAAATGGTAGAGGCACTAGGAGACAAAGATGAGCACACATAGTCCCTGACTTCTTAAAATGTGCATTCTGGTAGAGGAAGACCAGCGACACACAATAGTATAATTTAGAAGGTGATAAGAATTATGTAGGAAATGGAAAAGGTGATACAGAATTACTGAAAGTAGTGGCCATTAAGGCAAAGAGTGGAAAGCCCACAGGGACAGTTATCTAGGGCCTCATGGCTCTACACCCAAATCATGAGCTGCTCAGGAACTTCCCAGCAATGTCTCAGCTAGTAAAGATCTAAGCAAAAGGGGAGCAAAACTTGGACTGGGAGATTAATTTTTATGGTTTTCTCATTAGTAAAGCCTTAGCAACAGCCAGTGTGAGAGACTGGAACACAAGCATAGCCTGTTCTGTAGGCATTGTTGGTGTATGCCTTACATTATTACTCTGCCATTTTTAAGAAAGCTTTACCATTTTCCTTTCCTTTAATTCTTAAGAGTTTACATTTCCCTGATGAGAAGGAGCTAGGCATGAGTGGGCCTTAGTAGGAGAAAGATAATGTTAAGTGCAGAGCCCCAAGGCAGGAATGAACTTCCTATCTTCAAGGAACTGAAGGAAGGCCAAGTTGGTTGAAGCCAGGTTAGTCAGGTGAGCAGGGGAACAATGCCTGTGCCAAGGCCCTTGAGCCAAAGATTGAAAAACACACCAGCTGTTAAACAGTTGGGTTTATTACTTGTTGCAAAGAGGAGAAATGTACACCTTGGGGAACACTGAGATGCCTCAGTAAGAGTGTGTTAGAACCTATTATGGGATTTAGGCTTTGTTCCGGTGATTTGGGGGTAGCTCTAAGGAAGCAGAGGTTTGCTCTGGATTGGATGCTGTCAGAAAGTGGGGACAATTCTATGGGTATTTTGTGAGTTGTGCATGCGTGACCTTGTTTTTATCCATGCTTAGACAAGACAAAATTATGAAGTGACCTTGTTTTGTTTCATTTTATCATGGTCTCCGAGTAACTTTGTCTGAGGTTGTTATTCTATCATACTGTTTAGATTTTTTAGGCTCACTGGGCTATGAGCCTCAGACTAGCTTCTAATAATATTGCAACCGAGCTGTAAACATCAGATCAATTTTGGACATCAGGAGTACATTTTTTTCTCCTCGTTAGTGACAAGATTATGTATAGAAAGAGATCTGGATTTTATTCTAACTGCTGAGCACAGACAACAGGTCAGTGTGTGATTAGCATTGCCACCTGGATAACAAAGAACAGCTCTCAGATTTAAAAAACAAAACCAAGATATGCAGTCTTAGAATTGCCCCTGCTCTTCCGACAGTACTCAATCCAGAGCAAAGCCACACGTCATTAATTCCTTACCAGAATTCACTAACCCAACTCCAAATCCTACAGCAAATCCCTCCTAACAAACACTTTCTCACTGGGGTGCTCCAAAGTCTCCCATCGTGTGCCCTCTCTCCTCATTGCAACAAGCCAATAAACCCAATTTTGTCTAACTGTGGACATTGTCCCAGTGGTTTGGGCTAAAGGGCATCAACACTGCAAAGAGAAACTACTGGAAAGTTTTACGCAGGAAAGTGACATGATGGGGTATATATTTATTTAAATGAGTACTCAAGCTGCTATGGGCAGATGGGCTTATAGGGGCAAGAGTGTGGGAGAAAAAAATCCGAATGATGAAAAGCCAAATTAAAATGATGAGCAAAAGAGGACAGCCCTGAAAAACATGACAGAGGATTTGGCCTGGAAAGCCATGGAGAAGGATGGTGAGTTTTAGGAAGAGAGAAGAACCAAAGAGCACTCCCTCCCCAACTAGGAGGATAGAGAATAAATTAGGCAGGAAACAAGGAAAGGGGAGTAGATATTAGGCATAGCATAGAAAATTGCCAGCCTAGATTTTAAGTATGTTGAGTTGATTATGGAGAATAGGAAGCATGGGGAAAGGAGTGAAGAGATGAGTGACAGAATGAAGCTGGTTAGGAAGATTGGGGCTCGGTCCTGAAGGGCCTTAACATCATGCTGAGGAATTTAGATTTCATTCTGTAGATATAGATAGTGACCCTCTTAGTCAACATTAGGCCGGGTGCGGTGGCTCATGCCTGTAATCCCAGCACTTTGGGAGGCGAGGCGGGTGGATCACGAGGTCAAGAGATCGAGACCATCCTGGCCAACATGGTGAAACCCCATGTCTACTAAAAATACAAAAATTAGCTGGGCGTGGTAGCGCCCGCCTGTAGTCCCAGCTGCTCGGGAGGCTGAGGCAGGAGAATCGCTTGAACCCGGGAGGCGGAGGTTGCAGTGAGCCAAGATCACGCCATTGCACTCCAGCCTGGCAACACAGCAAGACTCTGTCTGAATAAAAAAATAAAAAATAAAAAAAAATCAATATTAAAGAGACCAAGACAAGAAGAAAGGATAGGAAAGACAAGGAAAAATCTCCGGAGTCATGTCACATCCTCTGCCTTAGTTCTTTTTGTTGTTGTTTGTTTATTTTTTGTTTTTTTTGTTTTGTTTCCTCTGCCTTAGTTCTAAAGGGAGCTAAAAGGGTCCTCTTGTTCAAATCCAAGCACAGAGTCTCCTCTGATTCTGGGTCACTAGAACTTTAGTAGACCTAAAGCATATTGGTAAACCACCCACTTTCTATTTCTCATCTTGGGCAAATTTGCATCTCCTAAGGAAAGTTTCATGTTATTTATTTTACTCTATCCATGCTCCCTCCTCCATCTCCACATAACTAACTCCTGTTCATGCTTCAAGATCCATGTCATCTTTTTGAAAATGTCCCTGACTAGTACCCTGCTATCACTGCTGTCTCCTCTTTGCTGCAACTTTACCTTGTACATTATCTTCCATCAGTACAGCTTCTACTGCTGATTACTGTCACTACCACTGCTACAGACAAGGACATTGAGCTCTGACATGGAAAAAGGTGCTTTGCACACAGCAGCTCTATTAATCCTTAACACAACCCATTGCACTTCCTGATAGCTGATATCATTCTCACTTTATAGATGAGAGAACTGAAGCTTAGAAAGGTTAAATCACAAAGTTGCAGAGCTGCGATTAAAATTTATGTATTTGGGAATACTTTTTCTTTGTATAACTATTATATTACATAACACATTGCATATTAATTATTTGTGTATATAGCTCTCTCCTGGTGGAGTATGGGCTCTTTGAAGGCAGAGGCTATGTATTCTCTGGCATATGATAAGTGCTCACCAAATGTTACCTGATTAAGAGGAGGAAGGCAGGTAGAGATAGTGAGGGAAAGAATGCAAGGTGGTGTGCAATGGGAGAATTACTGTTTCATACCAATGCCTATCAACCTTTTTCATAGAAATGATGATGTTTTTATGGCACACTGGGACAAATTGGGGGATCTAGATTCTAGGAGAAAGCTGCTCTAGGCTGGAGAAAACGGACCATCATAGGTATAGTATCTGTAGCAAGTTCAGTTAACCACTTGGGTTACTGTAGTGTTGAAGGGATCAATATATCCTGGGCATCTGTTGGGCATTCTGTGCTTTATATTAGGCGTTAGTAAGCTATTTCTTAAAGGGCTAGAAAGTAAATGTTTTAGTCTTGTGAGGTATAAGGTCTCTGTCACAGCTGTTCATAGGCAATAGATAATACATAAACAAATGAGTGTGGGTGTATTCCAAAAACAACTTTATTTACAAAAACACGTGCCTGTCCTGTGGGTCTTGTTTGCTGACCTCAGTTTTAGATGAATATTGTGCTTCAGAGCCTTTGGGTTCTCCTCCTCTTAGTCTGATTTTTAAAATGTGGATGATGTCCAATTTATTAGTTTGTTCTTTTACAGTTGTGCGTTTGATGTCATGTTTAAAAATCTTTGCCTAACCCAAGGTCACAAAGACTTTTTTTCCCCTATATTTTCTCCTTCAGTGCATTTTATTCACAGCACAATCCTTCTTAAGAATGAATGAATGAATAAATAAGTTAAATGAAAGGAAAGAAGATCTTTCTTTCTTCCCTACTTCATACTTTCCCAACCCCAGACTCCCAAACCATGAAGCTCAGCAGATACTCCTTGAACTCCGTCTGATTTTTGAGCCCCTAACCTTGCCGATCTGTTTACCTACAACTTAGTGATTCCCAGCCTTTCAATGCTGCAACATATTCTTTTTACAACATACACACCCCACTTTTACTTGCACACCTCCACACACACACACTTGGTTTAAAAAAATTAGTCTCAACATAGTTTTGAAATTAAGTTTAAATTTATTTTTCATTGTCAAATTTTTTAGGAACTGAAGAATATCTGGTTTATGACAGCCCATCTCTATGAGGTAACGAGAACTATCACCAGGCAGGATGGAATTTGGACCAAGAGCAAGGCTAAAGGAGTGAGACTGGGGCTGAAATGAGGAGTGGGCCTAGAAGGTGGGTTTCAGAGGTTTACTAGGTCTTCCTCCACAGCTACTCAGCTCTGTACTCATTTCTTTTTATTTTTAAAAAAGAACATATAGTTTTTTTTGTAAATACATATCATATACAAATTTGAAAAATGAGTTATTCAAGAGGGAATATGAGGACAAAAAAGAAAAGTTGGAACTAAGATTGAGTTTAGCAACAGAAATGTTGTGGAAATGACCAGAATTTGGTTCTAAGCTTTCTAGAAGTCAAAATAAGGCAGAAGACCTCTTCATTTTACATAACTTACAGTATCCAATAGGGGGCAACAACCTAATTGTCCAAGAGGAGCTTGCTCCGGAGAAGACAATGTGTAACGTCCAAGGAACAACTCTGGGCCAGTAGCCCAGCAGTCACCATGCTATCATCAGCTGGGGTGGAATTACTGCAGCCCCTCCACCCGGTGACCCAGGGTTCTAAAAGGAACTTGGAGACCATATGGTTACACATGCTACCACCTCCCCCTTTGCCTTCTCTGTTGTTTACTATTTTTTGGTCAACTTGCCTAGAATATTTTGAGGCAGTGAAAACTAAGTTTTATTCATCTTTGTATTTATGATAGCACTTACAATGGACAAAAATGGGGCTCAAAACGGGTTTATGAATGAAATAATAATACACTTAAGAATCCAAGAGGGGCAGGTCATTTAAAAGAATCCAATAGCTGGTTCCTATCACCTGAGGCTTCATAAGACCTCTTTCTGGTTTTCTCTCATTCATTCAGCTAACTTTTAGAGCACATACCTCTAAAATTTACAGCACCTATCTCAGAGTTCTGTCTGATGCTCTGAGGCTGAGCCCTGGCAGTAACTACAATAAGGACAACACCAACCCTCCCCACACTAAAAGAGCTCTTAGTCAAATTGGAAAAAGAACTCATGCCAAGTGACATGCTCATATAAACATACTGCTAAGGTTGGGTGGTCGTCAAGAGGAGTAAGAGATGCTTTCTTCCTGGGAGATTGAAGGAGTATGTGTGTGTGAGAAGGAGGGGCAGGTAAAGACATATTCTCAAGGGAGCTGACATCTGAACCCAGTCTTGATTAATGAGTTAGACTTCATCAGGCAAAGGCACAGCCAGGAATCACCATGACACATCAGGGGATCAGTGTGTGGAACATATTGGGAGTGTGTCATGGGAGGGGGAATCTGAAGGCTAGCTAGAGATCAGGATGACAAGGGAGGTCAGGGCCCAATGACAAACAGTCATATCAAGGTGGATGTCATACGTTCCAGTTTATGAGCATTGTCCCATATAATTAAAACACCTTTTTTTTTTTTTGGTTTCAACCGGAGTTCAGATTTGGATGATAAATTATATGACTACTCTACTTATAAGATAATCCATTCTCTCTTCTCTCCCACCTTTCTTTTTAAACCTCAGGCCAAAACCTATTCTGCCTTGGCCCCCACCTCACCTTTCTCAGTCAGGGAGCTCAGTTTCCGGAGCCTGGGGATATTTTCAAAGAAATGAACTGAGGCCATCATAATGGAGCTTCCAGTTGCTGTTGAAAGGATTCTCCCAGGCCAGCAGAATTGAACAAATCTATGTGTGTCTGGCTGAGGCCAGAAGGAGTCTGGTGCTCCTGCTCCCAGCCCTGGATCAAACTCTGTTTCTTTCTGGGAAGTCCTTCTTTTCTTTCTCACATCTAATCTTCAAGATGCAGCAGAAATTCCATCCTCTTCCAGAAGCCTTATCAGACATCTCTCAGAATTTGTATCCCTCCTTCATTTTCCCATAGAAAATGTTTGAAGCTGTATCACATTTCACAATGAGTAATTTATATATTAGGTGTATCTGCCCCACTCAACCATGAGCCCTGGTTGGACATCTTTATGTTCTTCATGGTACATAGAACTCTGCCACTCACGTCCTCACATCACCATCAGAATGATCATCATGGTCAATTCCACATCATGACAGCTCAAGGTGACAGGCCAGGTACTATGGGGAAGGGTTTCCTTGCAGTATCTCATTTAATCATCACAGTAATTTTATGACATCAATTTTAATATTATCCCAACTTTAGAGAAGAGATTAATTCCCAGAGTGGTGGGACAATTTGCCCAGGGTCACTGAGCCAGTAAGCAGCAGTGCTGGGACTTGAGCCTCGGTCTGTGTGATCTGACTCTGGGATCTCAATCCTAAAGCAGCAGCAAATCGTCATAGATATGAACTTTCACATTTAGAAAGGCCAGAGAGTGTTCCAAAGTGCTTTGCTTCCATTAGCTCATTTAATCCTCTCAAGTAACCTAGGAATTTGACACACTAACTCCATTTTAAAGAGGACCAAGCTGAGGCACAAAAAACTTGCCAGTGACGAGTATTTGCCTCCACGTGGGTGAGGACATGCTTGCCATACCTGAGCACAAGCATCTCTGCCAGGTACTTGGCCTCCTGGGTCTGGGTGGTTCTCCAGGTGGTTGCTGAGGGTCCGCACATGCTGCGAGAAGCAGGGCTGAATATCAGGGGTTTCTGGGACCTTCAGAGAGTAGATGCTGTGGTGGACCTGCACTCTGGCTGTGACCTACAACCTGATGGAACCCCGGGTTGTACGCCTTGACGTTCTGGCACTTGGCTGAGAACTTACCATTAAGGCTGGGGAGGAAGCGGAGCTTAGCACTGATGGAGCCGCCCAGGCTTTGGTGTAGTTGAGCCAGTGGTCAACAAGCTCTGCCTGGGTTTCTATGACCCTATCCCTCCTGGCACCATGTGCACATGGTCTGGAAAGAGGTGGTTACTTGCTGCAATGCCAGCCCGAGCTCTGCATTACTTAGGTTTTTCTAGCCGCTGTCCAGCAGTTCCCCCTGCACGGACATGTTCAGTGCCTGCTTGCAGCCTTGAAACCCCAGCATCCTCGCAGGCCTCATCATTGGAACCCTCTAGGGGCTCCTCCTTTTTCTGAGACTAGCTACTGCTCTAAATGAGCCTCTGAAATATGTGCTTTATAATCTCATTTACCCTCTCACCATTCTACTTTTGCACATTTGCAAACTAAGACCCACAGAAGTCAGGTAAAATGCCTAAGGTCACAGTACACAACAGAGCTAGCATCTGAATCCAGGTTCTTTGATGCCAAAGCACAATTTCCATTCACTGATCTATGTGTGGTGTTTCTCCTTTCTATTCAGTATCAGTGTCTTGATTTTTTATCCCTCTTAGGGCATTTGCAATTAAAGAAGGCTCACGGAAAGGAGCATGGGATTGCTCCTGGTTCCAGCTGGTTCTAACAGTGTGCTTGGAGCAGAAGTCTTTTCTCTCCACCCTGTATGGGGAGAGGCAGCACTGGCCAGAGGAATGGGTGCTTCTCAAGACCTGAATTGAAATCTGGGTTTTGTCATTTCATCAGCTGAGCCCTCCCACTCTCACGGCTTTCTTCCCTGAGTCCCACTTCCTTCATCTGTTACAGAATGAGAACAATAATAACCTCTTCAAGCTTGAGCTGTTGGATATAAAATGCCCAGCAGAGTGCCTGGCACAAAATAAGGTGTTCTTTTAGGGAAGTGGGTTAAATGGCTTGTTCAAGGTCTGGGTTTGCATCCAGGTTTGTCTGAATCCAAAGCCTAGTGCTCTTTCAATGTAATGCTTCTTTCCAATCTCTATGTTTGCATTCTTTTATTAAAAAGTGTGATTGATTTATCATAAGGGAACCTGGGACTGGATTATTTGCTGGAGAGATGGCTGTCTTCTGGGAAACAAATCTTTTTTCCCTCTTGTTTCTTCCCAGGACAGGGATAAGTAATCATGCTGCTCAGTCCCCTAGCCTCCTGACCTGGGAACAAGTGCTTCATGGCATTATAAATTCAAAGGAGTCTGGGAATTCAGCATGTTTGGTTATATCTCTTTCCCAGAACCTGGCACCAGTCTGTGGGCATTTCATAGCTGTAGATACAAGTGAAAATAATCATGCTTTGGCTGAATGGTGGTGAATCATTTGCTGACAAGGACAAGATACCAACAGGAGGAGGGCAAGGAAAACTCTCTGAGGATGTTTTGTTTTCAGCCCTGGGCAGCATTTGCTGAGCTGGGAGATTAGGAGGCATCATTTGGTGCCCAGTACTCACATCCCCCAATTGTTCAGAGGCAGTGTAAGGACGATGCAGGCAAGACAGTCTTCAGAGTCAGATGCCAAGTCCTCATGTGACCTTAGAAAAGAAGTGTGACTTCCTGTAAAACAGGAACAAACAGGACTTTTTAGCTGTTAACTTAAAAAAATTACAACACATGCTTGTTATGGAAAATTAAAAGTGTAAAGAGGTTATATAAGGTAAAAAATACCTTCTTCATCCAGCTGTGCTTCCCAGAGATAACCACTGTAAATAGGAGGTGTGTCACCTTCCAGACATGTTTCTATGTGTGCACACATGGACCCAGGCACATAGGCACATACTACTTTCTTTTACAAAAATATAATAGTGCCAGGCCATATATACTTTTGCCTATGGAGAAGCTGATTCCCAGAGAAAAGAAGTGATGTGCACAAGGTCACACAAAGACAGATTGGAGCAGAGATGGCCCTGACCCTGTGTCTCTTGCCTGTATTTCCAGACTCAGACCGCCTCCTACCCTGCCTCACTCTCTTGGGCTGTGTGCATTCTAATTGAGCACCATAGGGGATACAAATGCAGACAATTATTCTGGCAGATAGTCAAGGGCAATAGTCAAAATATTTACTACTCTGCAAGTTGCAGCCCCAGCCAATCAGAACTAACATTGGCTGCAAATGACCTTCCTGAGGTTACTGGCTAAATATTGGCCCTGCATGTAGGAGTCTCATTTCACACCCTACATATCTCTCCACGGATGGCTGGGAAGGAATCCATGAATGAATAAATGAGGATGCAAAGTGATCTGAAATAATATCGCAAAGGAAGAAAAACTTCTTTCAATAGAAGTGTAATGTTATCAACTGCAGTGTTATCTGCCTATATATTTTTACAATCAGAGCCCTGTGAAAGGAGAAGAGGCAATAATAGAAAATGAAGGAAATAGAAAGGAGATGTTTATTGGAGTTCAACAGAACTGGACTCGAGATATGGCTCTGCGCTTAGTGGCTCTCAGACCCTGGGCAAGTGACTTAATCTCCTTGACTTTTTTTTTTTTTTTCCTGTAAACATCTGTGAATGTGAGGAGGAGAGGCACAAAAAGTAACTTAACCATGATTATACTAATTAAGGGACAGATAGGCTGAGGGGTCTGAGGGACTTTTAGTCTAGTGGGCTTATAATTTAATGTCAGGGGTAGCCCAGGGATCCTGAATTTTGCCAACAGAAAAATCATGAGATCTATGCAGATTTGGACACAGGACTTTATTTCTCATAAAGGGTTATAGCCTGCCAATGGTCATCCTGACAGGCTGAGAAGTGTACCTTCAACAGAGACCGAAAGGCAGTACTTTGAAGAAGGAGGGGTTGAGGCAGGAGCTTTATGCTACATAGGTTGGCTAAATATACATATTCAACAGGTTACAGGAGAAGCTATGAATATTCACCAAGTGGTTTCTGATGCATGCATACTGAATAAACATGCATGCTACAAATGATCTATGTTCATATTGGAGAGGGTACTTAACATTTAAATTTATTACAATGAGGCTGTCTATATTTCAGAAGATAAAACAGGGACATAAATGTTCTCAAGTGCAAAGCCTCTATAAAACCGACCAGAACCAGTCCATAGTCGGTGGTCTTTTACCAGGAAAGTTACTGAAATCTCTTTCTTGTCTAATCAAAGCTGTAGTTATGGCTTGTGGAACAGGAGGTCGGTTAGTCAGCACATGGTGGTGAATGAGCTGCAGTTATTTTAATATTGCTTTCCTTGAGGCCAGTGCTTGTTGAGCTGCTTAAGAAAGAAAAACCTTGTGGCAGTTAAAACAAAGTTTATTCTTTAAGTGTAGGGGTGCGTGACTTAACCTTTGCCTGACATGGGCGTAGGTCCTGTTTATAATTGGATATCTTACTGCCACAAAGAGTCTGTTCTGTCAGTCATATGATCTCTATTTTAACATTCATGCTGGTCAGTTGGTGTGTCTGTATACAAAAGGGAGAGGATATAACGAGGCTTGTGTGATCTCTTGTCTCCTTATGGCCAGGAACTCCATTTTTAAGGTTTCTCTGAGGTCTCCTTGGCCAAGAGAGAGTCTGTTCAATTGGTTGGGGTGGGTGCTTAAGGTTTAAATTTTAGTTCTCAATCCCATATAGGGTCTTGAGACCTTTCTCATCCTCGATTCAATCTGAGGGCAATTCTGAGTTAAATCTCCAAATAACTTCTATTCTCTCCTTGTGCACCTCATCTCTACCCCAACATACACAGGAGAAGATCACCTGAACAATAAACTTGTAGGTTTAAAGAAACTACTAGGCACCTGGCAATCCCTTGCTTCCTGCAGTCTTCCTGTCTTTCTTGAGATACTTTTTCTTAAGGATTTCTCATGGGTCTGCCTCACTTGACAATGGATATATATACTCTCAGTATTTAGCGTGGAGAAGACCCAGACTCATGAAAGAGATGCAGAGAACTAGCAGGGAGAGACAGAGACAGAGACAGAGAAAAGCCATGACTAGCATCACTAAATTAACCATGTCCTCGAGACTCATAATTCATACCATCGTTATATGTTCTCTAGGTAATTTCTGCAACCTTCCAACAAGTATTCCCATCTCCTGAAGGACAGCTGGGATCATGGCAAACTCTGAGACAAAAACCTGCAGTGGCTCGTTGTTTATAGCATTGGCTCCCAATTAAGCCTGTTAAAAATAGAGGTTTTGGGTTTCAATGTATGGAACTTTAGAAGACGAGTTCTGAGAACTAAAACTATCTACGCCCTACAGAGCTTCTACATCAACGTGACATTACTATAACACTGTCTTCACTAGCATAACTTTACCATTCCAGTGACCGTTACATGGAAAAATGGCTCGATTATTCATTATAGGAATTTCCCAAAATATCCATCAACTCTTCAATGAAAAGTATCAACAGTTTTTACCTTTGAATCTCTTGCCTTGCCTTGCTTTTCCCACCAATCTTAAACTTCCATGTTGTGATTTTTGCCCTTTTCAAATCAAGACCTCCCCACTCTCTCCACGGAGGGAAGTGGCTTAAATGAAACTTAAATTCTCAATAAATTCTAACCTTGCTTTCTGAGATACTGCCAAATCTCTGCTGAAATGGTGTTTTCCCTATCTCATCAACAGTTTGTATTGATGATATTTGCGGAAATGGCATTTGACAGTCCCTAGAAAATTTTGTAGCACAGTTAGATTTGAGAATTCCTTGACAAAATTAAGTCCTAATTCTTGAGTTTAATGTTCAAGGTCGCCAGCAGTCTGACTGTTGCCTTGGTTTCAAATCAAATGTCCAATTAATCTCTTTTCCCTCTCTTTATTACACTTTATGCTTTCAAAACCTACACTATATTTATTTTTTGTTTTCTAATCTTATTTTTTACTGATGCTTTGTGTGTGTGATAACTTCATATATTCAAATAAGCTTTGAAGATCAAATTGGTGCAATTGGGATATCCATTACCTTAAACATTTATTTATGCTAGAAACATTTGAATTATTCTTTTCTCACTATTTTGAAATAAAGAATATATTATTGTATAGTCACCTCTCTGATGTATCAAGCACTGGGTCTTATTTCTTCTATCAAACTGTATATTTGTACCCATTAATCAACCTCTCTTCATTTTCCCTCCCTGCTTGTCTTCCCAACATCTGCTAAACACCAATCCACTCCCTATCATCATGAGATCCACTTTTTTTAGCTCCCACATATGAATAAGAATATGTGGTATTTATCTTTCTATGTTTGACTTATTTCACTTAACATAATGACCTCTAGTTCCATTCGTGTGGCTGCAAATGACAGAATTTTATTCTTTTTCATAGATGAATAATATTCCATTCTATATATATATATATATATATATATATATATATATATATATATATACCACATTTTCTTTATCCATTCATCCATTGATGGGAACTTAGGTTGATTCCATATTTTTGCTATTGTGAATAGCACGGATCTCTAGGGCAGGAGCAAAATGCTGCCAGTCTCTTTGCTAAAGCACAGCAAGAATCACCTTTGTTCCAATTCCCAGTAAGTTCCTCATTTCCATCTGAGACCGTCTCAGCCTGGACTTTGTTGTTTATATCACTATCAGCATTTTGGTCAAAATCATTCAACAAGCCTCTAGGAAGTTCCAAACTTTCCCACATCTTCCTATCTTCTTCTGAGCTCTCCAAACTGTTTCAATCTCTTCCTGTTACCCAGTTCCAAAGTTGCTTTCACATTTTTGGGTATCTTAATAGCAGTACTCCACTTTACCAGTACCAATTTACTGTATTAGTCCATTTTCATACTGCTATGAAGAAATACCAGAGACTGGGTAATTTATAAAGAAAAAGGGGCTTAATAGACTCACAGTTCCATGTGGCTGGGGAGAAATTCAAGCTGGCTTATTCACTATCATGAGACTTATTCACTATCATGAGAACAGCACAGGAAAAACCTGACCCCATAATTTAGTTACTTCTCACTGGGTCCCTCCCATGACACATGGGGATTATGGGAACTACAATTCAAGATGAGACTTGGGTGGGGACACAGCCAAACCATATCATTCCACTGCTGACCCCTTCCAAATCTCATGTCCTCACATTTCAAAACCAATCATGCCTTCTCAACAGTCCCCCGAAGTCTTAACTCATTTCAGCATTGACTCAAAAGTCCACAATCCAGTCTCATCTGAGACAAGGCAAGTCCCTTCCACTTATGAGCCTGTAAAATCAAAAGCAAGTCAGTTACTTTCCAGATACAGTGGGGTACAGGCATTGGGTAAATACACCCATTCCAAATGGGAGAAACTGGACAAAACAAAGGGGCCACAGGCCTCATGCAATTTTGAAATCCAATAGGAGAGTCATTGAAGTTCCAAAATGATCTCCTTTGACTACATGTCTCACATCCAGGTTGCACTGATGTAAGAAATAGGCTCCCATGGTCTTGGGCAGCTCCACCTCTGTGGTTTTGCAGGGTATAGCCCCTGATCCTGGCTGCTTTTACAGGCTGGCATGGAGTGTCTGCAGCTTTTCCAGGTGCACAGCGCAAGCTGTTAGTGGATCTACCATTCTGGGATCTGGAGAAGGATGGTGGTCCTCTTCTCACAGGTCTACTAGGCAGTACTCCAGTAGAGACTCTGTGTGGGGCCTCCAACCCCACATTTACATTCTGCACTGCCCCAGTAGAGGTTCTCCATGAGGGCTCTGCCCCTGTAGCACACCTCTGCCTGGACATCCAGGCATTTTCATACATCCTCTGAAATCTAGGGAGAGGTTCCCAAACCTCAGTTTTTAACTTCTGTGCACCCACAGGGCCAACACCATATGTAAGCTACCAAGGCTTGGGGCTTGCACCCTCTGAAGCAATGGCCAGAGCTGTACATTGGTTTTTTTAGCCACAGATGGGACACAGAGCACCAAGTCCTGAGACTGTACAAAGCAGAAAGGCCCAGGGCTTAGCACACAAGACCATTTTTTCCTCCTAGCTCTCCAGGCCTGTGATGGGAGGGGCTGCCATGAAGACTTCTGACATACCCTGGAGGCATTTTCCCCATTGTCTTGGCAATTAACATTTGGATCCTTGATACTTATGCAAATTTGCAAATTTCTGCAGCCAGCTTGAATTTCTCCTCAGAAAATGAGTTTTTCTTTTCTATCACATTGTCAGGCTGTAAATTTCCCAAACTTTTATGCTCAGCTTCCCTTTAAGACACAAGTTTCAATTTCAAACCATGTCTCTGTGAATGAATAAAACTCAATGCTTTTAAGAATACCCAAGTCACCTCTTGAATGCTTTGCTGCTTAGAAATTTCTTCTTTCTCTGGTGCCTCCTTGATTAGCTTAATAATCAATGTTCTGATTTCTTTTTCTGGCAATTCAGAGATTTCTTCTTGGTTTGGATCCATTGCTGGTGTGCTAGTGTTATATTTTGGGGGTGTTAAAGTACTTTGCTTTTTCATATTACCAGAATTGTTTTTCTGATTCCTTCTTATTTTGGTAGACTGTGTCAGAGGAATGCTATGGGGCTCAAGGATACTCTTCAGATTCTTTTGTCCCAAGGGGGTGATCCCTTGAAGCCCTTCCACTAGGGATGGGGCTTCCTGAGAGGTGGACTGCAGTGATTGTTATTGTTATTCTGGACCTAGCCACCTAGAAGAGCTACTGGGCTTCATGCTGGTACTGGGGAGTGTCTGCAACTTGTCCTGTGATGTGATCTGTCTTCAGGTCTCTCAGCTGTGGATACCAGCACCTGCTCTGGTGGAGGTAGCTGGGGAGCGAGGTGGACTCTGTGTGGGACCTTGATTATAGTTTTATTTAGTGCACTGTTTGTTTGAAATGCTAGTTAATGTAGCAGTGAAGTTGTCACATGGACAGACTCAGGACCTCTGGTTAGCCAGGATGTTACAGGTGATAGAATTAGCTGTTGTTTTCTCCTTTCTTAGAGCAGGGTTGTTCTTTTTTGAGTTTCTGTAATGGCTTGAGTTTGTTGGCCTCCAACCAGGAGGTGGTGCTTTCAAGAGAGCTTCAGCTGCAGTGGTATAGAGAGAATACAAGCTTGCCCTAAGGTATTCAGATTTCTTGGGTGATGGGTGGGGCCACAGAGCTCCCAAAAGATTATGACTTTTGTCTTTAGCTACCATAGTGGTTAGTGAAAGACCATCAGGTGGGGGCAGTGTTAGGCCTGTCTGAGCTCAGACTCTCTTTGGCTGGGGATTGCTGCAGCTGCTGTGGGGGATGAAGGTGTGGTTCTCAGGCCAATGGGGTTATGTTCCCAGGGGGATTATGGCTGCCTCTGCTGCATCATACAGGTCACCAGGGAAATGGGGGAAAGCCAGCAGTGACAGGCCTCACACTGCTTACATGCAGCCAAAAAGGCCAGTCTCACTCCCACCATGCCCTACCAAGAGCACCAAGTTTATATCCAGGCAGCCGGTGAGCATGGCTGAGATCTTGCCCCAGGCTACAAGCCTCCCCACTGAGAAAGCAGATGTGGCTTTCATGCTTTACCCCTTCCCACCTGCTGTGGCTTCTGTACTCATATCTGCACTTCCTATTCACCCCCTATCCCCTAGATTCTGCCCAGGAAAATTCATGTTCGGCTGAAATTATTTCAAAGTTCAGCTGGAAGTTTCCTTCTCACTGTGGTTCTTCCCCAATTCCACTGGCAGCCGTCCCCAAGGACCCCTGTAAGATAAAGTCAGAAATGGCTTCCCTGGGTTTCCTTGGGGGTCAGGAGTGTGTATACAGCTCTTTCCGCTGCTTCTTCTACTTTGATATTTCACTTGGCTCTCTAAATTTGTTTCAGCACTAGATAAAGTTAAACTCTTCTTCCACGATCTGGATTTTCAGGTTCCCCAGTGAGGATATGTGTTCAGAGGTAGACTCTCCCCCTCTCACACTCTGGGCATTCACAATTTTTCAGCTGTCTCATGGTGTTTGCAGCAGCAAGCTTCTTCTTTCAAAGGGTCAGTGAATTCTTTTGGTTTTTCTACTATGCTTCTGTGGTAGTTCTTGAAGCAACTGTTCACAATGTGAGTTTCCACATGCTGTTCTGTCTGTCTAAGTGGGAGCTACAAGTTATTCCTGCCTCCTATCTGCCATTTTTTTTTTCCAATTTGAGTTGGGAATGGTCTTTTAAATGTGTTGTTGAATTTGGTTTGCTGGTATTTTTTCATATCTAAATTCATGAGAGATGTTGGCCTGCAGTGGTCTTTTTGTTGTGTTCTTGTCTGATTTTGGTATCAAGGTAATGCTGGTCTCATAGAATGAGTTCGGAAGTATTCTTTTATCTGTAATTTTTTGAATAGTTTGAGTGAAATGGGTATTACCTTTCTTTAAATGTTTGGTAGAATGCAGCAGTGAAGATACTAGGTCCTGGACTTTTCTTTGATGGGAGACTTTTTATTATGGCTTTGACCTTGTTGCTTGTTACTTGTTGGTAAGTTTAGGTTTTCCATTTCTTCATGATTCAGTCTTGGTAGGTGTATGCATCCATGAATCTATCCATTTATTTTAGGTGTGCCAAAGTTTTGATGTGTATTTGTTCATAATAGTCTGTAATGATTTTTTTTTTGTATTTCTGTGGTCTCAGTGGTTATGTCTCCTTTTTATGTTTGATTTTCTTTATTGGGGGTCTTCTTTCTTTTTTCTTGGTTAGTATAGCTAAAGGTTTGTTTATTTTGTTTACCTTTTCAAAAAACCTACTCTCTGTTTCATTAATCATCTGGATTTATTTAGTTTCAATTTTATTTATTTCTACTCCGATTTTTATTATTTCTTTCCTTCTGCTAATTTTGGGTTTCATTTGTTCTTGCTTTTCTAGTTTCTTGAGGTTCATTATTAGATTGTTTATTTGAATTCTTTCTATTTTTTGTTGTAGATATTTGTTGCTATAAAATTCCCTCTTAGTACTGCTTTTGCTGTATCCCATAGATTTGGGTATGTTGTGTTTCTATTTTCATTTGTTTAAAGATATTTTAAAATTTCTTTCTTAATGTTTTTATTGACCTATTTGTTATTCAGGAATATGTTTAATTTCCATGTGTTTGTGAATTCTTCAAGGTTTCTCTTGTTATTGATTCTAGTGTTATCTCATTGTGGTCAGAAAAGATATTTTGTATGATTTCTACATTTTTTAATTTGTTGATACTTATTTTGTGGCTTCAGATATGGCCTATCCTAGAGAATGCTGCATGTGCTGATGATAATAATGTGCATTTTGCAGCATTTGGGTGAAATGTTCTGTAAATATCAGGCCTACCTATTTGGTCTAGTATGCACTTTAACTTCATTGATTATTTGTTGATTTTCTCTTTGGGTGATCTGTACATTACTGAGAGTGGGGTGTTAAACTCCACTACTATTATTGTATTGCCACTTATCTCTTATTTTAGAATTATTAGTGTTTGATTTAAATAGTCATGAGTGCCTATGTTGAGTGCATACATATTTATAATTGTTATATTCTCTTGCTGGGTTGACCTGTTTATCATTATATAGTGGTCTTCTTTGTCTCTTATTAGTCTTTGACTTGCAGTCTATTTTATCTGACATACATATAGCTACTCATATTCTTTTTTGGTTTCCAGATGCATGAAATATCTTTTTCCACTCCTTCACTTTTAGTCTATGTGAGTCTTTATAGGTGATGTGGGTTTCTTGTAGGCAGCATATAGTTGGTTCTATTTCTTTATTCATTTAGCTACAGTCTGCCTTTTAATTGGAGAATTGAGCCCATTTACATTTAATGTTATTATTGATAAGTAAGGACTTTCTATGGCCTTTTTTCAGGTTTCTTTTCTGGTTGTTTTGAGACTCCTCTCTTCCTGTTTTCTTTCTTTATTGCTTTCCTTTGTGAGTAAGTGATTTTCTCTGGTTGTATGTTTTAATTTGTTGCTTTCTATTTTTAGTAAATTTATTATAGGTATTTGCATGTGGTTACATGAGGCTCACAAAGAATGTCTTATAGATAGATATAACAAGTTATTTTGGGCTGGACATAGTCACTCACACCTGTAATCCCAGCACTTTGGGAGGCCAAAACAAGAGGACTGCTTGAAGCCAGGAGTTTAAGACCAGCCTGGCCAGCAAAGTGACCCCTGTGAGACATTGTCTCTGTAATTTTTTTTAATTAGCCAGGCATGGTGGCATGTGCATGTAGTCCCAGCTATTTGGGAGTGTGAGGCAGGAGAATTGCTTGAGCCCAAGAGGTTAAGACTGTGGTGAGCTATGATTATGCCATTGCAATCCAGCCTGGGTGACAGAGCAAGACTCCCTTTTTTAAAAAAGTATTTTGAAGAGATGACAACTTATTTTAGATTACCAGGAAAAAAAAAACAAATAAAAAGTGAAAGAAAACCTTTACACTTTAACTCCATTGCCACCACATTTTGACTTTGTGTTGTCTCAGTTTACATGTTTTTTTTTGTTTTCCATCTCTTAACTGGTTAACAATGTTAGCTATATCAATAACTATTACTGTTTTTGATAGATTTGTCTTTTGGCTTCATATTAGACTTATGAGTGTATTACACACCACAGTTACAGTAGGAGAGTATTCTGGGTTTGTTTACATACTTATTTTTAGCTGTGAGTTCTTTTTTTTTTTTTTTCTTTTTTTGAGATAGAGACTTGCTCTGTCACCCAGGCTGGAGTGTAGTGGTGCAATCCCAGCTCACTGCAACCTCCACCTCCTCGGTTCAAGTGATTCTGCTGCCTCAGCCTCCCAAGTAGCTGGGATTACAGTCACCTGCCACCATGCTCAGCTAATTTTTGTGTTTTAGTAGAGACAGGGTTTTGCCATGTTGACCAGACTGGTCTCAAACTCCTCTTCTCAAGCAATTCACCCCCTTTAGCCTTCCAAAGTGCTGGGAATACAGGCATGAGCCACCATGCCTGGCCAGCAATGGGTTCTATACCTTCAAATATTTTCTTTTTGTATGTTAGTGTTTTTTCTTTTTCTATTTCTGATTGAAGACCTCCAGTTGGGATTTCTTGCAAGACAGGTCTGGTGGTGGTGAATTATCTCAGCTTTTGTTTGTCCAGGGAAAACTTCATGTCTTCATATTTGAAAGATAGCTATTTTGGATACAGTATTCTTGGATTATAGGTTTTTTTCTTTCAAGACTTTGAAAATATACTACTCTCTTTAGTCCTTCTTTTCTTTGAGAAATCTGTTGCCAGATGAATTGGAGTTCTTTTGTATGACATTTGGATCTTTTCTCTTGCTGCTTTTAGGATCCCCTCTCTCTTTGATCTTTGAGAGTTTTACTATTATATGTCTTGGTGTAGTCTTACTTGGATTGAATCTGTTTGTTTCTCTGATCTTCTTATACCTGGATATTTATATCTTTTTTTTAAGTTTTAGAACATCATCTTTTTGTTATTATTTCTTTGAATATGCTTTCTACCTCTTATTGAATTCCCTTTTAAACTCCAATAATTCTTAGATTTGGTCTTTTAAAATTATTTTGATCTTGTTAAATTTCTCTGATAAATTTCTAAATTATTTTTTGTGTTATCTTGGAGATCTCTGAGTTTCCTTGAAACTGCTATTTTGAATTGTTCATCAGAGTTCACATATCCTCATCTCATTAGGGTTAGTCACTTGTGTTTTGCTTTGTCTGTTTGGGGAGGTCATAGTTCTGTTAGATGTTGTTTCTTGTGGATGTATATCTATGTCTTTGCATTAAAAGATTATTTATTTATTTCAGTCTTCTCTGTTTGGCTTGTTTTGTCTTTTACTATATATGTATGTTTAGAGATTCTTTGTAATTTACCTGTTGATTGTCTTTTCTTTTCTTCTTTCTTTCATTCTTTTGTTTTCTTTCTCTCTCTTTCTTTCTTTTCTGCTAGGTTGTTGTCTCCTTTTCAGCTCTAGATGACAGCTTAAGCCTAGGTCTGCCTCTAAACAATCAGAGTGCCTCCTGTCTGGAATGCGGTGGCCTCAAAGGGGATAATGGGGGAAGGCCAGATAGGCGTTTGTGCCCAGAAGACCTGTGGAACAAACCTCCTATAGCATGGTGCTGCTGAGCAGCCACTCTGATTTGGCATCTCCTTTGGCTGACTTACAGAACAGAGTTTCCAGGGCCGGAGATGATAGTCTCACCTCCCCCATTTGTCTCTGGCTGTCCTCTGAGATATGTTTTCCTTTAGGCATTTCCAATGATTCTCTTGGGTTGAGGCAGAGACCTGTTTCCTATCAGGAAACCCAAGATGATGGGGAAGCTGTTTGTCAACCTTGATCTCACTTTTACAGTGCAGAAACTGTGATTTGAGGAGAAACTTTTCACATACTTGGTGTTGAGCAGATTTCAGGGAGCAACATTGCTGATATGGATATCTGATTCTCTTACTGTCTGCTCAGAGCTTTTTCTGAGCATCTCTCTGTGGCTCTGGGAACTATCTTCTCCTCATATTTGAGTTCTGGGACATTACTGGTGATAATCTTGGTGCTGTATTTTTTTTTCTGGTTTTCTAGGACAATGGGAGGTAAAACTAACTTGCTTCTATGCCACCATTTTGGAACCAGAAGTTACAAACTCTACACTTTTCACTAGCCTGTATTCTTGTATTTTATCAGCTTCATGCTTTTATTCATGCTTTAGGCTGTGCTAATCCTCCTACATCTCAGCATCTTTTTCTTACCTGTGTTGTAACTGGTCTCCAAAGGCAGTTCCAAATTAACCACCCACCCCAGGATTCATCCCACTTGGAAGTCCTGTTCTACAGTGAATCTGTGCTGGCCCTGTGACTCACTTTAATTAAATATTGCAGACATGAAGCTGTCCCTACACCTAGAAGGCCTGGGTGCTTTCATATCTAGGAACCCAAGCCAACCAGCTATTCTAGCTCTGTCAGCATCCTGGCTCAGCCTTTATGCTATTTTCATGTAAGTGCTAGATATGTAGCTGAACCATGTTGGACAGTCAGGCCTAACTGAGCTCCTGGCCAGCATACCAGGGAACACAAGTGGTGTCCTGCTGAGCCCATTGAAACCACAGAATAGTGAGGGAAAAAGGACTGTTGTTTTAGACCACCCGGTTTTGTGGTGGTTTGTTATGTAGCAATAGAAAACCAAACACCACTTTCAAGGCCTTTCTCAAAAGCCACTCCTTTAGTAGGCGTGTCACTATCCCACTACTGTCCCATTCCACAGCTGGAAGTGGGAATCACATAGTTCCATAGTGTAGTCAAACAGAAGATATTTAGCTTCCTGAGTGGAGCCTTCCAACTTGTCTTTGCCTCCCTAAAGTGTATTTCATAAATTCAGCATGTTTTATAATCAGTGGGCCTTTTTAGGTGAGACCAGCAATTTAGGAAAAACTGTTAAGGGGTAGAAAAATTTGTGGTATACAATTACCCCCAGCAGATCAAATGTGCTTCCTACAGAGATAAAACTACTATCCAGAGAGGGGATCATAGCTTTTGATTTTGAAAGTTAGCCAGTTTACAGCTTATCTACTAGAGACAGGGATAACTACCATATTAAGGAAATATAGAGGTATAACCCCAAGAGCATGTATAAAGAAAAACGTGGAGGGAGATGATATGGTTTGGCTCTGTGTCCCCACCCAAATCTCATCTCAAATTGTAATCCTCAGGTGTTGAGGGAGGCACCTAGTGGGAAGTGATTGGACTATGGGGGCGGTTTCCCCCATGCTGTTCTCATGATAGTGAGTGAATTCTTACATCTGGTGGTTCTAAAAAGTGTTTAGCAGTTTCCCCCACACTCTTCTGTCTCTCTCCCGACACCATGTAAGATGTGCCTTGCTTCCCCTTTACCTTTCGCCATGAGTGTAAGTTTCCTGAGGCCTCCTCAGCCATGCAGAAGTGTGAGTCAATTAAATCTCTTTTCTTCATCAATTACCTGGTCTCATGTAGTATCTTTATAGCAGTGTGAGAATGGACTGATACAGAGGACATGACATTCGAACTTCTTGGTTTATAGTGCAGGCTTTTCACTAAATTGTTACCCATGACCATACTTTCTGCCTGTTTTAAAAGCCAATAAAATACAAGTCTTCTTTAGTGATGAGCAGTTGATTTTATTCTGGAAGCCTGGAACTCCTCGCTGTGTCAGCATCACCGACCAGCAGAGGGCGGTGCAGATGCAGAGGCACACATCTCCCTGCAAGTGAGAAACGCTGTGAGGAGTGTAATTTGCTGGCAGCGCCCAGGGGCTGCCCACGTGGGATGGCACTTGGGCCAAGTCTGTACTCTCCCCATGCTTCCTCTAGGGGACTGAAGGGGTCTTTCTTAGAAAGATCTTGCAGCTAAAACTTGAAGAATGAACAGAACTTACACAGACTAAGAGAGATAGCAAAATGTTCTAGCAAAGGAATTATTCATAAGCCAGACTACAAGCAGAATGTCACTCCTCTCCCTTGGTTACCAAGGAACTGTGCTCCTAGCGGATCCACCTCCTTTCCACGAATGGTCCTAAATGTGACCTCACCTTGAATCTGAAAATGCTGCTTCTGGTTGATGGGCCCTGTAAATCCTCTGGGTTCTTACCCAGGTAAGTGTTGGTGTCGTGATCAAAGTCATCTGTCGTCTTCTGGAGGGGTTGGGGAAAAAAAAGTGTTGGACTTTGAACACTGGAGAACCTACGTGGACAGAAAACCTGTTCCTCTATTTTGGCATAAATATCACTGGGGAATGAACTCAGGTCCCAAAAGAGAGCAGTCACTTCCACACATTCTTGTGGCCAGATGACAGTTGTGTTAAAATTAAGCAACCTGTCCACCAGCACCTGGAGCTAGAATGCTTCCTCTGGTTTATGTGGAAGAGAAACCTATAGCAGCTCGAATAGGGAAAGTCAGAACACTGGGAGAGGGCACCAGATCATTGTATGGGTGCGGATAAATCTTGACATAAATTCATAGGCTCTCAGGGATGGCAGGGTTGGGGTCTGTATACAGCATGTTCACTAAGTGGTATCTGCTTGAACAGCTATAGTTACAGAGAACTCACCACCTTCAAAGGCAACCCAGTCTGCCCTTGATCTTCTCTGACTAATAGAAAGGTTTGCTTTCTGCTTAGTAGAAATGGATCTCCCTGGTGATCTCATGTTTCATTCTCAGTTTTGGCCATAGTGAACAATTCTACCTTTTATTTTCACCTGACAGAGCTTCAAGTTGTTGAGTAATATTCAACCAATTATTGCTATACAATAATTGTTATTATACTTCAAACAGCCCATTCTATGTCAAATACTGTGCTAGACATTTAAGATATTATACAGTTTAATCTTTAAAACCACCTGTTGATGCAGGTCCTATTCTCATTTTAGAGTTGATGAAACTGAGGCTGAGAGGCAATAAGTAACTTGCTAGTAAGTCATAGAGTTGGGGTCCCATCCAGACTGGTGCCACTTCAGCCCTCATGTTCTCTACTCTCATGCTTCACATTTACAATCTAAGATGATTAAAGAGCTGAGAAAGGGGTGTGGAGGGAAAAGATTGGTGAAAGGAAAACATACATCCTAAGATGTTTCGTATGTTGGAGAGAATGTGATGTTTTAAAAGAAATGATTGTATTGTTTATAGCTGAACTTGACTTTCTTTAGGTCTAGGATGAAGAAGCTACTGGATTTGGAAGTGGGTGGTACAGGAAGTGGTTCATTGCCATGTGGGACCTGCGCTCCTGGCCATTCTGCAGGTAGCACAATGGTTACAAGTGCAGCCCTGGAGTCAGACTGTGGGGTTTGAATCCTGGCTTTGCTACTCACTTATTAACCATAAGTCCTTGGGCAGCTTGTTTAATTTTATTTTGCTTCAATTCCCTAATCTTTAAAATGGGAACGTGATAGTACTTCCTGTTGTAAGCATTAAATGAGATAAAACATTTAAAATGATATCTGGCACATGGTAAGTGTACCATAAATGCCAGCAATTATTATTGTTTCTGCCCCAAGTTAGTGGCAAAGCAAGGTAGGTTTGGAAACTCTAATTCAGTGCTATTTATTTATTTATTTATTTAGAGACTGAGTCTCACTCTATTGCCCTGGCTGGATTGCAGTGGCACAATCTTGGCTCACTGCAACCTCCACTTCCTGGGTTCAAGTGATTCTCTTGCTTCAGCCTCCCTAGTAGCTAGGATTACCTCCCGCCACCATGTCTGGCTAATTTTTGTATTTTTAGTAGAGACAGGGTTTCACCATGTTGGACAGGCTGGTCTCGAACTCCTGACCTCAAGTGATCCCCCTGCCTTGGCCTCCCAAAGTGCTGGGATTACAGGTGTGAGCCACAGCACCTGGCCTTTTTTCTTCTCTATCTTTGGTAGGCAAATAGATACATTGCACAAAGTATTGTTTGTTTCAGCTGCCATATTCTGATATTTTGAAAAGCATTTAATTGTGGTTAAAAAACACAGAGAAGTTAGCATCTTAACCAGTTTTAAGGGTACCTTGCTATAGTGTTAAGCATGTTCACATTGTTGTGCAATCTCCAGAGCACTTTCCATTTTGCAAAACTGAAATTCCATACCTGTTAAGCAACAACACCGCATTCCCTCCCTCCAGCCCCCGGCAACAAATATTCTACTTTCTGTCCCTATGGATTTGACTACTCTAGGTAGCTCATATAAGTGGAATCACACAGTACTTGTCTTTTTGTGATTGACTTATTTCAGTTAGCATAGTGGCCTCAAGGTTCATCCATGCTGAAGCATAGGTCAGAATTTGCTTCCATTTCAAGGCTAAATCATTTTTGTATGTAGATACTACATTTTGTTTAGCCATTCATCCATCTATGGACACTTGGATTGCTTCCAGTTTTGGCTACTGAGAATAATGCTGCCATGAATATGAGTGTATAAGTATCTTCTTGATACTCTGCTTTTTATTCTTGGGGGTTTATACCCAGAAGTGGAGTTGCTGGGCCATGTGGTAGTTCTATTTTTAATTTCTTGAGGAGCCTCTGTACTGTTTTCCTTAGTGGCTGCATCATTTCACATTCCCATTAACAGTGCACAAGGGTTTCCATTTCTCTACATTCTCACCAATACTTCTTTTCTGTTGTTTTGTTTTTCAATAGTAACCATCTTATTGGGTGTGAGATGGTATCTCATTGTAGTTTTGATCTGCATTTCCCTGATGATTAGTGATGTTAAGCATCTTTTCGTGTGCTTATTGGTCGTTTGAGAACAAAGAAGATATACAAATAACCAATAAGTACATAAAAAAATGGGTTCTTTGTCTATTTTTAAAGTCAGGTTGTTTTGTTTTTTGGTAGTAAGCGTTTAAATATTCTGAATATTAACCCATTATTAGATACGTGATTTGAAAATATTTTCTCCCATTTTGTGGGTTGTCTTTTCACTATCGATTGTGTCTGTTGATGCATAGAACTTAAAATTTTTGATATAGTCCAATTTGTTTTGTTTTGTTGTTGATGTTGCCTGTGCTTCAACTATCATTTCCAAGAAATCATCACCAAATTTAATGGCATGAACTGAGTCTAGTGTTTTTATCCTCAAATGTGGAGGTAGGTTCCATTGGGCATGAGAAACAACAACTTAAGCTTCAGAAACCCTTGACAGGTTGCAAAGTGCTTTTACCCACATTGGATTATTTAAACTTCAAAGCAACAATCAGTTCATGAATGATGAAACAGAGACCCAAGGAACCTAAGTGAGAGTTACTAAAAAATACCCAGGGGAAAAGCGTTGGGCAGAGTTATTGTTTAGGATTATTAATCAATGGTGGACCTGGGCCTGTAGTCCAATATTCAAAGTTGTTTCAATATCATACACGAGTTTTGGGAGCCTCTTAAATCTGCAAATTGAAATCAAGCTGAAAGTATCCAGAAATACAGGCCCCCCTTGCACACACACATTCATGGTAGCTTCAGATTATACTCCGGGTAGACTCAAAAAGGTGTTCAACTCCTGGGTCTTCTCCAGAGTCGGCAGTACGTGAAAGTGGGATAATGAGCAGCACAGCTGGATTCTTGTCCAAGAGGAGACCCAGAAAGAGCAAGAAACACTTTGGGCACATAGTGTTTAAAGAACTCAGAAGAGATAGACTGAATTATGGCCATACACTATGGCAAGGATAGATTGTTCCTAAATATTGATTTACCTCTTGGTGGCTTCCAATCCGCAATGGGCAGTTGTGGATCTCATTTTGTGACAGCAGATATGTAATCTTGTCAGGCTATTTGGTAGTGGAGCAAATAAACTTAAATAGAAGAGATTTCCCTCTCTGTAAGAGCCTCACAGAAGCCTACGCGTGATATTTGGGAGGAGGGGGTCTTACAACAGTGTCTTGACAAATGTGCCGATACATGAAATTTGATAGTATGCCTGTCAAGCACACTCTTCACTTGGGCAGGCTGGCAAACTGTCTTGGGAGTTCAGCTTCTGATGTGTCCCTTTGGGATGGAAAGGGGAGCCATGGCCTATTATCTTAACATAGGGAGCCAGCTTGTTTGTTTACCATGTGATTTGCCTTTCTTCTCAGGTCTCAGTTGCCTGGTAGAGGACCTGAAGGCTTGAAGAGCTGCAAACTGCACATAAACCCTCTTGCTGTTCACAATTACTCTGCAGGTGCAGGAGGAGAGAGGGTAGCTCATCAGAGCCATCTCCCAGAGCATCCACCTCTGACCCTACCAGAGTGCAAGAAACTTGCCATGACATGTTGAAAATGAGCTGGAGTACGATGTCATGTGCCTAGCCACAGAATATGCTCTGGGATAATCCTTCAGGCCTGCCTCTCAGGAGGTTAATCTCATGCAGGGTCAGGCTTGGTATATGTAACTCCACCCTGTGTTGCCCCTTGTGGTTGGTAGCATTGCGTTTTGTCATCTTTTGCCTGAAATCCAGCCACTGGACAAGCACCAGACAGTATGAATTATTAGAAAAAGCATTGCAGGCATCTTTTTCCCAGGTGACCAAATATGCTGTCTGGATTGCATGATCAAACGTACTGTGAGCAGGAAGTCAGGAGTAGGCTAATGATGCTCTCATCTTCTGTCTCCTGAAATGGGGGTTCTTTGATAACCTGTGTTTAAATAGGCTGTGAAATTTGGTGTAGACATCTACACTCAGAGATAGTGGGGTATAAGCAAGCATCCTTCCTTCTCTTTGTCTCTCCAACATTTCTGTAAATTCTCTACTCTTCACACTTCTTTACATTTATATTCTGCCAACCATCATAGATGTTAGTAACAAAAAGGAATAAAAGGATCAACAAACAAGAGAACACAAGAGACTAGTTATACAAGGTACGGCAGGATTAAAACTAGGAACTGGTGCAAAAAAGAGAATAGATTAAATAGATGATATTCAAAGCAGAAGCATCTGAACACAAGAGGAGAAAAACAATTTTCATAAGAGCAAAGTTTAAAAGTAATTCACTAAAAATAAGATTGTTTGAAAAAACATAACATCAGGAAAATAAAAAGAATATTTATTCATAATAATAGTTATTATTCCTCATAAGGAAAGCTCACCTGAGACTTGGTGTCTAGTTTTTATTGGGGGTGACTCATCGAGGCATGGAGTCATATATTGACCTTAGCTACTTAGTCACCAGCCCTATACCCCACCCCAGAGGTCAAATTGAATACAGTGAGGCCCAAGGCCCCAGGTGAATGGAATGAAAACAGGTGTATTCCAAAGGCTCACAGGTTATTTACGAGAGTTGTTTATCACAGGCCAGTCTTTTCTTAGAAAAATGCAGGATTTGAGCAGCCCAGGCCTGCTGAGTTATGCTTGCTCCCAGGTGTGTTTAAGATGAAAGTAAAATATATAAAATGAAAAGGCAAAAGTGTAAGGCCACTAAGGTTAAAATCACCCAAAAATGATTGAAAGAAAAAAAGAAATTGCAGCCAATTATTAATCAGACTTGAAGTCTGTAAGGCGTTTACTGAGAAATTCCTTAGAGTAAGGTTTCCTGCTGAAGCAACAAGCTGTCTTTCTTCCTGAAGCAGGGCTTGGCAGAGAGCTGTGAAATACCCTGTGGTTTGCCAGGCTCTTCATCTCATGCTCTGATTATATGTATTTTCCTGCAGGGAGTTCTACGGGGCAGAATCAGCTATAGCTTCCCCAGCAGCATCTATAGAGTAGGTCCCACCCACTGCACAGTGAGGCTGCTGGGGCACTTACAGCAGGAGAATCTGCAGCACTTCTGAACCAAGTCTGCAGAGGGGATGGCTCAACTGGAGAATCAGCCATATATAAGGAGTAGCTGAGCAATTAGAGGGAACTAGACTAAGAAGTAGATTGGGATCTTTGTCCTCAACTGGGCAAAGATTGAAAACAGAGTCCAGCCCTTAGATAAAGTATAGATGACAGTGGAAGAGAAGAATGCGAGAGGGTCAGATTCTAACCAGGCAAGGAATGTGACTTGAATCCTCATTCCACCTTTGGCCTGACATTTAATCAGGTCATTCATCGGACATTCAGATCCATCTCAATGACATCTTGTTATCACATAAGGAGGCCGACAAGGAGTAGGGGAGTCTCTCCTGATCACCTTTGTTTAATTTCAGATTGAATATTTTATAAACAAACTGAAACTTATGCCTGAAGAATGTGTGTGAAGCATAAAAAGATAGGTTTAGCAGACCAAGGGCAGATATTTAACTTAAGAGTAATTGATGCTTTGGGCTGGGCGCGGTGGCTCACGCCTGTAATCCCAGCACTTTGGGAGGCCGAGGCGGGTGGATCACGAGGTCAGGAGATCCAGACCATCCTGGCTAACACGGTGAAACCCCCTCTCTACTAAATATACAGAAAATTAGCCGGGCATAGTGGCGGGCGCCTGTATTCCCAGCTACTCGGGAGGCTGAGGCAGGAGAATGGCGTGAACCCAGGGGGCGGAGTTTGCAGTAAGCTGAGATCGTGCCACTGCACTCCAGTCTGGGCGACAGAGCGAGACTCCATCTCAGACAAAAAAAAAAAAAAAATAAGAAGAAGAATAACTGATGCTTTGAAAGAAGATTGACCGAAGGATACAGGTGTGCAAGCAGAGACATCCTTCTGTATAACTGGCAAAATTAACAAAAGTGACCGACATCTAGTTATTTCCTACTGGACATTTTGAGTTTTAAGGATAAAACTATTCTCAAAGTATCCAGGCAGATTAGCTACAAAAGGGCAAAAGCATCAGGCGTCTTTGGATGTTTCTTCCTCGGCACCATTAGAAGTGAAGGAAGCTATCTGCAACATTTTGAGGGGAAAGTGTTACCAATAAAGGGTCCTGACTGCAAGTTGTCCAGGTTCTTGGTGTTTTGAACAAAGAATTGGACAAAACACACAGCAAAGTAAGGAAAGAATGAAGCAATGAAAGAACAAAAGCAGGAATTTATTGAAAATGAAAGTACTCTCCACAGTGTGGGAAAGGGCCCAAGGAGCAGCTCAAGTGCCCGGGATACAGAATCTTCTTGGGTTCAAATACCCCCTAGAGGTCTCCCATTGGCCACTTGGTGCTCACCTCATGTAAATGAAGTGGTGGCCTGGAATCAGGCTAATTGGTTGTGGAAAGCAACCAATCACACATTGAAGTAAAGTTACAAAGATCACACTCCTATGCAAACATCTGATTGGTTGCAGAAAGCACTGCAGTATTACGAATGGATATTATGAACCATATCACAGGACAGTGGACACTCCCCGTGATATGGGGAGTAATATCAACCCCTCTCCCACCCCCGGATATCACGAACGATATCACAGGGGGGTGGACACACTGGGTATTCACGATATTTCGAGTAATATTATCTTTCCTGTTGAAAATTATGATCAATATGACAGAAGAGTGTACACCTCCTGCCATATCGGGAGTAATATCATCCTCTCCCCCACTGGATACTGGGAACAATATCACAGGGGCGTGTACTCTCCCTTTGATATTGGAAGAAATATCATACTCATTTCCCGGATATTAAGAACAATATCACAGGGGAGGCGTACACTTTTACGATATTGGGAGTAATATCATTCTCTCTACCCCTGGATATTAGCAACAATATCACAGGCGGATGTACATTTCCTGCGATATTGAAGGTAGTATTATTGTCTCCCCCCCTGGATATTAGAAACAATACCACAGGGGTAATGTACACCCATTGCGATATTGGGAGTAATACCATCCTCTCCCTTCTTGGATATTAGTAACAATATAATAGTGGGGGTGTACACCCCTCGCGATATTGAATGTAATGTCATCCTCTCCCTCCCTGAATATTACGAAAAATATCACAGGGGGTGTACAACTTCTGCGATATCGGGAGTAATATCATCCTCTCCCCCCTGGATATTAGGAACAATATCACAAGGGTGGTGTACACCCTCTGCAATTTCGGGACTAATATCATCCTCTTACCCCCAGAATATTAAAAACAATATCACAGGGGGTGGTGTACACACCCTTTGATATTGGGAGTAATATCATCCCCTCCCTCTTTGGATATTAGGTACAATATTACAGGTTGGGTATACACCACCTGCAATATTGGAAGTAATATTATTTTCTCCCCTCCTGGATGTTAGCAACAATATCACAGGGGGTGTGTACAATCCCTGCGATATTTGAAGTAATATCATCCTCTCCCCATTTGGATATTAAGAACAATATCACGGAGGGGTGTACAACACATGCAGTATTGAAGGTCATATTATCTTCTCCAGCTTTGGATATTAGGATCAACATCACAGGTGGG
Source organism: Homo sapiens (assembly GCF_000001405.40). Classification (NCBI taxonomy): domain Eukaryota; kingdom Metazoa; phylum Chordata; class Mammalia; order Primates; family Hominidae; genus Homo; species Homo sapiens. The sequence goes on from NC_000011.10 coordinate 58,662,752, forward strand.
GTATACACCACCAGTGATATTGGAAGTAATATTATTCTCTTTTTTCCTTGATATTAGCAAACAATAACACAGAGGGTGTGTACAACCCCTGCCATATTTGGAGTAATATCATCCCTCGCCCCATGGACATGAGAAACTATATCACAGGGGACTTGTACATTCCATGGAATATTGGGAGTGATATCATTCTTCCCCACCCTGTATATTAGGAACAATATCACAGGGTGAATGTTCACCCCCTGTGATATTGGGAGTTATATCATTCTCTCCCCTGCCCAGGATATTACGAACAATATCACAGGGTGGGTGTACACTTTTTGCGATATTGAGAGTAATATCATGTTCTTGTCCTCTGGATATTAGGAACAATATCACAAAGGTGGTGTATACCCGCTGAGATATTGGGAGTAATATCATCCTACCCCTCCTTTAATATTAGGAACAAAATCACAGGGGTTTGTACACCTGCTGTGATATTGGGAGTAATATCTTCAACTCTCCCCCTGGATATTAGGAACAATATCACAGGGTAGGTGTACACTTTCTGCGACCTTGGGAGTAATATCAGCCCCTTCCCCTTTGGATATTAGAATCAATATCACAGAGGGGGTGTATCCGCCAGCGATATTGGGAGTAATATCATCCTCTCTTGCAATGGATATTAGAAACAATATCACAGGAAGTGTGTACACCCTCTGCCGTATTGAAAGTGATATCATTCCCTCGCACCAGCGTATTAGGAACTAAATCACAGAAAGGGCGTACACTCCCTGCGATATTGTGAGTAATATCATCTTCTTCTTCTCTGGAATTTAGGAACAAGATCACAGGGTGGGTGTACACTTGCTGTCATATATAGGGAGTCATATTATCCTCTCTCCCTTTGGATATTAGGATCAATATCACAGGTGGGGTATATACCACCAGCGATATTGGAAGTAATATTATTCTCTTTTCTCCTTGATATGAGCAACAATATCGCAAGGGGTGTGTACAACCCCTGCGATATTAGGAACAATATCACAGAAGGGACGTACTCTTCCTGTGATATAGGGAGTAGTATCATCCTCTTCTTCCCTGGATAATATTAACAATATCACAGGAGGGATGCATACCTTCTGCGATATTGGGAGTAATATTATCCTCTCCCGCCCTGAATATTAGGAAAAATATCACAGGGGATATACATTTCTGTGATATTGGGAGTAATATCATCCTCTCAACCCAGGGAATTACGAACAAGATCACAGGGCTGGTGCACACCCCTGTGATTATGGGAGCAATATCATCCTCCCCCAACCTGGATATTAGCAACAAGATCACAGAGGGGGTGTACACACCCTGCGATATTGGAAGTAATAAGATCCTCTCTCCCCCTGGATATTAGGAAAAATATCATAGCGTGGGTGTACATTTCCTATGCTGTTGGGAGTAATATCATTCTTTTCCTCTCTGGATATTAGGAACAATATCACAGGGGTGGTTTACATTTCCTCCGATATTGGGAGTAATATCATCCTCTCCCCGTTTGGATATTAGGAACAATATCCCAGGGGGGTGTCCACTTTCTGCGATATTGGGGGTAATATCATCCACTATTTCCCTGGATATTAGAAACAATATCACAAAAAGATGTACACCCCCCGTGATATTGGGAGTAATATCATACTCTTCTTGCCCGGATATTAGAAACAATACCATGGGGGGGGTGAACACCCCCTGCGATACTGGGAGTAATATCATTCTCTACCCCCCAGAATATTAGCAACAATATCACAGGAGGGGGTGTACACCCCCTGTGATATTGGGAATAATATCATTCTCTTCACCCCTGGATATTAAGAAGAATATCACAGGAAGGGTGTACATCCCCAGTGATATTGGGAATAATGTCATCATCTTCCCTGGAAATTAGGAACAATACCATGGGGAGGGTGTACACCCCCAGTGATATTGGGAATAATGTCATCATCTTCCCTGGAAATTAGGAACAATATCATGGGGAGGGTGTGCACCTTCTGTGCTATTGGAAGTAATATCATCCTCTCCCCTCCTGGATGTTAGGAACAATATCACACATGGTGTACACCCACTGTGATATTAGGAAGAATATTGCAGGGTGTACACCCACTGTGACTTTAGGAAAAATATGTCCCTAAAATGTTACAAATAATATCACAGGTTATACAGTAATATCTCCTTAGAATATTAAAAATGATATTACAGGCTATACACCCACTCTGATATTAGGAGTAATATCTCCCTAGGATATTACAAATAATATCATAGGGAGTACACCCACTGTGATAATAGGAGTAATACCTCCCTAGGATATTATGAATAATATCACAGGCTGTACACCCACTATGACATTAGGAGTAATATCTCCTTAGGATATTACGAATAACATCACAGAATGTACACCCATGGTGTGTACTCACTGTGATATTAGGAGTAATATCTATCTAGGATATAACGAATAATAGGACAGGGTGTACACATACAATGTACACCCACTGTGATATTAGGAGAAATATCTCCCTAGGATATTATGAATAACATCACAGAGTGTACACACATGGTATACACCCACTGTGACATTAGGAATAGTAACTTTCTAAGATATTATGAATAGCATTACAGAATATACACACGTGGTGTGCACCCACTATGACATTAGGAGTAATATCTCCCTAGAATATTACGAATAACATCACAGGGTGTTCACACATGGTGTACACTCACCATATATTAGGAGTAATATCTCCCTAGGGTATTATGGGTTATTAGGACAATATTATCACAGGGTATACACCCACTGTGATATTGGGAGCAATATCCCTCTAGGATATTATGAGTAGTATCACAGAGTGTACACCCACTGTGATATTAGGAGAAATCTCTCTCTGTGATATTACGAATTATTACTGTGATATTAGGAGTAACATCTTCCTAGGACATTATGAATAATATCATAGAGTGTACACCCACTGTAATATTAGGAGTCATATCTTCGAAGCTAGGTTATTACAAATAATATCACAGGGTGTACACACATGGGGTACACCCACTGTGATATTAGAAGTTATATCTCTCTAAGATATTACAAATAATATCACCGTGGGTGTACATCATGTGTGTACACCCACTGTGATATTTAAAGTAATATCTCCCTATAAGATTACAAATAATATCGAAGAGTGTACAACCCCTGTGACCTTAGGAGTAACATCTTTCTGAATATTACGAATAATACCACAAGGCATACACCCCCTGTGACATTTTGTACACCCTTTGTGACATTAAAAGTAATATCCCCCTAGTATATTATGAATAATATCAAATGTGGTTTATGCACATGGTGTACACTTCCTGTTACATTAGACATAATATTTTTCTGGGATATAGGAATAATATCACAGAAGGTGTACACACATGGTGTACACTCCATGTGACATTGGGAGCAACATCCCTCTAAGATATTAGGAATAATATGTGACTTTAAAAGTGTGGAGTTCAAAAATATGACTTTAAGGTGTATACACCCTGTAAAATTAGGAGTAGAATCTCCCTAAGATATTATGAATAATATCACAGGGTGTGTACACACATGGTGTATACCCCTTGTGATGTTAGGAGTAACATCCTTCTAGGATATTACAAATTATAGCCCTGGGATGTGCACACATGGTGAACAGCATAGTAATATTAGGATTAACATCTGGGTAGAATATTACAAGAAATATCACAGGGGGTGTACGCACATGGTGTACATGCCCGGTGACATTAGGAGTAACATTTTCCTGAAATATTATGAGTAATATCACAGAGTGTACACCTCCTGTGACATTTGGAGTAATGTCCCCTAGGATATTCCAAATAATATCACAGGGCGTACATTGCCTGTGACATGAGGAGTAACATCTGCCTAAAATATTATGAATAATATCAAGGGAGAACACCCTGTGTGACATTAGGAGTAACATTCCCCCAGGATATGACGAATAATATCAGAGGATGTACACACACTGTGACATTAGAAGTAACATCCATTTAGGATATTACCAATATTATCACAGTGTGTATACCTGTGACATTAGGAGTAACAATATTGGGAATAATATCACAGGTTGTACAACCCCTGTGACATTAGTGATAACATTTCTTTAGGATATTAGGAGTAGCATTTCCATAAAATATTATGAATAATATCACTGTTTGTACAACATGTGTGACATGTACAATATCACAGGGTGTACACCCCTGTGACAGTAGGAGTAACATCCCCCTAGGGTATTACTAATAATATCACTGGGTATACATCCTCTGTAATATTAAGAGTATCATATTTCTAGGATATTATGAATAATATCACAGGGGGTACAAACACTGTGATATTAGGAGTAATATCTCCTTAAGATATAAGCTACAATATCACAGAGTGACACTAGGAGTAACATCCCTCTACAATATTGGAAATAATATCACATGGTGTACACCCCCTGTGATATCAGTGGTAACATTTCTTTAGGATATTACAAATAATATTACAGGGTGTACAGCCCCTGTGGTATTAGGAGTAACAGTTCCATAAAATATGATGAATAATATCACTGTTTGTACAACATGTGTGACATTAGGAGTAACATCCCCCAAAGCTATGATGAATAAATTCACAGGGTGTACACTCTCTGTGACGTTAGGAGTAACATCTTCCTAGAATATTACAAATAATATCACAGGGTGTACACCCCCTGTGACACGAGGAGTAACATCTTTCTAGGATATTGTGAATAATATAACAAAGTGTACACACTTTGTGAGGTAGGAGTAGCATACCCCTAGGATATTGTGAATCATATCACAGAGAGTAAACCCCCTGTGACAATAGGAGCAACATCCCCTTAGGATATTACGAATAATATCACAAGGTGTACACGCATTGTGACATTAGTAGTAATAGCCCACTAGTATATTGTGCACACCCCCTTTGACATTAGGAGTAACATCTTCCTAGTATATTACAAAAAAATTACAGGGAGAACACCTCTGTGACATTAGGAGTAACATCTCCCTAGGATATTACGAATAATATCACAGGGTACACCCCCACTGTGATATTATTTGTAATATCCTAGGGGGATGTATCACACCCCGTGTGACTTTAAAAGTGACATCCCCCTAGAATATTATGAATAATGTAACAGGGTGTACACCCCCTGTGACATTAGGATTAACATCCCCCTAGGATATTAGGAATAATATCAAAGGATGTACACCCACTGGGATATTAGGAGTAATACCTTCCTAGGACATTACTTATAATATCACAGGATATACCCCCACTGTGATATTAGGAGTAATATCTCCCTAAGATATAAGGAAGAATATCACAAAGTGTACACCTATGGTGTACTCCCACTGTGATATTAGTCTCAATACCTCTCTAAAATATTATAAAAAATATCACAGGGTGTACACCCTCTGTGATACTAGAGACAATATTTACCCTGGATATTACAAATATTATCAAGGGAGTATACACATGTTGTACACCCACTGTGATATTAGGAGTTATATTTCCCTAGGATATTACAAATAATATCTCAGGGGGTACACCCACTGTGACATTAGGAGTAACATATCCTTAGAATATTAAGAATAATATTGGGCCAGGTGCGGTGGGTCACGCCTGTAATCCCAGCACTTTGGGAGGCCGAGGCGGGTGGATCACGAGGTCAGGATATCGAGACCATCCTGGCTAACACAGTGAAACCCCATCTCTACTAAAATACAAAAAATTAGGCGGGCGTGGTGGTGGGCACCTGTAGTCCTAGCTACTCGGGAGGCTGAGGCAGGAGAATGGCGTGAACCCGGGAGGCTGAGCTTGCAGTGAGCCGAGATCACGCCAGCCTGGGCGACAGAGCAAGACTGTCTCAAAAATTAAAAAAAAATAATAATAATATCACAGGGTGAACACAGCCTGTGACATTAAAAGTAACATCAGGCTAGGATATTACAAATAATGTCACATTGTGTACTCCCACTGGGACATTAGGTGTAACATTGCTCTAGGATATTATGAATAATATCACAGGGTGCACACCCACTATGACATTAAAAGTATTATCTCCCAAAGATATTACAAATAATATCACAGGGCGTACACTTACTATAATATTGAAATTAATATCTCCCTAAGATATTACAAAAAATATCACAGTGTTTGTACACACACTGTAAAATTAGAAGTAATAGCTCCCTAGGATATTATGAATATTATCAGTGTGTACATCCAGTGTGATAGTATAAAAAATATTTACCTAGGATATCATGAATAATACCACAAAGTGTACCCTCATGGTGTACACCCACTGTGATATTAGGAGTAACATCTTCCTAGTATATTATGAATAATATAACTGGGCATAAACCCACAGTAATATTAGGAGTCATATCTCCCTAGGATATTACAAATAATATCACAGAGTGTACACCCACTGTGATATTAGCAGTAACGTCCCCCTGGGATATTACAAAAAATATCACAGGGTGTACACCTATTGTGACATTAAAAGTATTATCTCCCTAGAATACTATGAATAATATCACAGGGTGTACACCCTCTGTGAAATTAGGAGTACTATCTTTCCAGGATATTACGAATAATATTACAGAGGGTGTACATTCACTGTGACATTAGGAGTAACATCCCCCTAAGATATTATGAATAATATCACAGGGTGTACACCAACCGTGACATTAAAAGTAACATCCCCCTAGGATATTATGAATAATATCACAGGGTGTACTCCCCATGTGACATTATGAGTAAAATCTCCCTAGGATATTAAGAATAATATCACAGGGTGCACACCCCTTGTAAAATCAGGAGTAACATCTCTTTAGGATATTACGAATAATATCACAGAGTGTACACCCATTTTGACATTAGGAGTAACATCCCCTTAGGATATTACGAATAATATCACAGGTGTGCACTCCCAGTGACATTAGGATTAACATTCCCCCAGCATATTACAAAAAAGATCACAGGTGTACACCACCTGTGACAGTAGGAGTAACATCCTCCTAAAATATTATGACAAATATCACAGATTGTACACCCCCTGCGATAGGAGTAACATACACCTAGGATATTACGACTAATATCACAGGGTGACCACCCCCTGTGACATTAGAAGTAACATTCCCTAGGATATTGCAAATAATATCACAGTATGTACACCCACTGTGACATTAGCTGTAACATTCCCCTAGGGAATTATGAATAATATCACAAAGTGTACACTTACTGTGACATTAGGAGTAATATCTCTCTAGACTATTACTTCTAATATCACAGGGTGTACACCCACAGTGATATTAAGAGTAATATCTTCCTAGTACATTACAAACAATATCACAGTGTGTACACACAAGGTGTACACCCACAGTGATATTAGAAGTAATATCTCCCTAAATATTACAAATATTATCACAGGGTGTATATCCAATGTGATATTTGGAGTAATATCTCCCTTGGATATTACGAACCATATCACAGGGAGGTGGACACCGCCCGCAATATGGGGAGTAATGTCACCCTCCTCTCCCCTGCTGGATATTATGAATCATATCACAGGGGGGTGGACATCCCCCACGATATGGGGAGTAGTATCACCCTCCTCTCTCCCCCACTGGATATTACGAACCATATCACAGGGGGTTAGACACCGCTCGCGATATGGGGAGTAATATCACCCCCCTGTCCCCCCTGGATATTATGAACCATATCACAGGCAGGTGGACATCCCCCGCGATATGGGGAGTAATATCACCTCCCTCTACCCCCTGGATATTACGAACCATATCACGGGGGGTTGGACACCCCCAGCGATATGGGGAGTAATATCACCCCCCTTCCCCTCTCTGCTTTTTGCAACCAGTCAGAGGTACTTTCAATTTCCAATTTGCAGTGCAGAAAATGTGGCGGTTTGCAAAGGGAGTAGCCTCTGGTGCTTTTGTTTCTTAGGTGTGGACAGGTAGGATTTTCCTTTCAATTTAGCTCTAGGAAGTCAGCGTGAAACGGCCTTAGGTTACCTACCTCCAGACCCTATTCTCCTGCCTCAAAAGGATGCAATATAAAATATTGCTACAAGCCAAGCTGCTGTTCGTGTGTGATGTCTGCACAAAGACTTTCCTACAGGTGTATACATTCAGGAAGTGTATCACCCGTGCACCCTAACTGAAAAATTGAGTAATGTTATGTTCCAGTGTAATGAGAAGTGAATCAAAATAAAGAAATCAAGAGTTGGTAAACTATTAAGGAGATAAATATTAAAACCAATAAAATAGAGAATTAAGCTTAATTTCGTGTTTCAAATATGATAAAATAGAATGAAAGACAAAAAGTAATTATTGACAAAAATGATACGTAAAAGTAAAATTTCAGGAATAATCTGGGTTCAAAAATCTCATACTGCAGTTATTGGAAAAAATGATTGACATTAAATTGGTCTAAACTTTGCTGGGTTTGTTATTTTACATGTGGGAGTGTGCATAGATACTCTTATTTTCTTTTGTTAATTAGAGAAATACAGCCATAAGCATATTGCTGAAAAATTAGCTAAGAATTAAAAATATAATGCTAAGCCCCCCACCCAACTGAATGGACCCCTTCTTGGCAAGGGGACCCCAGAGAAACCTTAAAAAAACTTGAGTTCCTGGCCATGACAGGGACAAGAGGTCAGGCACACCTCATTCTATGGGCTCCCTTTTCTGGTTTAGACACAATAACCATCAACATTTATGTTAAAATAGAGATCATAAGACTGACAAAACAAACTCTTTGTGGCAATTAGATACAAAATTATAAACAGGACCTAAGGACATATCAGGCAAAGGTGAAGTCAAGCACTCCTACACTTAAAGAATAAACTATGGGCCAGGCATAGTGGCTCATGCCTGTAATCCCAGCACTCTGGGAGGCCGAGGCAGGCAGATCACCTGAGGTCAGGAGTTCAACACCAGTCTGGCCAACATAGTGAAACCCCGTTTCTACTAAAAATACAAAAATTAGCTGGTTGTGGTGGCGGGCGCCTGTAATCCCAGCTACTGGGAAGCTGAGGCAGGAGAATTGCTCGAACTGGGGACGTAGAGGTTGCAGTGAGCCGAGATTGCGCCACTGCACTCCAGCCTGGGCAACAGAGTAAGACTCCGTCTTAAAAACAAAACAAAACAAAACAAAACAAAACAAAAACAAAAAACCAAACAAACAAAAATCTATGTTCTAACTGTCACAAGGTTTTTCCTTTTCTCTAGCAGCTGAACAAGCACTGGCCTCAAGATAAGCAATATGGAAACAATTGTAGCTCCTTCATGCCAGAAGCCGACAAACTGACCCTGCATAACCACAGCTTTGATTGAACAAGTGACTGATTTCCATAGCTTTTTTCTGATAAGACACCACTGACCCCGTAGGCTGGTTCTGGCTGGTCTTGCAGAGGCTGTGCATTTTAGCACCTTCCAGTCCCTGCTTCACCTTCTGAATAATAGGGCCTAATTGTAATAGATTTAAATGTTAAGTCTCCACCCCGAGGTGAACATGGGATGCATGTATCATGTACGTTTGCTTACCTTGTATGCATGCAACTCACTTTCGTTAATATTTATAGCTCCCCCTGTATCCTGTTGAATATGTATACTCGGCCTACCCAGTCAGCATTGATTCCTGTCTTATCCCTCTCTCCCTGGAAGTGCTTGCTTTTGGTATTTCAGCCAGAGGCTGTGCTCCCTGCCTGCAGGTTGTAAATTCCTTAAGAAATAAAGCTCTCCTTTCTAAGTTTCTAAACTTGTGATTTTTAAGCTAACAGTGCTAATTAAATTCAAAACAAAATTTGTGACTTCCAAATTACTTAAAAAACAAAAAAATCTAGTGGGAGGATTGCATTGGGTTTTCTTCTCTTCACCTCCCGCCATGGCTAAGATTTTTCCTTCCTTAGACTTTCTCTGTATAATTAAACTCTGGTCATCAGTAGCCCACTGAGCCCCTCTTCATCTAAAGCATAACTTTTAAATGCTTTTGTGCAGTGGGCCGCTTGACAGTCTGGGGAGGCCTATTACCCCATTCTCAGGATCACGAGTCATGAATGGGGGAAATAAAACACAAGGAATATGAAGGAAACAAAATTATATTGACATATAGTTATCTGAATATCTTAAATTAATTACATCATATCTAGCTGCATCTAGCTGCAAAGTCTCATATTTAATGAGTTCATTATACAATCATAAATTAAATACTTTCAATATTATAAGAGTAAATGGTAGTTCAGTTATTCTCAGCTATAATCAGATATGAAATTTTCTCACTACCATCTTGATGAAGTCAGGGATAATGGAAATCTCTGGTAGTTTGGTACATACATTTATAATTGAAGAAAATCCTAAATTATGGTTGGAAGTTAATAAAAATAAAGATACGATTTTTCTTCTCTTCAACTTTAGAGAGCCCTTGAATTTAAACGAATGCCCAGGCAGTCTGTGGACACAGATGAAATGTCCTTGATCTAAAAAGCTTCATTTCTCTTCAGCGAAAGTTCTCCCCATGAAAACAGGGCTTCTAAAACTGCCTTCCCTCAAAGGCTGTACAAACATGCATTCCTGGCAATAACCTAGAGGAGTGCCCATTTCTCCATACTCTCCTTTATAGCAGATGCCCTCAAATGTATTCACACTTTACCAATCTAAAAAGAGAGAAAAAAAAGGTAATTGCATTGTAGTTTTATTTTGCTTTTTCATAATTTCAAGATTTTCATTCAGCTTTGGTTTCTAATTTCTTTTTAATTACAGATTTTTTTTTTTTTAGATGGAGTCTAGCTCTGTTGCCCAGGCTGGAGTGCAGTGGCACAATCTTGGCTCACTGCAACCTCTACCTTCCGGGTTCAAGCGATTTTCTTGCCTTAGCTTCCTGAGTACCTGGGATCACAGGAGTGCACCACCATGCCCAGCTAAATTTTGTATTTTTTAGTAGAGACAGGGTTTCACCACATTGGCCAGCTGGTCTCAAACTCCTGACCTCAAGTGATCCACCCACCTTAGCCTCCCAAAGTGTTGGGATTACGTCCATGAGCCACTGCACCTGGCCAGAAAATCTTTATATAACATGCATATTATAGAAAGTTCCCACATTCCCTAGGTAACTGTCATATCTGCAAAATATATAAATTGTATAGAAAAATTTAAAAAATTCATGAAACTAAAATAATTTTACTTTTCACTGCATTTTGACTAATTCATTTCTTCACTTAATAAATATTGAGTAATTATATACCGGAAACCTTAGTAGGCACAAGATGGGAATAGTGACCCCAAACTATAATTTTCAGGCACTTTCCCCTCCCCACTTGAGTAATTCAGTATCAAAAACCTCATTATCATTCTCTGTGTGTTTGCAATCCTTGCAAAGGGAGGGTTGCATGTATGCATGATAAGCACACATTCATGATACACGTGTCCCACGTTCACCTTGGGGTGGAGACTTAACATTTAAATCTATTACAATTAGAGATGCCTGTGGAACAAGGAAGTCACCTTTAAGGAATGGACTTGGTTTTTGTTGCAGTGCCCACTTTGAGAACTCTTCCTTGAACAGGTTGGACCTCCCACTTGTCATTCTCTCATTCACAAGTGTTCTGGCCACAGTGTCCTGAGGTCACAGTTTCCCAGTAGTTGAGTTTTAATAAAAAGCAACACTTATTAGCTAAGTTAAAATATACCCCAACAGAAGACGAGATGGACTCCCTGTAGCTAAAATGAGATAAACCCAAAAAATTTCATAGCTAGGAGGATGAGGGATCTGTAACACATCCCGGTGTTATTAATTGCCATAGGTTTTTTTTCCCGGTAATTACGCAGAAACTATCACCTGAAAAGCATTGCCAAAAAACACTACAGTTGGAAGATTTCCCAGCTGACCCTGACAGAGTGCCGGTTGCCAGCCTACTGAGACAGCCAAGTAAAAAGGGTTCCCCGGCAGGACTTCCGACTGGCCTGCGCACTGGGAGGAGTGCGCACTCGGGTGAAGCCTTGAGGAATTTCCTGTTGGTTTGCAGTGAGGAGGAGCCTGGCTTCTCCTGTTCCGGGTGGTAACCCGGTGATTCCAGTCTATGAGGTGGGAAGCCCACTGGCAGGACTCTCGCTTTGCTGAGAGTCCCTGTTTCCCCATTTTTCCTTTTCACCCAATAAACCCTGTCCTTCTCACCCTGCAGAGTGTCCGCAAGCCTAACTTTTCATGGTTGTGCGAGAAGAACCTGGCTTTTAGCCGAACTAAGGAGAAAGTCCTACAACACTACAACACTCTTCCCTACCTTGCCTGGCTCCGTCCTCTACCATGCTGTCCTGCCATAAGTCAGATTGGACAGAGGACGGGTCTTATAAACATTCCTTATTGATCAATAGCTGCAGACCTTAAGCCAGTTTCAGTCAGCTTGTGGACATTGTTCAAAAATTGTCTGTATGTCCTGTAGTTTACCTTTTGATGTAAAGGGCCGAATTCCACTTCATTTTAATGTTAAATCCTACCAAAATGTGAATATGGGATGTATGTTCCATATATGTTTTCCACTGTGCAATGCCTGACTTCCCTCATGCATATTTGCATTTTTTCCCCACCCTGCTAGTATGTATGTAAGGCTGAGTGTGCGACCCAGATACCAAATAGCAGCCCTCCTCCGTTCTGCGCAAAGTGCACTTTCCCTCTCCCCAGGGCAGCGTTTCCTAGATCCGTGGATTGTTTTGCCTTCTGCAAATAAAGTCTCCTCTTTTCCTTCATCCGTGAATTTCACAATCTTTGTGAATAGATACATACTATGCATGAGGCTAAAATCACCTGAAATCTCAACAACTTAAACTCAGAGGCACTCATCATCTTTCAGCGTTCTCAGGGAGGGATCCTGGTTCTGCAGCCTTGGCTACCTCTGCTGCCCTCTGCTGGCGGAGCGGAGTCCGCAAAGTCCAGAGCAAGGGACTGCCCTGGGATCTCCAGGCACACTTTGTCCTGAACGTTGTCAAGGGCTTTCTCCAAAGCCATATAGGTAATACAAATTCAAATCATCCAGCAAACCAGTGCCAGGATACCTATGAGGCTATGGAAGTGTTATTCACGCAGGCATACATTCAGGAAATGTCATCTCCATCATTCCAATTTCCTAGACCTTGTTGTCATTCTTGAACTACTTTCTCTCCCTTAGTCCAGGTCTTCTGAAACTCCTGGACTGGATTAGATGTGCAGGAGATTTATTAGGAGACTGTGAAGCAAAAAGAAAGGGAGCTGGGGGAGGCTGGGAGAGCTGTCAGTCTGCAATCTAAGTCTACTTTAAGTCTCCCTCGTGGAGAGAAAAAAAGAGGAGGTATTAGGCCCACGGGGTTCTTGGGTGAAAATTGCCCCATCAGAAGAGTCCCCTGTCTTCCTGCTGTGCTGTTACAGGCAGGAGAAGCCCGTGAGAAGCATGAAATCAGAAGTAAGAAGGGTGGATTTCAAAGCCAGCTACTAGGGTCACTGGTCAATGATATTACTGACAGAAGGAGGTCTGAGGCGTGAATTTTCGTGGCCTCCACACCGCACGTTCAATCAGTCAGCAAATCCTTTTGGCATTACCTTTAAAGTGTCCTACCACTTCTCAACATTTCCACCATTCCCACTCTGGTCCAACCCTTCACTGTCTCCTTGCTTCCACCTTTGCCTTTCCACAATCTCATCTCAATACAGCCCCTCAGTCATGGATGTCTGTCTCTTGCTCAAAGCCCTGCTCAGAAAAATAGCCACAGTCTTCACCATGGCCCACAAGACCCTACACGTGATTACCCCTTGTATCTTTTTGCCCTTATCTCCCTCAACTCTTCCCTTTCCCACACTGGCCTCCTTACTGCTTGCTCTGTTTTCAACACCCATGAATCTATCTATCTATCTATCTATCTATCTATCTATCTATCTATCTATCTATCATCTATCTATTATCTATCTATCTATATCTTCTATTTACCTATCTCTATCTATCTATCATCTATCTCCTATCTATCTACCTATCTATCATCTATATCTCTATCTTCTATTTACCTATCTTATCTATCTATCTATCTATCTATCATCTATCATCTATCTATCTATCTATTCTGTGTTTTTAGACACAGGGTCTCACTCTGTCACCCAGCTGGAGTGCAGTGGAAAGATCACAGCTCACTGCAGCTTCTGGGCTCAAGTGATCCTCCTGCCTACCTCCCATGTAGCTAGGACTACAGGCAAATGCCACCTCTCCTGACTTCTTTTTTATAACAGGGGGTACATGTGCAGCTTTGTTACATAGATATATTGTGTATTGCTGAGGTTTGGGCTTCCATCAAACCCATCAACACCTGTAATACACGAGTGAAAGTTGTGTTTGAAAGGCAAGAAGAGAAGGACCAGCTCAAAATCAACAGATGTACAAGTTGGAACAAATTTCACTCAGGGCTGTTATTTATCAGAGCTAGTTTATGCATAACTTGGCGGGTTGACCCTTGACTCCATTTTGATTTTTGCTAAGCATTTTTCAAGTAGGAGCACTGCCAGCTGAACTATTAGGCAGTTGAAGAAATAACAAGTACTACTGACCCTTGGATGAGGGGAGGGACTCACACAGCAATGGCAAATAATTGCCACAATTTGGAACATACTCTATTCCATTCCCCAGAATACCAGGGGCATGCAACAGTCATTTTCTTAAGTATGAATAGGAATTTCCAAACTCAAAGATAAAAAGGAAATCAGGAATCACCAAATATTTTACCAGGAAAGAGGGGAATCAAATTCAACCAATGAATCTATCTATCTATCTATCTATCTATCTATCTATCTATCTATCTATCATCTATCTATCTATCATCTATCATCTATTATCTATCTATCTTTTACCTATTATCTATCTATCTATCTATCATCTATCTATCTATCTATCTATCTATCTATCTATCTATCTATCATCTATCTATCTCTATTCTTTTCTGTTTTTAGACACAGAATCTCATTCTGTCACCCAGCTGGAGTGCAGTGGAACGATCACAGCTCACTGCAGCTTCTGGGCTCAAGTGATCCTCCTGCCTGCCTCTCAAGTAGCTAGGACTACAGGCAAATTCCACCACTCCTGACTTTTTAAAAAATATAATCAGGGCGTACATGTGCAGCTTTGTTACATAGATAAACTGTATATTGCTGAAGTTTGAGCTTCCATTGAACCCATCACCCAAATAGCGAACATCAGACCCAATAGGTAGTTTTTCAACCCCTACTCCCCTCCCTCCCCCATTTTGGAGTCCCCAGTGTCTATTGTTTCCATCTTTATGTCCGTGTATACCCATTGTTTAGCTCCCACTTATAAGTGGAAATGTGGTATTTGATTTTCTGTTTTTGCATTAATTCACTCAGGAAAGTGGCCTCTAGCTCTATCCATTTTGCTGCAAAGGGCATGCTTTTGCTCTTTTTGTGGCTGCATAGTATTCCATGGTGAATATGTACCACATTTTCTTTATCCGATCCACCACTGATGGGCACCTAGGTTGATTCCATGACTTTGCTATTGTGAATACTGCTGCTATAAACATACTGCAAGTGGCTTTTTGATATAACAATTTCTTTTTGCTTGGGTGGATACCCAGTTTCTACTGTAATTTCTGCCTTAATTTTATTTTTACCCAAAAGTCATTCTGGAGCAAGCTGTTTAATTTCCTTGTAATTGTGTGGTTTTGGGAGATCTTCTTGGTATCAGTTTCTATTTTTATCCCACTGTAGTCTGAGAGTATAGTTGGTATGATTTGAGCTTTTTTTAAAAAATTTATTAAGACTTGCATGATGGCTGAGCATGTGGTTGATCTTGGAATATATTCCATGTTCAGGTAAGAGGAAAGTATATTTTACAATGGATGAATGGACTGTTCTGTAGATGTCTATTACTTCCAACTGGTCAAGTGCTGAATTTAAGTCCAGATTTTTTTGTTAGTTTTCTGCCTCAATGATCTATCTAATGCTGTCAATGGGATGTTGAAGTCCCCCATTATTATTGTGGGTCTGTATAAGTGTTTTTGTGGGTCTAGAAGTAGTAGTTTTATGAATCTGGGTGCTCTGCTGTCAGATGCATATGTACTTAGAAAAGTTAAGCTTTCTTGTAGAATTGAACTCTCGATCACAATGTAATGACCTTCTTTGTCCTTTTTTACTGTTGCTGGTTTAAAGTCTGTTTTATCTGATATGAGAATAGTGAACGCTGCTCTTTTTTGTTTTCCATGTGTGTGACAGATCTTTCTCCAATCCTTTGCTTTGAGCCTGTGGGTGTCATTGTGTGTGAGATGGGTCTCTCCAAGGCAGCAGATGGATAAGTCTTGGTTTTTGTTTTTATTCAACTGGCAATAGTGTGCTTTTTAAAGTGGGGGCGTTTAGACCATTGATATTCAATATTAATTTTGATATGTGAAGTTTTGATCATATCGTGAAGTTGTTAGCTGGTTGCTTTGTAGTTTTGATTCTATGGTTGCTTTATAGGGTCTCTGGGCTATGTACTTAAGTGTGTTTCTGTGGTAGCAGGTATTGTTTTTTCATTTCCATGTTTACAACCCTCTTAAGGATCTCTTGTAAGGCTGGTCTAGTGGTAACTAACTCCCTTAATGCTTGATTAAATGGAAAAATTTTATTTTTCCTTAGTTTATGCGGCTTAGTTTGGCAGGATATGAAATTCTTGGTTGAAATTTCTTTTCTTTAAGAATGCTGAAAATATACCCCCAATCTCTCCTGGCTTGTAAAGTTTCTGCTGAGAAGTCTACTGTTATCCTGATGGGGTTCCCTTTGTATGTGATTTGACCTTTTTCTCTAGCAGCCTTTAAGATTTTTTTTCTTTAGCATTAACCTTGGACGGTCTAAGGACTATATGCCTTGATGATGTTTATTTTGTATAGTATCTCACAGGTGTTCTCTGGATTTCTTGTAACTGGATGTCTACCTCTACCAAGAATAGAGAAATCTTAATTTTTTTGCTCAAATACGCTTTCCAGGTTGTTTACTTCTTCTTTCTTAGAAATGTCAATAATTCATTCATTTGGTCACATTACATAATCCCATATTTCTTTCTTTTTTTTTTTTTAATTTGAGACAGAGGGAGGGACAGGCTGCCGTCTTTGCCATTTCCTGGAGTTGGCTGCTGCTGCCTTTGGGCTCTGAAGTGTCTGAGGTGACTGAGGCTAGCACAGCATGGCCGCCCTGTGGAGAAGTGGCGAGATTATGGTTTGCATGGGTCTTGGATCCTGTTTCTCCTCACTGTGTGAGTCCTCCTGAACAAGGACTTCAGCCAACCCCCAGTGGTGTTCTCAGTCAGTAGCAGTTCCACACCTCCATGAAACAGAGCTCCCAGAGAGACAGGAAGGCCACCATCTTTGCTGCCTTGCAGCCATCACTGCTGCTGCCCTCAGGCTCTGGGGAGTCCAAGGTAACTAGAGACTGGAGCAGACTGGAGGAGATTCCCAGCACAGCCTAGCTGCCCTTTGGAAAAGCAGTCAGACTGCTCTTTATATGGGTCACCAACCCTGTTTCCCCTCACTGGGAAGGACCTCCCAACCAGGGACTCCAGCCATCTCCACCAGGGTTTTTGGGCCAGCAAGGGCTCCACACCTCCCTGAGATGGAGCTCCCAGAGGGAGAAACAGCCGGCCATCTTTGCTGTTTTGCATCCTTTGCAGCTGCTGCCTTTGGGCTTTGGGGAGTCTGAGGAGACTAGGGACTGGAGCAGATCTCTAGCACAGTGCAGCTGCCCTGTGGAAAAACAGCCAGACTGTTTTACACAGTTTCCTGGTCCCATTTCTCCTTACTGAGCAGGACCTCCCAACCATGGACTTTTGGGCCACCAGGGTTTTTGGGCCAGCAAGGGCTCTATAGCTGCCTGAGACAGAGCCCCCAGAGAGAGGGGCAGGCTGCCATCTTTGCTGTTTTGCAGTCTTTGCCTTTGCTGCCTCCAGGCTCTGGAGAGTAAAAGGGCAAGGGGGTCTTGTGTGGACCCCCAGCACAATGCAGTCACTACACAGAACAGTGGTCATGTGCAAAAACACACATAAGCTCAAAATACAGGGATGGAGGAAGGTTTACTAAGCAAATGGAAAGAAAAAAAAAGAAGCAGGGGTTGCAATTCTAGTCTCTATAAAACAGACTTCAACCAACAAAAATTAAAAAGGACAAAGAAGGACATTACATAATGGTAAAGGGATCAATGCAACAAGAAGAGTTAATTGTCCTAAATATATGTGCCCCCAATGCAGGAGCACCCACATACAAAAAGCAAGTTCTTGGAGACCTGCAAAGAGGCTTACACTCCCACACAATAATATTGCGAGACTTTAACACCCCGCTGTATATGTTAGACAGATCAACGTGACAGAAAATTAACAAGGATATTCAGGACTTGAACTCAGCTCTGGACCAAGCAGACCTAATGGACATCTACAGAACTTTCCACCCCAAATCAACAGAATATACACTCTTCTCAGCACCACATCACACTTATTCTAAAATTGACCACATAATTGGAAGTAAAACACTTCTTAGCAAATGAAAAAGGATGGAAATCATAACAAACAGTCTCTCAGACCACAGTGCAATCAAATTAGAACTCAGGATTAAGAAACTCACTCAAAACCACACAACTACATGGAAACTGAACAACCGGCCCCTGAATGACTACTGGGTAAATAATGAAATTAAGGCAAAAATAAATAAGTTCTTTGAAACCAATGAGAATAAAGACACACGGTACTAGATTCTCTGGGACACAGCTAAGGCAGTGTTTAGAAGGAAATTTATAGCATTAAATGCCCACAGGAGAAAATGAGAAAGATCTAAAATCGACACCCTAACATCACAATTAAAAGAACTACAGAAGCAAGAGCAAACAAATTCAAAAGCTAGCAGAAGACAAGAAATAACTAAGATCAGAACAGAACTGAGGGAGGTAGAAATGTGAAAAACCCTTAAAAAAATCAATGAATCCAGGAGCTGGTTTTCTGAAAAGATTAACAAAATAGATAGACTGCTAGCCAGACTAATAAAGAAGGAAAGATACAAGAATCAAATAGACACAACAAAAAATGATAAAGGGGATATCACCATCGATCCCACAGAAATACAAACTACCATCAGAAAATGCTATAAACACCTCTATGCAAAATAAACTAGAAAATCTAGAAGAAATTGAGAAATTCCTGGACACATACACCTTCCCAAGATGAAATCAGAAAACAGTCAAATCCCTGAATAGACAAATTACAAGTTCTGAAGTTGAGGCAGTAATTAATAGCCTACCAGCCCTAAAAAGCCCAGGACCAGATAGATTCACAGATGAATTCTACCAGAGGTACAAAGAGGAGCTGGTACATTTCCTTCTGAAACTATTCCAAACAATACAAAAGGAGGTATTCCTCCCTAACTCATTTTATGAGGCCAGCATCATCATGATACCAAAACCTGGCAGAGAGAACCTCAATGCAAAAATCCTCAATAAAATCCTGCCAAACTGAATTCAGCAGCACATCAAAAAGCTTATCCACCGCGATCAAGTTGGCTTCATCCCTGGGATGCAAGGCTGGTTCAACATATGCAAATCAATAAACGTAATCCAGCACACAAACAGAACCAATGACAAAAATCGCATGATTATCTCAACAGATGCAGAAAAGGCCTTTGATAAAATTCAACACCCATTCATGTTAAAAACTCTCAATAAACTAGGTATTGATGGAATGTATGTCAAAATAATAAGACCTATTTATGACAAACCCACAGCCAATATCATACTGAATGGGAAAAAGATGGAAGCATTCCCTTTGAAAACTGGCACTAGACAATGATGCCCTCTCTCACCACTCCTATTCAACATAGTATTGGAAGTTCTGGCCAGGGCAATCAGACAAGAGAAAGAAATAAAGGGTATTCAATTAGGAAGAGAGGAAGTCAAATTGTCTCTGTTTTCAGATGACATGATTGTACACTTAGAAAACTCCATCGTCTCAGCACAAAATCTCATTAAGCTAATAAGCAATGTCAGCAAAGTCTCAGAATACAAAATCAATGTGCAAAAATCACAAGCATTTCTATACACCAATAATAGACAAATAGAGAGCCAAATCACGAGTGAACTCCCATTCACAGTTGCTACAAAGAGAATAAAATACCTAGGAATACAACTTACAAGGGATGTGACGGACCTCTTCAAGGAGAACTACAAACCACTGCTGAACAAAATAAGAGAGGACACAAACAAATGGAAAAGCATTCTGTGCTCATGGATAGAATCAATACTGTGAAAATGGCCATACTGCCCAAAGTAATTTATAGATTCAACGCTGTCTCCATCAAGCTACCATTGACTTTCTTCACAGAACTGGAAAAAACTACTTTAAATTTCATATGAAACCAAAAAAGAGCCTGTATAGCCAAGACAATCCTAAGCAAAAAGAACAAGGCTGGAGGTATCATACTACCTTACTTTAAACTATACTACAAGGCTACAGTAACCAAAACAGCATGGTACTGGCACCAAAACAGATACATAGACCAATGGAACAGAACAGAGGCCTCAGAAATAATGTCACATCTACAACCATCTGATCTTTGAAAACCTGACAAAAACAGGAAATGGGGAAAGGATTCCCTATTTAATAAATGATATTGGAAAAACTGGCTATCCTTATATAGAAAATTGAAACTGGACCCCTTCCTTACACCTTATGCAAAAATTAACTCAAGATGGATTAACGACTTAAACATAAGGCCTAAAACCATAAAAAAAAAAAACCCTAGAAAAAAACCTAGGAAATACCATTCAGGATCTAGGCATGGGCAAAGACCTTATGACTAAAACACCAAAAGCAATGGCAACAAAAGCCAAAATTGTCAAAAGGGATCTAATTAAACTAAAGAGCTTCTGCACAGCAAAAGAAACTATCATCAGAGTGAAGAGGCAACCTACAGAATGGGAGAAAATTTTTGCAATCTATGCATCTGACAAAGGGCTAATATCCAGAATCTACAAAGAACTTAAACAGATTTACAAGAAAAAAACAAACAACCCCATCAAAATTGGGCAAAGGTTATGAACAGACACTTCTCAAAAGAAGACATTTATGCGGCCAACAAACATCTGAAAACAAGCTTATCATCACTGGTCATTAGAGAAATGCAAATCAAAACCACAATGAGATACCATCTCATGCCAGTTAGAATGGCAATCATTAAAAAGCCAGGAAACAACAGATGCTGGAGAGGATGTGGAGAAATAGGAATGCTTCTACACTGTTGGTGGGAGTGTAAATTAGTTCAACCATTGTGGAAGACAGTGTGGTGATTCCTCAAGTATCTAGAACCAGAAATACCATTTGACCCAGCAATCCCTTTGCAGCACTATTCACAATAGCAAAGACTTGGAACCAACCCAAATGCCCATCAGTGGTAGACTGGATAAAGAAAATGAGGCACATATACATCATGGAATACTATGCGGCTATAAAAAAGGATAAGCAGGGACATGGATGAAGCTGGAAGCCATCATTCTCAGCAAACTAACACAGGAACAGAAAACCAAACACTGCATGTTCTCAATCATAAGTTGGAGTTGAACAATGAGAACACATGGAAACAGGGAGGGGAACACCACACACTGTGGCCTGTCGGGGAGTGGGGGGCTAGGGGAAGGATATCATTAGGAGAAATACCTAATGTAGATGACTTGTTGATGGGTACAGCAAACCACCGTGGCACATGTATACCTGCGTAACAAACCTGCACGTTCTGTACATGTATCCCAGAACTTAAAGTATATTAAAAAAGAATTAAATTAGATAATGCAAGTAAAGTGCCTAGGACTGTGGCTGGAATATAAGGTTTGCTTACTGAAGAATCATAATTATTACTAAGGCAGTGGCTTTCAGCCACGTCAAGTTCCATAGGGTGAAAATGAATGATGATTTTCCATGGCCCCAGACTGTGATTAAAAAGAAAAATGAAAGAGGTAGAATACCAGTTACAAATGACAAATGTTTTTAAAAATTGTTAGAGCTGAACAAGGGCATATTTGGTTGCCTTTGAAAGTAACAAATTCCCTGTAACTCAAGCTCTTCGAGCAGATACCAGTTGGTGAATATGCTGTACAGACTCCAACACTGGCAGCCATAAGAGTCTGTGAATTTATTGAAGAATGCTTTGTTGCTTTTTCCAGGGTCTTGACTCTTCCTATTCTTTGAGCTGCTACAGATTTATGCTACAGATTATGTACTGTTTTCCATATAAAGCAGAGGAACGCATTCAAGCTTCAGGTGCGAGTGGACAGGTGCCTAATTTCAACACAGTCCTCATCTGGCCACAAGACCAGGTAGGAGTGACTGTTCTCTAACTGGGACATGAGCCCATTTTTTGGTGATATTTTTGTCAGAGTTGGGATGAACAACTTTTCTATCTGCATAAGTTCTCTAGTGTTTCAAAGTCTGTTCTTTTTCTTTTTGGAGCCATCCAGGAGATGACAAATGACCTTGATCACTACACCAACACGTACCAAATCTATTCCAAGAATGCAGAGAATTTACCAGAGGTCCTTGGCCAGCCAGGCATCATAACTGGAAGCAACATTTGTAGACTCAAGTTGCAGGAACATTGGGTGCCATTTGTGGGAAAGAGATAGGCCTTGTGTGGGCACAACCTTTGGGAACCAAGGTGGGGGCATAAAATTTGGTACCAGGCTGGCTTGTGTGTGGTATTTATTCTAGTCAACCAATGATAGGGGCAAAGAGGTTTATACAAATTTATAAATTTGTGGGTATCAGTGGGGGAGTCTTTGGACAAGATGAAGGCCAAAGGTTTTAGGTATTGCCTTCCTCCGAGCAGGGAGAGGTAATACTGCCTACTTAGTTCAAGGGTCAGTGTCAGAGAGCAGGCTCTATAATTCTTTCTTTCTTTTAAAATCTCATTTAATAGAAAATTAATGATTTCTCTTAAGATTGATGATTAACATAAGTTTGCATATGTTTGTTGACCACTCATATTCCTCCTATGCATTGCCTATCATACCTTTGCCAATTATTGTTTTAGCTTATCTTTTGTGCATTAATTATGAATAGTTTTTTTATTGCAATATAATACACCCATAAAATTTACCCTTGTAAAGTGTACAGTTAAGTTGTTTTAAGCATACTCATAAAGTGACCACTGAAGTCTCTGATCAATTAGCTTAGCGATCCTTAAATGTCTGGAACCATTCACCTCCTAGCCTTTGCTGAGGGGCTTTGTGTTTGTATTAGGTCATGCTTTCAGTTTTTAGGCAGGTAGTTTACAACTCTGCCTTAACCTTCATTTCCTGTGTGTGTGCAGCCTCAAGGTCAATTGGATCGGAGATCTTGTTAGAGTCTTCTCGTACTTCCCTGGGCATGTCCACAGCTATATGCAAACATGTAGCCTTCTAGATTCTTAGAAATTTGTCAGAGCTTTCAAAGCTGTCTATGGACATCTCATCCCCCAGCTGATCCTTTTAAATGTTTTGTTTAGGTTTTTGTTTGCCCTAAATATCGTTGCCATGTCAGGCAGCTATGATGTATTAATCGATGCTGACTGTTTTCAGCAGATGACTGGGGGAAATGGCTTTGCACAGTAAGCAAGCCCTGACTAAGATCATCTGAAAAAAGCTGTGAGCGTTGGGGTTCACAGGGAACTGCCAGACATGTCAAATAGCAACAAACCTCTGAGAATATTGCTTTCAGGGAGCTCCAAACCCATACTGCCTGTCCAATAGTTGCTAGGCTCCTGGCTTTCACCATGATTGTAGGACTGTTGGTTTATACCACGGAGCTGCGGAGAGGCCACTACGGATAGGGCAAGTCACAATACCACAAAGCTCACTATTCTCAGAAAGTTTCAGCTGCTTTTTCAACAGGTCATGGACAAAAAAACAAACAGATTCAGCTGTTTCTCTGGAATAAATCTTCAGATTGTTGCAAATTTTTGGTTAATTTTTGGAGTTTTGGAAAATGTTTATTTTGGCTTTTTTCAGTGTTCTTGTCACTTTGATGAAGGAGAGGATTTTTAGAGGTCCTTATTCCATCATTCCCACTGATGTCACCCTCTAATGTCATTTATGCCATCCCTGAAAAACCACAGAGGTCTCTGGAGAAATTTTTTATATTTTTTATTATGTATTTATTTTTTTTAAAATAGAGACAGAGTCTCACTATGTTGTCCAGGCAGGTAAGAACTGCTGGTGTCAAGTGATTCTCCCAACTCACCCTCCCAAAGTGTTGGAATTACAGGCATGAGCCACCATGCCCAGCCTTCTGGAGAAATTTTTTCATGACCTTTTTGCACCTACTTTTATTTGTTTACTTTTAATTTTATTTTAGAAACAGAGTCTTGCTCTGTTACCCAGGCTGGAGTGCAGTAGCATGATCATGGCTAATTGCCACCTCAAAATCCTGGGCTCAAGTGATCCTCCCACCTCAGCCTCCCAAGTAACTGGAACTACAAGCCCATGCCATCTTGCCTGGCTAAATTAAAAACATTTTTCTTTCATAGGGACCAGGGTCTCACTATGTTGCCCAGGCTAATCTTGAACTGGCCTCAAGTGATCCTCTCACCTTGACCTCCCAAAGTGCTGGGATTACAGGCGTGAGCCAGTGTGCCCAGCCTTCATCCCATTTTTAATCCCTCTTTTCTAGATTCTTTTCTTCCTGGAAAGCTCCTTTTTCTCTTTACCAGATTATAATACAAAACAGGTAAAAATAAATGGGCTTATTTACCTGTAGCATTAAGAAAGAAAATGTCCTCATTAGAGTTCTTCTCAGCTGCTTAATCCGAGTTCAAGGTCCCCATCAGTGCTTTACTTCTCAGCACTGGCTTTTAGTCATCCAGGAGCAAGGCAATCTTTCCCTTGAAGTCAGCTACCTGCCTGTGCCACCAACTGTGCAGAAAACAATTTGAAACAAGGTAGACTAGGAAGTTCCCAGAAAGGTATGGGTAAAGTGCTGGAGAGTTTCAGAGGAGAGATAAATCATTTTCCAATCTAGTGTATTAAGGAAGGCTCTATGATAGGTGGAACACTGGAAGGTGTCTTTGAGGAATTTGTGCTTTTGAATATAGAGCAGTAGAAAGAGAAGGGTGGGAATGGGAGTGGGTGGGAGGGTGAGGAATTGAGGAAGAAACTTACTCAATTTGACATAGGGTTGGTAATGTCATTTTCAGATTTGCTGTGATCCCCTAGAAACCTTGTAGTTGTAGAATGGGATCAAAGTTTTCTTTTTGGCATTTATTTTAAAGAATAAGATTAAAAGCACTTATAGATTATGTAACACTTTGACAGAAAGCATCTCATTTGCTTTTGAATACAGCTCTGTGAATAAGCAGGACAGTAGTTCAGGTGGTCAAGTGATCACCTGAATGAGTCGAAGTTATTTCAGGGTAAAACTGGACCTCTAAACCTGTCCGTACCTCTGAATCCCATCTATTTTTCATGCCACTGCCTAGAACATCTCACCTACCTTTCTAAGAGGGACCTCCTGCAACTCCCTCAAGTGAATTGAGACTCTATTTTATATTGATTTGTAGCTACTTTCACTTTTCCCTTTAAAGCACCACAATTTTTTTTTTTTGAGATGGAGTCTTGCTCTGTTGCCCAAGCTGGAGTACAGTGGGATAGTCTCAGCTCACTGCAACTTCTGCCTCCCAGGTTCAAGCGATTCTCCTGCCTCAGCCTCTTGAGTAGCTGGGATTACAGGTGCACACCACTATGCCTGGCTAATTTTTGTATTTTTAGTAGAAAAGGGGTTTCACCATGTTGACCAGGCTGGTCTCAAACTCATGCCTTCAAGTGATCCACCTGCCTCAGCCTCCCAAAGTGCTGGAATTACAGCGTGAGCCACTGTGCCCAGCCCACAATTTCTAAGTATGCATTTATTTATGTGGTTGCACATGTGATATCTGTCTCTCTTATTAGACTATTTATTTATTAGATCTGTAAGGTCAGGGATTGCCTGGTTTGTACACCCTTGTATATCAAGGAGCATAGTGCCTAACACTGTACTCAGCAAATGTTTGTGGAATGTGTGCATTCTACCTACAGACTTCCCCTGAGTTCTCTCTGGACATACACATTCTCTTTTGTTTCCCTTATAGTGACTCAGTCCAGCTTAAATGAAGTGATTAAGAATGTGGCAGCTGCCAAGTCTCTCACTGTCTCATGATTGGAACGACTCACCTTTATGTCTGGAAACTGAAGAAACTTCTTCCTTCTCTGCTTAATGAAAAGAAAATGGCATCACATGTTGCTAAACCCGGTGACATGTGAGTGACATAAAAGCTACCTCAAACGGGCATGTGCACATACACACACACACATTCTGCATTTTAAACATCAGATGTGTCCCAGTGGAGTTGGCAGTCAAGAGAGTCACTGTAAAGATAATTCCATTTGCCTGCTGGTTCAATTAATCATATGAGAAGATCCTCATCCAACTGGTTAATCATAGTGAACGTAATTATTTACTGATGACACACTTTGTTCCTGTACTGTGCATACATTATCTCTTTTCATCCTGTCAAAGAAAAAAATATTCAATGATATTTGCAAAGCTTGGTAAGGAAGACTTCATTCAGGACTATTGCAATGGTATAGGGACCACTGCAATGGGACTTTGCCATAGGGGAGAGAGACTGGGGTTAACTCTGAATACTGCGTGGGCAAGTAGAAATTTTTACAGCCAAGAGCAGGGTGGAAGTCAGTGGATGGAAAATCACTCAGAAGAAATATCAGGAGTAAGGGGAATTTTGGCTAAACTGACCTAACAGAATTCTTGCTGAAGACAGGCCGAGCTGATGAGACATCACCTGGGGGATGGTGGAGGATGAAATATTGAGGGTGGTAGATTATTGCTAAACTGACTTAGCAAGGTTGTTTGATAAAACTGGATTTTATGAGGAAGCACACAGATGGGCCTAGCAGAAGGTTCAGGAGCATGACTAAATTTTGATTAAGCAGATAATCTTTGTCTATCCTCACAAACTTTCTGAGGATTACTCAGGTGAGCAGAATGGGCCTCAGAGAGCAAGAGGAACTTGCATGAGGTTACAAAGCAAGCACAAAGTAGGGCTAGAGTTGAGGTCATGTTCATCTGCTTCTAGGGCTCTCGAATTTAAGCTCCATTTTATTTATTTCTAGGTAATTTTCACGGGTGTCTGTCACTCCAGGGACTGTTTTTGGTTTATATAACTGAAAGTGCTTTTATCCTTTTGTATGTCATAGTTATTTGTCCAAAATGCTACAAATTCCAAAGCATTTCATACCCATTAACTTTATAGAGTCAGAAATAGAAGCTCAGATCTAGTAATTAACCTGGCAAAAGTTACTCAGTGGGTAAAGGATAGAGCTTTGGGTGGAAATTCAAGTCAGCCTGCCTGTAAGCTCATGATTCTAACTAGACATGCTGGGATTCTTCTGTACTGTCTCATTACTCAAACCCCTTTTCATACATCAGGTTAGCTCCAGGCTTTAAAAATTACATACAGCCAGCACTTCAGCAAGGTCCTTTGTATGCACTGAACCTTTTCTTCTGTTAAAACTTGGGATCACATTCTCATTCATTACAAAAAATATTCTGGATCTTATGTTTAAGATAAATAATGACAGCTCTATTTATGAGACCCCCTTGACCATATTTGGTTTAACTAGAAAATGTTAGTGTATTTATGAAAATCAGAGGAC
The DNA here is from genome assembly GCF_000001405.40 of Homo sapiens. NCBI lineage: Eukaryota > Metazoa > Chordata > Mammalia > Primates > Hominidae > Homo > Homo sapiens. The sequence continues at coordinate 58,690,554 of NC_000011.10, forward strand.
AAAAGGCAGAGAACTAGTATGGGGTATGGAGAAGTGTGCACTAATTTCGCCTGTGCTTCAAGCTACCAAGGATTTCCAAGTCATTTGACTTCTGTGGACTTCAGCTTCCCCAGGTAAAAAGAATCCATTGGCTTGGGTTATCTCAAGGCCTATTTTGAGCTCTAAAAGATGGACTCCAAAGTTCCAACTATGCTCTTCAATAGATGCAAGCTATATTCTTGGCTTCCTTATTTATAAAACTTGGTACAAAATTTCTGTCCTACCTACCTCAGAGGGTTTTTTTTTTAGAATTTTAAGATTCATTTTTATTTTTAAATTTGTTTAATCGACAAGAATTATATACATTTATTGTATATAAGATTATGTTTTGAAATATGTGTACACTGTGTAATGGTTACATCCAGCTAATTAACATACCCATTACCTCCCACACTTATCATTTTTTTGTGGCACAAACACTTAAAATCTACTCTCTTAGCAAGTTTCAAGTACACAATACATTGTTATTAACTACAGTCACCATGTTATACAATAAATCTCTTAAGTTTATTCCTCCTGCCTAATTAAACATTGTATCCTTTAGCCAACATCTCCCCAGTCCCTCCCAAAGCTGCTCCCCAACTCACAGTAACCACCATTCTACTCTCTACTTCTGTGAGTTTAACTTTTTAAGATTTCACATATAAGATAGATGATGCAGTATTTATTCGTCTTTCTGTACCTGGCTTATTTCACTTAGCATAATGACTGCCAGCATCATTGTGAATGACAAGATCTTTTCAAGGTTTGTTGTTGTTGTTGTTGTTGTTGTTTGTTTGTTTTGTTTTTAAAGATCAAATAACATAGTGTTAACTTCCCATTGAAAGCAACTCAATGCCATTTGGTTCACTTTGCCTTTTCCTTGTTCCCTACAGCAACAAAGAAATGTTTAAAGAATCTTCCCTGGACATAAGCCATGCTGAATTGGTGACTCAGAGTTGGACATTTGGTGGGACGGAGAGGAGCCTGAAATTCATCCACCGTTGTATCTAGAACTTTTCTAACACTTGTCTGCTGGGCCCAAGAGAGGAGGCCTGTGTCCTGGGTCTTGATGGACCAAAGAGGAGAATCAAGAATGGCAGGTATTGTACCCAAGTACTGGGGGAAGGGACTAACGAACTATGTCTTTTATACACACACTCATAATATAGAAAATTTCAACGTGCCCCTGTACCTCCATGTGGAAAAAACTAATCAAATCATGGTAAAGACTGTGTTGCGCATGAACTATGTGCACATACTCCCCACCTGGAACCAACGGAACTGTGAGCCAACAGATGCTTCCTCTGAGATGGTAAGTATGTCGTTGGGGTTGTAGCTACTTGTAGGGACAGGAGGAAATTGGGGCAGATAAGCTTAGTCTGGAGAGTGCTAAGCACCTTGATTTTCTTGGGTAAAAACTTTAAAGTGATATGTTCATAGGTTTATTTATTTATTCTTTCAAGATCTTAAGTTGTGTGGTAGATTGAGGTTTTATGACCCGATTTCTCATTTCTTCCCTGTAATGAAATTATACATTCATGCTCTCTGCCATGTGACTTCTCTGTGCCTTCCATTTGAGCAGGAAGACTCCACTTCCTACCTTCTTCATATTGGGCATTTGTTTTTGCCAATGGAAATATGGGCAGAAGTGACAGCATGCCAGCTCTAAGCAGAGGCTACCTACTACTCCTGTGCTTCCACCATCCACTATGTGAGGAATGTGGATACATGTCAGAATGAGGAGACTGTGGAATAGATATAGACTCAGCTCACAGCCTGAAGCAGAGTGAACCCACAGACCGGTGAGCAAGAAAAATAAATCGTTGTGGCTGTACGTCTCTGAGATTTGAAGTCACTGAATCTGGATTTTCTGGATCTAGGCAGAATCCATTTACCACTGGGTAAGCAGGCAAGTCCTGGGGCCATCATTCTATGAGGATCTCAAAGTCCCTGGCTTAGAACTGGGCTACTACCCAGGAAGACAAACCCTTTTTAACTGCTTATGTCATGTTGCTGAAGTTAAAATATATCACAGATTCTGTGTTCTTCTTCTTTCTCAACCCATGCTACAATCACTTCACAATGCATCTGAAGATGTATAAAACAATGTGCAGGGTTAATTACAGAAGACACTGTAGTGTTCTTAGCCATTCTCTAATCTTAGCCATTCTCTAATCTTAGATGTTATTTTATAGCTCTTTCCTGTTACAAATTAGTACTGCTCTAAATTTTTTCTAAGTGGAGATTTTTTCTCTTCAAATAATTTCTTGTACTGGGTTCCAAGACCTAGGCTCTCTGCGTTGCCAGGGGTGTATGAACATCACTATGGCTCTCAGTCCATATGGCCTAAGTGCCCTCCACATGGATTCTGCTCAATGAATGAGTTTGTCACTTTCCTGCCACTTCCTCAGAATTAAGTTAACGCCATTTATTGAGCAGACAACTCTTAGAAAGATGCATATATGTGGCTGGTGTAAGCAGGAATTGAAGAGAGACAGCAGCCTCAGTTGCAAAAATGGTGGCCGTAACATACCAGGAGACCATCTAAGCAAGTAAAAGCAAACCTGTACACTTTACATATTATGTAAAAGCCAAACACAGTCATTCTTACCAACAGCCAATCTAGGAATATTTCTCTGTGTATGTCACTCAGACATTCCAGAATAGATAGTGCAACAGATGGGTATCTCTTACCACCTAGAGGGTAAAGAAACACAAAAAGGAGCTCTGCTCATTTCTTAAAAGAAGACTGTCTCCTAACCAGGGGAACTTTTAATTTTATTTTCACTTCCAGAGAACCAGGCAGAAAGCATTTTCATAGGAGTGACAACTTTGTCAAAAGTGGCAACATAAACCAAGGATGTTGAAAAACTCTTTTATTCATACATTTTCCTTTGTAGTTACATCTTCATATACCCTCGTCATGCCAGTCTTTTTAATGTAAACTCCCAGAAAACGTCAAGCTGTGTAATTTTAGAAACTAAAAGTTAAAGTTCCCTTCAACAACAACAGTTTTCACTTCTGTAGGCAGAATATTTAATCTACTGGCATCTGGGAGCAGTGGCTCATGCCTGTAATCCCAGCACTTTGGGAGGCCAAGGTGGTTGTATCACTTGAAGTCAGGAGTTCAAGACCAGCCTCACCAACATGGTGAACCCCATCTCTACTAAAAATACAAAATTAGCTGGCCGTGTTGGTGCTCGCTTGTAGTCCTAGCTACTCAGGAGGCTGAGGTGTGAGACTTGCTTGAACCCAAGAGGCAGAGGTTGCAGTGAGCTGAGATTGCGCGACTGCACTCCAGCCTGGACGACAGAGTGACACTCTGTCTCAAAAATAAAGAAATAAATATTTAACCTACTGGTAATGCTACATCTCAAATTCTTCTGACTACTTTATAGGTATTCTCCCTATCTAAGTCTTACTGAAAGAGGCCATGATCATAAAAGACATGAATCAACGGGATGCTCTTCATTGCAGGAGGTCAGAGGGAGGTGGATGTTTCTATTCAGGAACTGGTGCTTTCAATGTCCAGCTGGGGACATCTAAATCTAAGAAGTTTTTTTTTTTTTTTAATTTTTTTAAAGGGACAGCTCTTAGATAAACCTTGAAAAGTGGGAAAGGGTATGATACTGCAGAGTAAAAAAAGATATTTGGAGCAGGGACTAGCATGAATAAAGGCACAAGGAATGAGCAAGCTTAAAGGGCATATAAAGTGGAGTTGAACACCTGGAAACAACCAAAATGCCCATCAGTAGTGGAGTGAGTTAATTTTATATGTCAACCTGACTGGATCACAGGGTGCCTAGATGTTCAGCGAAACATTCTGGATGTGTCTGTGAAGGTGCTTCTGGATGAGATTGACATTTTAATCAGCAGACTGAGTAAAGCGGATTGCTCTCCCGAATGTGGGTGGACCTCTTTCAGTCAACTGAACATCTGAATAGAGCAAAAAGGCTAAATAAGAGGGAAACTTCTCCTGCCTCACAGCTTGAGCTGGGACATCAGTCTTCTCAGGACCTTGGATTGGAACTTACACCATTGGCTTTCCTTGTTTGGCTTTCCTGTTTCCAGCTTGCTAACTGCAGATCTTGGAAATTTTCGGCTTCCATAGTTACATGAGCCAATTCTTTATTATGAATCTATACATACCTACATCTATATCTTTATGATGATATAAATAAAGACATAGATGTAGGTATGTATAGATTTATAATAAAGAATTATCTTTCTTCTATTGCTTTTTTTCCTTTGGGGAATCCTAATGCAATAGATAACTGGTTGAATAAATTCTGGCACATACTTATGATGGGATATAAAAAGAAAAGGAAATGAGAAATATGTTTACTGTTAAGACATATTTCAGGGATATATGTTTCAGGAACAAAACAAGTACAGAGGCCGGGCACGGTGGCTCACGCCTGTAATCCCAGCACTTTGGGAGGCCGAGGCGGGTGGATCATGAGGTCAGGAGATCGAGACCATCCTGGCTAACAAGGTGAAACCCCGTCTCTACTAAAAATACAAAAAATTAGCCGGGCGCGGTGGCGGGCGCCTGTAGTCCCAGCTACTCGGGAGGCTGAGGCAGGAGAATGGCGTGAACCCGGGAAGCGGAGCTTGCAGTGAGCCGAGATTGCGCCACTGCAGTCCGCAGTCCGGCCTGGGCGACAGAGCGAGACTCCGTCTCAAAAAAAAAAAAAAAAAAAACAAGTACAGAGCAGTGTGTATATTTTGCTTCATCTTAGCAGCATATTAAAAAGTGGAAGGATAAACCAAAACTCATAAAAATGCTTAATATAGGGGGAGGGAGAATAAGGATAAAAGCGATAGGTATAAGTGCTAGATTTCTTTGGCTATAACTTGTCTTATAGATTTGACTTTGAAACAATATAAATGTTTTTCTTAAATATAAAATAAAATTAGATGAGATATTAATGGGTATAAAAATACCATTAGAAAGAAGAAGATCTAGTGTTCAGAGGCACAATAGGGTAACTATAGTTAACAACAATTCATTGTATATTTTAAAACACATAAGAAAAGTAGAACTCGGATGTTCCTAACACAAAGAAATGATAAATGGTTGAGGTGATGGATATCCCAATTACCCTAATATGATCATTACATATTGTACGCTTGTATCAGAATATCACATGTACCCTGTAAATATATACAACTATCAGGTTTCCATTATAATTAAAAATTAAGAATAATAAATTAAAAATCAATCTCTTCAAGTCTAAAACAAAATGAAACATAAAGAAATTGTGTCTTAATACAGAAGGAGCAGGATTAAAAAAATTGTGTTTTAAGTTGATGATTGAATGATACAGAAATAAATTATTACAATTGAATTTAAAGCACAAAAATTTAATATATGTCCCTAGTGTGATATATCTTAAAGATAAAAATAAATAAAAAGAAAACTAAAATATTATTGTCAGTAATAACACTGTTAATAATAAGATTGTTATTGTTGTTTGGAAATACTATGTGTATAATACTATGTATTTATACACATGATTAGGTAATTAAGCAAAAATGTTAATAATTTAAACAATTGTATTTATGTCATTAGGAACCAAGATTTTTACTGTAAAATAGAAAAATTATAAGTAAAAAACAAAGAAATTAAGTAAAAGTTATATAATATGAAACTTGAATTAAAAAGATCAGTATATTAAACTCATTATGAATTTTTTTCTTTTTTTTAATTTTATTATTATTATACTTTAAGTTTTAGGGTACATGTGCACAATGTGCAGGTTAGTTACCTATGTATACATGTGCCATGCTGGTGTGCTGCACCCCTTAACTCGTCATTTAGCATTAGGTATATCTCCTAATGCTATCCCTCCCCCCTCCCCCCACCCCACAACTGTCCCCAGAGTGTGATGTTCCCCTTCCTGTGTCCATGTGTTCTCATAGTTCAATTCCCACCTATGAGTGAGAACATGCGGTGTTTGGTTTTTTGTCCTTGCGATAGTTTACTGAGAATGATGATTTCCAATTTCATCCATGTCCCTACAAAGGACATGAACTCACCATTTTTTATGGCTGCATAGTATTCCATGGTGTATATGTGCCACGTTTTCTTAATCCAGTCTATCATTGTTGGACATGTGGGTTAGTTCCAAGTCTTTGCTATTGTGAATAGTGCTGCAATAAACATACGTGTGCATGTGTCTTTATAGCAGCATGATTTATAGTCCTTTGGATATATACCCAGTAATGGGATGGCTGGGTCAAATGGTATATCTAGTTCTAGATCCTTGAGGAATCGCCACACTGACTTCCACAATGGTTGAACTAGTTTACAGTCCCACCAACAGTGTAAACGTGTTCCTATTTCTCCACATCCTCTCCTGCACCTGAGCACCTTTTTTTTTTCCTGACTTTTTAATGATTGCCATTCTAACTGGTGTGAGATGGTATCTCATTGTGGTTTTGATTTGCATTTCTCTGATGGCCAGTGATGGTGAGCATTTTTTCATGTGTTTTTTGGCTGCATAAATGTCTTCTTTTGAGAAGTGTCTGTTCATGTCCTTCGCCCACTTTTTGATGTGGTTGTTTGTTTTTTTCTTGTAAATTTGTTTGAGTTCATTGTAGATTCTGGATATTAGCCCTTTGTCAGATGAGTAGGTTGCAAAAATTTTCTCCCATTTTGTAGGTTGCCTGTTCACTCTGATGGTAGTTTCTTTTGCTGTGCAGAAGCTCTTTAGTTTAATTAGATCCCATTTGTCAATTTTGGCTTTTGTTGCCATTGCTTTTGGTGTTTTAGACATGAAGTCCTTGCCCATGCCTATGTCCTGAATGGTAATGCCTAGGTTTTCTTCTAGGGTTTTTATGATTTTAGGTCTAACGTTTAAGTCTTTAATCCATCTTGAATTAATTTTTGTATAAGGTGTAAGGAAGGGATCCAGTTTCAGCTTTCTACATCTGGCTAGCCAGTTTTCCCAGCACCATTTATTAAATAGGGAATCCTTTCCCCATTGCTTGTTTTTCTCAGGTTTGTCAAAGATCAGATAGTTGTAGATATGCATCATTATTTCTGAGGGCTCTGTTCTGTTCCATTGATCTATATCTCTGTTTTGGTACCAGTACCATGCTGTTTTGGTTACTGTAGCCTTGTAGTATAGTTTGAAGTCAGGTAGCGTGATGCCTCCAGCTTTGTTCTTTTGGCTTAGGATTGACTTGGCGATGCGGGCTCTTTTTTGGTTCCATATGAACTTTCAAGTAGTTTTTTCCAATTCTGTTAAGAAAGTCATTGGTAGCTTGATGGGGATGGCATTGAATCTATAAATTACCTTGGGCAGTATGGCCATTTTCACGATATTGATTCTTCCTACCCATGAGCATGGAATGTTCTTCCATTTTTTGTATCCTCTTTTATTTCCTTGAGCGGTGGTTGGTAGTTCTCCTTGAAGAAGTCCTTCAAGTCCCTTGTAAGTTGGATTCCTAGGTATTTTATTCTCTTTGAAGCAATTGTGAATGGGAGTTCACTCATGATTTGGCTCTCTGTTTGTCTGTTATTGGTGTATAAGAATGCTTGTGATTTTTGTACATTGATTTTGTATCCTGAGACTTTGCTGAAGTTGCTTATCAGCTTAAGGAGATTTTGGGCTGAGACAATGGGGTTTTCTAGATATACAATCATGTCATCTGTAAACAGGGACAATTTGACTTCCTCTTTTCCTAATTGAATACCCATTATTTCCTTCTCCTGCCTAATTGCCCTGGCCAGAACTTCCAACACTAAGTTGAATAGGAGTGGTGAGAGAGGGCATCCCTGTCTTGTGCCAGTTTTCAAAGGGAATGCTTCCAGTTTTTGCCCATTCAGTATGATATTGGATGTGGGTTTGTCATAGATAGCTCTTATTATTTTGAGATACATCCCATCAATACCTAATTTATTGAGAGTTTTTAGCATGAAGCATTGTTGAATTTTGTCAAAGCCTTTTCTGCATCTATTGAGATAACCATGTGGTTTTTTGTCTTTGGTTCTGTTTATATGCTGGATTACATTTATTGATTTGTGTATATTGAACCAGCCTTGCATCCCAGGGATGAAGCCCACTTGATCATGGTGGATAAGCTTTTTGATGTGCTGCTGGATTCGGTTTGCCAGTATTTTATTGAGGATTTTTGCATCAATGTTCATCAAAGATATTGGTCTAAAATTCTCTTTTTTGGTTGTGTCTCTGCCAGGCTTTGGTATCGGGATGATGCTGGCCTCACAAAATGAGTTAGGGAGGATTCCCTCTTTTTCTATTGATTGGAATAGTTTCAGAAGGAATGGTACCAGTTCCTCCTTGTACCTCTAGTAGAATTCGGCTGTGAATCCATCTGGTCCTGGACTCTTTTTGGTTGGTAAGCTATTGATTATTGGCACAATTTCAGAGCCTGTTATTGGTCAATTCAGAGAATCAACTTCTTCCTGGTTTAGTCTTGGGAGGGTGTACGTGTCGAGGAATTTATCCATTTCTTCTAGATTTTCTAGTTTATTTGCGTAGAGGTGTTTGTAGTATTCTCTGATGGTAGTTTGTATTTCTGTGGGATTGGTGGTGATACCCCCTTTATCATTTTTTATTGCGTCTCTTTGATTCTTCTCTCCTTGTTTCTTTATTAGTCTTGCTAGCGGTCTATCAATTTTGTTGAACCTTTCAAAAAACCAGCTCCTGGATTCATTAATTTTTTGAAGAGTTTTTTGTGTCTCTATCTCCTTCAGTTCTGCTCTGATTTTAGTTATTCCTTGCCTTCTGCTAGCTTTTGAATGTGTTTGCTCTTGCTTTTCTAGTTCTTTTAATTGTGATGTTAGGGTGTCAATTTTGGATCTTTCCTGCTTTCTCTTGTGGGCATTTAGTGCTATAAATTTCCCTCTACACACTGCTTTGAATGTGTCCCAGAGATTCTGGTATGTTGTGTCTTTGTTCTCATTGGTTTCAAAGAACATCTTTATTTCTGCCTTCATTTCGTTATGTACCCGGTAGTCATTCAGGAGCAGGTTGTTCAGTTTCTGTGTAGTTGAGCAGTTTTGAGTGAGTTTCTTAATCCTGAGTTCTAGTTTGATTGCACTGTGGTCTGAGAGATAGTTTGTTATAATTTCTGTTCTTTTACATTTGCTGAGGCGAGCTTTACTTCCAATTATGTGGTCAATTTTGGAATAGGTGTGGTGTGGTGTTGAAAAAATGTATATTCTGCTGATCTGAGGTGGAGAGTTCTGTAGATGTCTATTAGGTCTGCTTGGTGCAGAGCTGAGTTGAATTCCTGGGTATCCTTGTTAACTTTCTGTCTCGTGGATCTGCCTAATGTTGACAGTGGTTGTGTTAAAGTCTCCCATTATTATTGTGTGGGAGTCTAAGTCTCTTTGTAGGTCACTCAGGACTTGCTTTATGAATCTGGGTGCTCCTGTATTGGTTGCATATATATTTAGGATAGTTAGCTCTTCTTGTGAATTGATCCCTTTACCATTATGTAATGGCCTTCTTTATCTCTTTTTATCTTTGTTGGTTTAAAGTCTGTTTTGTCAGAGACTGGGATTTCAACCCCTGCCTTTTTTTGTTTTCCATTTGCTTGGTAGATCTTCCTCCATCCTTTTATTTTGAGCCTATGTGTGTCTCTGCACGTGAGATGGGTTTCCTGAATACAGCACACTGATGGGACTTGACTTTTTATCCAATTTGCCAGTCTGTGTCTTTTAATTGGAGCATTTAGTCCATTTACATTTAAAGTTAATATTGTTCTGTGTGAATTTGATCCTGCCGTTATGATGTTAGCTGGTTATTTTGCTCGTTAGTTGATGCAGTTTCTTCCTAGTCTCGATGGTCTTTATATTTTGGCATGATTTTGCAGTGGCTGGTACCGGTTGTTCCTTTCCATGTTTAGTGCTTCCTTCAGGAGCTCTTTTAGGGTAGGCCTGGTGGTGACAAAATCTCTCAGCATTTATTTGTCTGTAAAGTATTTTATTTCTCCTTCACTTATGAAGCTTAGTTTGGCTGGATATGAAATTCTGGATTGAAAATTCTTTTCTTGAAGAATGTTGAATATTGGTCCCCACTCTCTTCTGTCTTGTAGAGTTTCTGCTGACAGATCCACCTTTTAAGTTTTTTTATGGGTATCTTGTCTTCTAGGGATAAGTCTACAAGTTTACACCTGTTCTGGCAGTGAGGAGTACCTGGTAGGATCCTTTCCAGCATGGTTCCTGAGCAATCTGTCTCAGATTTCTTTCCTAGAATTACCTACTTTTAGGTTATGTGGGAACTAATCCTCTGTCTGATGGGACAAGACAGGCTGTACTTAATGAAAAATAATAGAGTGCAGTGGGTTAGTCTTTTAAAATATTTATCTACATCAGATTATAAGATGTTGGAATCCAGCATTGGTGGAGCTGTCACTTGTGATGTGGGCCTGCTGGTGAGCAGATCACAGGTGTATTCATATAATGGCATAAGACTCAGAAAAAAATTGAATGAAATACTGATATATTGAACAGCATGGATGTGTTTCACAGGTATTTTAATGAATAGAAATATCAGACACTAAAAAGAATACCCACTATAAGATGCTAATCACAAAATAAATCTTAACAGTTGTAGGGATGTGAATTGATTGAAGTAAGTTTCAGAGATTATGTTGTTGTAATTTTTAAAGTAATGCAAATTACATAAATGCAAACTTGTTTTAATCCCATGGAACTGTAAATTAAGATCTCTGTGTGTATAAAATATATCTCATTAAAGAGAGAAAGAATAAGAAAGATTCTCGCCAGACACGTTGGCTCACACTTGTAATCCCAGCCCTTTGGGAGGCTGAGGCGGGCGATCACTTGAGCCCAGGAGTTCAAGACGAGCCTGGCCACCATGGTGAAACCCCATCTCTACTAAAAATACAAAAAAATTAGCCAGGCGTGGTAACGAGCACCTGTAATTCCAGCTACTTGGGAGGTTGAGGCAGGAGAATTGCTTGAACCTGGGAGGCAGAGGTCGCAGTGAGCTGAGATTGCACCATTGCACTCCAGCCTGGGCAACAAGAGTGAAACTCTCTCAAAAAAGAAAAAAAAAAAAAAGAAAGAAAGAAAAGAAAAAGAAAGATTCTCTATGAAACTTTTGAGTTATTGGATGTCCACAAATTTATTTAATTTGTCCTTCTAATTAAAGGCTATTTTACTATGCTTGTTATTCTAGATCCAAGAACACTTCTCGCACCTCTAGTACATTACTTCTCTGTCTGCTAAGTATGTGAGGTTGCTAATGAGAAGCCTGAATCAATGTGGTTCTTAGTTTTCTGATCAAAACCAGTGACTCTGAAACCTTGTAAATGCTTGTCTTCACCATTGGTGGTCTAAAATCAACATGAAATATTGAATGAGTGATTCCTCCATTCAGTCTTAAGTTGGTTTTTTGAAGCATAAGTCACTCTTCAGATCTACTGTTTCCTTCACCTCTTTTTTCTTTTCCTCCCTTTAAATTGTTTTCATCTCTCTGTTTGCCCTGTTCTCCTATTTTTGGAATGCCATTTAAATGGGCATTCAAACTTGTCAATCTGTTACTCATTTATCTTATCTTTTCCGTCATATTTTCCCACCTTTCTTCATTTTGTGTGGTGTTCACAGCATACTTTCTGCTAGATCTTCTAGCTTTCTTTTCTTTTTTTCTTTTTTTGAGACGGAGTCTTGCAGTCTTGCTCTAACACCAGGCTGGAGTGCAGTGGCACAATCTCGGCTCACTGCAACCTCCGCCTCCTGCGTTCAAGCAATTCCCCTACCTCAGCCTCCCGAGTAGCTAGGACTACAGTCATGTGCCACCACACCCGGCTAATTTTTTGTATTTTAGTAGAGATGGGGTTTCACCATGTCGGCCAGGATTGACCTTGTGATCTTCCTGCCTCGGCCTCCCAAAGTGCTGGGATTACAGGTGTGAGCCATGGCACTCTGCCTCTAGCTTTCTAATTATCTATGAGCTGTGTCCACCTGGCTATTCAGTTCATATATTAAGATTTTAATTCAGAGTTCTAATATTTAGTTTTTAGAATCTCTGTTTGATTCATTTTTATTCAAGTAATACAGGATATCACAGTTATACATATTGAAAATCTTCTGATTGCTCTCTTCTTTTCAGCAGGTATAAATTCATTCATAAGGCAGGTACAGTGGCTCATGTCTATAATCCCACTACTTTGGGAGACTGAGGTGGGAGGATTTTTTGAGGACAGGAGTTTGACACCAGCCTGAGCAATGTAGCCAGACCTTGTCTCTACAAAAAAATTATTCTTAATTAGCCACTTTTTTTTTCCTTCAAGTTGGCTGTCTAGGGATATCACAAGCAAGTTTTCCTCAGAAGGAAGATAAAGTTACCACTGAATCATTAAGATTTGAATGGAAAACAGAGAAAAAGAGAGCCAGGACCAGTCAGGAAGAAGCTGGGGTGCACAGAAGAAAAGCAGCAAACGTCTGGATGAGATCAACCCAAAGGAACTCAGAGCCCAGTGGAAAGTATAGATGGGAGGGCTTTTCTGCTCCCCAAACCCCTCTGACAATCTGCTAAATGCTAAATGGTCAGGGAGCTTCTCTCACCTCCCAATACAGGACAACAATATCACTGGTGATTGGTGAATTGCGTGGGAATAGAGAACAGGGTGGCCAGCTCACAGAGCCATACCACACCCCACTCAGACACAGGCTGAGACAGTGGGTACCATATGAGTTGTGCATTTGTGGTACCACCCCCTGCCTGGGGATCCTTTGCCTTTGAGCCTCTGCACCACCAGATGACCTGCAGACATTCTCTACAACCCACTCTGACTTTGGCAAGCACAGGGGACTGGTGGGTCCCCTGGGAATTGTGGTACCCTGGAAATGTAACCTTCAGCCCAGATCTCCCCTAAGGGAGGGCGGAGCATGGCCTCCACTTGGGATAAAGAAAACATAGGCATGGTGCCAACTGCTGATGGAGCCACTGCCAAAGCCAGAAACAGATGTGGAGAGAGGAGTCATCTCTCTGCCCCTGTCCCTGTACCCAAGTGCACTCTTGTGGATGCAGCGACAGTTCTTCTCATTGGGGCCTGGTCAGCGTTTGCAGGAAGAACACCATTTTCTGGCAGATCTACTCCCACTGAAAGTGAGCCTGTGCCTACTCAAGCATTCTTGAAGGGTAGGATCCAGCTTCCTCTCCCTGTACAGAGCAGCAGCACGCTGGCAATGGAGGGAAGTCTATGGAGTTGCCTCACCTGGACTGTGGGAAGAAGCTCTGCCCCAGCCCCCATCCTAGTGGTAGCCATCGGAGAGACAGATCTATGACCAACGGCTACACATGAGACTTACAAAAGTCTCATGACCTTTATAAACAGAAGGTCATGAGACCCAAGACAGGGGTGTAATAAGGAAATGGAGCACAATCCTGATGGCTTAGGATAAGGAGAGGGTGACCACTCCCTTCCCCTTCCCCTGAGACTTCAGCACTTGCCCATCACAATTTCTTCCTGCTACCCTCAGCAGTGCTGGTGCATACACTGGGCACCAGGCTACCTGCTGGCTCTTACTATTAAAGAGTGTAGCCTGAATTGCATAAACAAACAAAAAAAATTGCTATTACAAACAACATCTGTGATAGTCACCTCATGAATTTATTTGCCACTGAGGAACATGTACAGAATATTGGCCCTCTGAAAGCCCCCAGAAACAAAGCCAATTGATTATATACAACACACACCAGAGTCATATCCTCAAGGGAAAAAATAAAAAAAAATCCCCATCCAAATGAAGCAAATTCAATAAAAGAAGCATCAGCTTCCTTGGTTAGGAAGGCAGCATAAGAACCCCAGTGGTACAGGAGACAAGAGTGTTCCATCACCTCCAATGGACTGCACTCACTTCCTAGCACTGGATCCTAACCAGATTGAAACGGCTGAGATGACAGATATAGAACTCAGAATATGGATGGCAAGGAAACTCAACAATCTGCCAGAGAAAGTTGAAATCAAATACAGAGAAGACAGAAGAAAGATTCAGAGCATGAAAGACAACATAGCTATATATTAGGAAAGAACCACACAGAACTTCTGGAATAGAAAAATTTACTACAGAAATTTCCAAATACAGTTGTATACTTTAACCATAATGTAGACCAAGCAGAAGAAAGAATTTCAGAGCTTGAAGACAAGGGTTCTCAAGTAATCCAGTCAGACAAAAAATAAAAAATAAAAATGAAAAAGCCTTCAAGATCTATGATATTATGTAAAGTGACCAAACCTATGACTTACTGACATTCCTAAGAGAAGAAAACAAGCAACCTGGAAAACATATATGAGGGTTTAATTCAGGAAAATTTCCCCAATCTTGCTGGACAGGTCTATATGCAGATACAAGAAGTTCAGAGAACTCCTGTAAGATACTATACAAGACAATCATCCCCAAGGAATATAGTCATAAAGCTATCCAAGGTCAATAGAGCCAGAAGAGATTGGGAGCCTATTTTTAGTCTTCTTAAAGAAAAAAACATGCCAGATAAGAATTTCATTTTCATTTTCCACCAAACCAAGCCTCATAAAGGAAAGAGAAATAAAGCTATTCCAAGACCAGCACATGTTAAGGGAATTTGTCACTATCAGACTGGACTTACAAAGAAATGCTCAAAGGAGTTGTAAACATGGAAATGAATGAACAATACTTGCTACCAGGAAAGCACACATAAGTACAAAACTTACAAACTCAATAAAGCAACTATACAATCAAGAAATGCAACACAGATACCTAATAACCACACGGCAAGAAAAAAACCTAACATATCAATATTAATCTTGAACATAAACAGCCTAAACACTCACTTAAGAGATACAGAATGGCAAGTTGGATAAAAAACAAGACCCAACATTCTCCTGTTTCAAGAAACTCATCTCATATGTAATGACACCCATGGGCTCAAAGTATAGGGATGGAGAATGATCTGTTACACAAATGGAAAACACAAAAGAGCTGGGGTCACTATTCTTGTAACATATAAAGAGAATTTAAACCAATAACAATAAAAATGGATGATAATAATTAAAAAGGACATAATGATAAAAGGTTCACTTCAGCAAGATTTAACAACATCCTGCACATGTACCCCTGAACTTAAGATAAAAATTAAATATATACATATGTAAATATGTGTATATATATATATATGCACCCAACACCAGTGCATCCAGTTTTATAAAACAAATACCATTAGGCCTACAAAAAAGTGAGAAAACCATACAATAATAGTGAGGGGACTTCAATACCCCACTGACAGCATTAGACAGACCATCGAGGCAGAAAACTAACAAATTCTGGACTTAAATTGAACACTTGACCAAATGGACCTAATACACAGCTACAGAATACTCCACCCAACAACCACAGAATATACATTATTTTTATCTGCACATGGAATGTACTCTAAGATTGACCACATGTTTAGTCATAAAGTGAATTTAAAAAAACTGAAAGTCATACCAAGCATCTTCTTGGACCACACTGGAATATAAATACAAATCAATACCAAGAGGAATTCTCAAACCACACAAATACATAGAAATGAAAGAAGTTGTTCCTAAAGAATTTTGGATAAACAATAAAATTAAGGCAGAAATCAAAATATTCTTTGAAACTAATGAAAATAGAGACAAAACATACCAAAACCTCTGGGATACAGCCAAAGCAGTGTTAAGAGGAAAGTTTATAGCACTGACTGCCTACAGCAAAAAGTTAGCAAGATCTCAAATTAACAACCTAGGAATTGAGATTAAGATGGCAGATAGGGGGCAGGACTAGCTTGCAGCTCCCACTCGGATGGACAGAGCCGTGTATGAAGACTCACATCCTGAAATTCTGCTCCAAGAACTACCGTGGGTACATACCAGGAAAGCTGAGAGAATCCACAGACCATTTGAAGAAACTGGATTACCTCTGCAGGCTCCCTGAGACACTGAAAAACAGTGAGTCTGTTTGCTTTCTCAATGGGGAGGCTTGTGGTCTGGGGCAAGCTCTGAGTCCTGGTAACTGGCTACCTGGAAATAGACTTGGTGCTGTTGGGGGGCATGGTGGGAGTGAGACCAGCCTTTGGGACTGTGGGTTGCAGAGAGTGGGGTGAGGCCTATGACTGCTGGCTTCTTCCCTGGTGACCTGTATGATTCAACAGAGGCAGCCATAATCCTCTTGGTAATATAACTCCATTGGACTGAGAACTACACCTTCATCCCTAGTAGCAGTTACAGCAAGCCCTGCCCAAGGGGAGGCTGAGCTCAGACATGCCTATCCCTGCCTCCACCTGGTGGTCTTTCTCTAACCACACTGGTAGCCAAAGACAAGATTATGAGAGCTCTCATAATCTCTTGAGAGCTCTATGGCCTTGACCACCACCTGAGAAACCTGAATACTTAACCAGGTGTCCCTAGGGCAAGTTTGCATCCTCCCTATAGAACTGCAGCTAATGTGCTCTTGAAAGTGCCACCTCCTGGCTGGAGGCCAACCAACACAAAATGAGTGCACTAAACAAAAACAACCAACGACCCTCACAGAGTCCACTTCACTACCCTGCCACCTCCACTGAAGCAGGTGCTGGTATCTATAGCTGCAAGACTGGAAGACAGTTCACACCAGAGGACTCTTTGCAGACACTCCTCAGTACCAGGCTGGAGCCTGGTAGCTCCACTGGGTGGCTAGACTCAGAAGAGCAAAAACAATCACTACAGTTTGGCTCTCAGGAAACCCCATTCCCAGGGGAAGGGGGAGAATGCTACATCAAAGGAGCACCCCATGGGACGAAAGAATATGAACAGCAGCTCTTGAATCCCAGATCTTCCCTCTGACATAGTCTACCCAAATGAGAAGGAACCAGAAAAACAATTCTGGTAATATGACAAAACAGGGTTCTTTAACACCCCCAAAAGATTATACCAGCTCACCAGCAATGGATCCAAACAAAGGCAAAATCCCCGAATTTCCAGAAAAAGAATTCAGAGGTCAATAATTAAGCTAATCAAGGAGACACCAGAGAAAGAAATAAAAAACACGATACATAATATGAAAGGAAAATTCTTCAGTGAAATAGATAGCATAAATAAAAAACAATCACAACTTCTGGAAATCAGGGACACACTTAGAGAAGTGCAAAATGCACTGGAAAATCTCAGCAATAGAATTGAACAAGCAGAAGAAAGAATTTCAGAGCTTGAAGACAAGGCTTTCGAATAACCCAATATGTCAAAGGCAAAGAACAAAGAATTTTTAACAATGAACAAAGCCTCCAAGATGTCTGGGAATAGGTTAAACATTCAATGCTGGGTCTGTGGGACAGACAACTGATGGATGAAATGAGTACTCAGACACAGATATGCAGTGTAAGAGCAGCTAGGTAACTGCCTGGCTCAAGTGGCCAGAATGCAGCCCTGAGAAGCTGGAGCTGCTTGCTTTTATTCAGCACAAGCACAATGCCGAAAGCCTGGAGCAAACACAATCTGTAGGTGATTAACATTTATTGTTCCCCTTTCACAGGAGTTCTAGACCAGACTGGCCAACATGGTTAAACCCCATCTCTACTAAAAATACAAAAAATAGCTCGGTACAATAGCACATGCCTGTAATCCCAGCTACCCTGGAGGCTGAAACAGGAGAATCGCTGGAACCTGAGAGGTGGAAGCTGCAGTGAGCCAAAATCATGCCACTGCACTCCAGACTGGGTGACAGCACGAAACTCTGTCTCAAAAAAAGAAAAAAAAAATAGAAAGCTGTCCTAACCTGTTGCAACCTGAAAGATTATCTCTCTTGTTCCCCCTCAACTGACTCTTGTTTGAGACAATTATCTAAACTTTTAATAGAGTTCAGGCATTCTGAAGTAATGCTATAATTGGAATGTTTGTGTTTCCTCCAAAATTCATGTTGAAACTTAATCCTCAATGTAACAGTATTAAGAGATAGTCTTTAAGAGATAATTAGGCCACAAGAACGTCCACCCTTATGGATGGGATTTGTGCCTGAAGGAAAAAGGACTGGAGGAAATTAGCTGGGCTCCTTTTTGCTCTTCTGTCTTTCTGCCATGTGAGGACACAGTGTTCATCCCCTACAAATAACACAGCAATAATGCACCACCTTGGAAGCAGGGACTGGATTCTCACAGACACCAAATCTGCTGGCACCATGATTTTAGACTTCCAGCCTCCAGAACTGTGATAAATAAATTTTTAATTATTTTATTATTATTTTAAATAAACAAATAAGTTCAGACTGTTATTTATGAATTACCCAGTCTCAGGTATTTTGTTACAGCAGGAACAAACTGAGATTAGTAATGTGCTGAGGCTAATTGGACAAGCAGGTGTTCATGCTGTCTCCTCTCCCTTCAACTCCTATCTCTCCTCAATAAACCATCACATCCCTGGGTCAAGGTGCTCCCACCTTCACCTTTTCATACACTCATTCCTTTCATGCTGTCACCATGATGAACCACTTAGCTTGAACAAACACAATAAAAATTGTATACAGTCAAACACAAAACTTTCTGTATTATTTAGGAGTTGTGGGTTTTGGAAGCTCATCTTTAGAAAAAACATTGGATCTTTTTTCCTGGAATAGGAGCTTGGAGAGGATAGGATATCATCAGTTGATATTTCTTCTAGTAACATTCCCTGCTATATCATGTATACTGTATTTAGCCTAATATCCCATATATATTTGTGTCCAGTATATTTAATGTACCTATAAAGTAGCAATAACAGGAGAGGATAATCTCTAAAGACCTGCTGAGGAGAGTCCACTTGTTGATCATAAGGGAAAGGCTTTAGAAAGAAAGAAGTCATAGTGCTCAGAAAATTTAATTCACCTCTTCCTAGCTCCCAGAAAAACTGGCAAGGGTCTTGCAACTGAGGAACCAGGGATTCCAGGAGAAGTAATTTGGAGCAATATGTATCTGATGAAGTGTCATAGAGGTCCTGGAAATGTGGGGAGGTAAATTGCTTATGTCAAATGTAAGAGGACCTGGGCCTGCTTCCCACTGAGAAACCTGTGAATGCAGGGACCATGGCGATGCTGTTGAACATCACACTGCTTCCCCAGAGTCCAAACAGTGCCCACTCCTTTACTGCTGATTACAATTTATTATTTCTTTTCATCCACCATCCACTCCTCAAATTATACGCCCAGACCTGCCCAACACTGTCTTATGTTCAGGATTGGCATCACAGAGGTACACAGTTCCACTGGTTCCAGCTTCTGGGAATGGGAACATGTTGCAGTGTGTAACTCATTTTTTGCATAGCTTCATTGCTGTAGTCTACATGAGAATAGACAGGAAACCCAAGTTTGCCCAATTTCTGGGCGTGGGAATAGATGACATACGTCACAAGGCCATGGAGCCGGTATTCCGGCAAGGTGCCTGCCATTCTCATCTCTCCAGTCTGGTCCATTAGATCCCAGCACACAGGGGTCCCCTCAGGCCCCAGGAGACAGCAGGTGGGAAAGGTCTGAATGCAGCGCTCAATGAATCTCTGGCTCCTCTCATTACCACCAAAATGCCAGAATTTATTCACCAAGTGAGCATGGGTAACATCCATGGATGAGAGTTTAAACATCTCTTGGTTGCTATGGAGGGTCCAAGAAGAAAACAAAATCCATTAGTATAAAGGTTTGTATTTGCTGTGACCTCTATTGTCTTGAGAGACAGAGTAGACAGAAGAAATAACAAATGTGAAGTCCTGGAATATAGATGAGCTTGTGATGAAAGAGGAACAGAGTGAAGGTCAGAGCTGTTGGAGGAAGAAAGCAGGAAGGGCAATAAAGGTCCAAGTGGTAGCCAGAGGCCTGGTTTATTCTAGATGAGAAGGGAGATGGTGGAGTCTTTTAAGCAGGAGAGAAACATGTTCTGAGTTACATTTTTTAAAAATGTAATTCTGATTTCTTTGTACAACATTGATTGTAGGAAAGCCAGAGTGAATGCAGGGAGAGAAGTTGGGAGGTTACTTGAGAGGTGTGAGTGGTATAGACTGGATTTTATCAAACTCACATGGCCTTGGGTTTGCCACCATTGGGAGATAAAATCTTTGATTTCAGCAGGAAAGGAGTCAGTTCCTTGGCTGTTTCAGCTGCCATATAGAGAATGCGTTGTGTTTGTTTGACTTTGAAGGACTTAATGGCTGCAAGATTTTGTATAGCCTCATTCAGGCTAGGCTGTGAACCTAGACGGTATAATAAACAGAGATGAAATGGTTTAGGTATATTCTAGACTGAAGTTCTGCAGTGGAGTAAGAAGTGTCTGGGATTTAGTATCATAAAATCTTGGTTCTGGGCTTGGTGCTACCACTGTGTGACCCATGTCAATAGTAATTTAAAAAGTGAAGATTCCTCTTCAAAAAGACTTCCCTCCCCATCTAATTAAGAATCAATAGTAACTTCCTCTAGAAGCAAAATTTATTCAAAGACCTGTGCTAGCATTCTTAGATAACTGCTAGAAGATAATAAAGAAATCAATGTACTTTGTGTTCTTAGCTCCCACAGTTTAGCCTAAATATTTACCCTGGCATACTTATACTGGTCCAAGCAAGCATTAGGCCATAGCCTGTTCCTCTTCCTTACTTGGAGATGTTTTACCTTTCTCAGCATTCCACAAGTTACTTGCCCCTTCCTTTGTTCTCCTCTGCCTTTATCTCTTTTAAAAGGTTTTAAGTTGCTAGCCAGTTGGGACAAATGCAGAATGTGAGGCCCTGTTCCAGCCAATGGAAACCAGACACAACAGTAGGGTGGACATGTCAGGTTATACATAACCCTGTCTCCTCTGTTCAGTTCTCATGGCAAAATTGCTGGTGAGTGTACCCTTTCTGCAGAAAGTAAAAATGGCCTTACTGAGGAAATTAAATTTATGTTCAAGTGCTATTTCTTTACAGCACTGGGGAAGAAGCATTTCAAACAGTAAGGATTTGTGTAATTTTTTCTGTTTTACCTAAGCAAAAACATGCTTAGGGATGGATTCAGTTATGATTGTGTTATTAACAGCAGTATCTGCACTGGAACCAAGTTTTCTGGGCTGCGTAATTGTGTAGCAATTTTGATAATCCTAGTAGGTAAATTTAAAAAACGGTAGGTAACATCTACTAAGCTACATTCCTAGTGTAATAATATGAGGCAATGACCCATGATTTGCACATATCTCCTGGAATCCATTCCCCAGATAGTCCCCTCCTCTGCTGCAACTTACCTTGGCCACATTGACCATCTTTCATCAATGGAAAGAGCAAATTTAATGCAAGGAGAGGCTTAAAAGTGCCTGCCCCATTGGGGCTTTCCCTTTGTTTTTGCTCCTGGTTAAGACCAATTATGTTAAGACCAATACCATTAAGATAGGCCTGGGCCAGCCTGCTAGCGACACATGTTGCCATCATGCTGTCACCACAGTCACCAGCTGTCATGAACTAACAGCAGAACTCTCATTCAGGCATGTGAGTGAGGCCGTGTAAGAGCAATCAGCCATGGTCCACCCATCAACTACAGCTACATGAGTAAACCCAGATAAGACCAGTGGAAGAACTGCCTTGCAAAGCTCAGCCCAAATGGTTGATTCACAGAATTATTAGGTTTGCTATGCAGCAAACATTAACTAATATGTCTAAGTATTATGCTAAGCACTTCCTAGTCACTTTCATTTAATCTTTTCAGTGCCTTGTGTTTTAGGTAACATTATTTTCCTCATTTTTATATATGAGGAACATAATCTCAGAGAGATTAAATCACTTAACTAAGATTATACAGCAAGTAATAGGCAAATGCCATCCTAGAGAATCTCCAGAGAGCATAGTTGGAACCATGATAGTTGTTCTTGGTGACCTGGGAAGTATTCTATGGCCAAATAAGCTATCATTTTTATTACAGGAATAGAAGTCCAGAGGGAAGGCTCTTCTTCAGCATCCAATCACCCTAAAAGGTCTGGATACAGCTGCAAAATATGTCATAAATCCTTGGTACCAAGGAATTATACTATAGTTCCCTTTATGAAGCCCATTCTTTGCAAATTTTAGGGTTTCCCACGCTGTCCACCACCTTTTACAGATATAGTTACCACACAGTAACAAAATTGACAGCAGGCTGGGAGTCTGGAGCTTGGAGGAAGGAGGTATAAGTCATATGAAAACTTGCTCAGGACACATAAGTGAGTCAGCACACATCCCATTCCTCTTACTTACTTTGAATCTGTAAATGCTGTTTCCAGTTGATGAGTTCTGGTGATCCAAGGAATTCCTGACAGTTTTGGGGATCTTTGGAGTAGATTTGGTAAGTATTGGTATAGTGATCAAGGTCATCTGTCATATCCTGTTATCATTAGGAAAAAGGAAATAAAACACATCCTTATATTTTATGATTACATATAATTTTATACTGTGATATTTCTAAGTAATAAAATATTGGTAGTTTTATTGGTGTATCACAATTATTTCTTTTTTATTGATACATAATATTTGTAAAAAATGTGTAATATTTTGTTATGTGCATAGAATGTTTAATGATCAAGTCATAGTTTTCATCATCCAGAATAATTATTATTTCCATGTGTTGAGAACATTTCAAGTCCTCCTTCAATCTACTTTGAAATATACAATACATTGCTGTTAACTATAGTCATCCTATGTTAAACATTAGAACTTATTTCCTTTATCTAACTGTGGGTTTGTATGCATATAATTATTTCTGAATTCTTTAAATAATGAGATAAAGATCAAATATTCAATTTATGTTGGAAAATTCCAGAACAATACTATTCATTATCCACATATCACGTTAAAATTTCAAATAAAAGACATAACCATTTAGAAAGCATTCTTCTTACCACCATCATCCTCAACAGGAAGAAGAGAAAGGCAATTGACAAGGGAAAGCTTATGTCACAAGAATAAATTTTACTACAGTTCAAAGACTTGCAGAATACACAAACTATGACCATGGCAGTATGAAACTTGATATTGATACCAAAGAAGATTAAAAACTAATTCAAAATGCCTTCTTTAAAAAATATGTTGGTTAAACCAGTTGCAGTTCCAGAGAAACAAACAATCCACTTACACGGAAAGAGCTTCTCAAATTAGTAAATGACAGATACAATTATTTACAGGAAGAAGGTGGATGAAAATATTACCACAACTATTATAGAATTAAAAAACTTTTTAAAAAGTTGGAAAATGTTGCACAAAAAACCCACTCACAAGTCAGCAATGATACCACTGACACATTTTGTTGCTTAAGACCACATTTAATAAAAGATCAAATAATTTTATTTCAGTTTAGTTTTCATACCATAAATTTATTCATTTCATATATTGTTTATTTTTTTATTTTGATTGGCAAATAAATGATTGCATATATTTATTAACAATATGTTGTGTTGAAATATGTATACATTTTGAAATGGCTAAATCAGGGTAATTAGCATACATATTGCTTCCCCTATGTTGAACCTGGAGGACATTATACTTAGTGAAATAAGCCAAACACAGGCAGATACCTCATGATCTCCTTTGTATGTAGAATGTAAAAATGGTGAACTCATAGAAGTAGAGAGTAGAATGGTAGTTATCAGCAGGTAAGGTGGGGGAAAGTAGAGGAATTGGGTAGTTGTTAGTCAAAAGATATGAAACTTCAGTTATAATAGTTATAATAGGAGGAATAAGTTCAAGAGACATATTGTACAACTCGGTGACTATAGTTAATAACAATGTATTGTATTCTTGAAAATTGCTGAGAGAGTAGATTTTAAGTGTTCTCACAACAAAGTGATTTTTAAATAACTTTATTAGCATTAAAAGTATATTTGTGTTTTCTGATGTTTTGAAATAAGCTTATGCATTTTTATCTTGAAATGTGTTAATTGTTTAGTTTCAATAATTTTAAGTGTTTCCTCAAATGTGTATAGAAGTTCTATCATTATAGTTTTGCTTTTCATAGTTGATATGGTTTGGCTGTGTCCCCACCCAAATCTCACCTTGAATTATAGTTCTCATAATCCCCACGTGTAATGAGAGGGACCAGATGGAGACAATTGAATCATTGGGGTGGTTTCCCCCACCGTGTCTTTGTGATAGTAAGTTTTCATGAGATCTGATGGTTTTATAAGGGGCTTCCCCATTTGCTTGACTGTCATTCTTTCTCCTGCCACCATGTGAAGAAGGTCGTGTTTGCTTCCCCTTCTGTCAGGACTGTAAGTTTCCCGAGGCCTTCCCAGCCATGCTGAACTATGAGTCAATTAAACGTCTTTCCTTGATAAATTACCCTGTCTCACATATGTCTTTATTAGTAGCATGAGAACGGACTAAAACAATAGTCACTCTAACTCATTGTCCTTTTTTTTACAACTTTATATCTGTGCTCTTGCTATTTTCTCTGCTTAGAATGTCCACTTTTCCTTGTAATCCTGACAAAAGCATATTTTTCCTACAAAATCCAGTTCAGATGAAATCTCCACCAAGAAGTATACTGAACTTATCGGGTAGCCCCACCTTTGACTTCCATAGTTTAATCAAGTTTTATTTGGCCTCTTTCTGTATCCTGTTTATCTTCTGTTCTTGTATACTTCACACTTTATTGGTTGATCTATCTTGTCTTTCAGACTCCGAGCTTCTTGAGGATGGGGACTTGTTGACTATTACTATGATTTACTTCTGCATGCCCTGGCTCTACCATATTGCTAAGAATGTAATAGGCACACAGCTAATATAAATATAGAAGAATATTCACACATGGAAACTTACCTGCTCCTGAGGGCAGACAACCACTGTATTAAAATCAGGCCACTTGTCCACCACAGCCTTCAGATTGAATGGATTTCCATGGTTTATGTGAAAGACAGTTCCATAAACCTGCAGGATCCCAAGAAATTGACAGGGTTGGTTTATTTGAAAAAAACAGTAAAGTTTCTTGCTTGATTAGGACAAAAATTATTTCTATAAAATCATGACATTTTATGATACAAAGTAGCCAAATGGAGAATCTAAGTCAAAGAATCTCTGTGTGCTATTTTTTAATCTGTACACAGAGGGCAGACAACCACTGTATTAAAATCAGGCCACTTGTCCATCAGAGCCTTTAGATTAAACAGATTTTTGTTCAATAATAAAATTACTGATATTTGCTATTTTTCATCATTGAACATATTGTGTACCTATTTCTCTATTCACAAGCATACAAAATAATTTTCAATTACTTTTAATGGCTGAATAAAATTTCATTACATGGATGCATCACAGTTAATCACTTGCCAGTTGATGACATCTCAGCTGTTTTCAACTTTTCACTCAAATAAATAATTCTTTATAGAATGTTCTTTCACAGGAATCTTTGCATGGGTACCTACCATTTTCTTACAATATCCAGAAGAGTAATTGCTGGTTTAAAGGCTATATACATGTTTAAAACTCTTTAGCATTGTTTCCATATAACTCTCTGGAGAGCTTAACTGAATTCTTATCAGTCAGCAGAGACTATAGCCTATTGCTCAAGAGAATAAGCTTGGGGTCCCCTAGCCTGGGTCCATTCTTAGATCCCCACCCTTGCCCTGTTGGACAAACTAATGAGAGAGAGGGGTGAAAGAGAGGGTAGGAGGTGAGAATGAGTGAGAGTAAACCCCACAGACAGTAAGTGTCCTTATGATTTTGGGGTTGTGGTATGCAGTAGTGGATGTCAGCATAGATCTCGTGACCATTGTGAACATGAAGTTTCAGCTGATATCAGCATGGAAATACACCAAAAAGGTGCTGTGCACTTGAATGCTTTCCATCAAGGATAGATGATAGAACCATACCAGTATATTTCCCTCCTGCTGCCCCTACCCCACATGAAATACTGATGTTAGACTAGGGAATGAAGGTGAAAAAAACTCTAAATCGACTAAGTCTGAGTTTATCTGAATTAATTCTGTTTTCAGCCATGAGTGGAGGCTTAATATAGAAATTTAGTACAGTTTTGGCAAAATATAGTGGTTACATTTTTACACATTTGTACCTGGGGCCTATTAAAATGTATTTACACTATAATATTATCCATTGCAAAAATGAAAATATGTGAAACTCTTATTTTTTCTCATTGTTGTGGCCTAATTTATTAAAATCCTTTTTAGTCCTACTGGACCCCAAACCTAGTGTGAACCCAGAAAATCTAAGACAGGTCTCAGTTAATTTAGAAAGTTTATTTTGCCAAGATTGAGTGCACACCCGTGAAACAGCCTTGGGAAGTCCTGACGACACATGCCCAAGGTGGCTGGGCACAGCTTGGTTTTCTACATTTTAGGGAGATATGATACCTCAATCAATATATGTAAGAAGTACACTGGTTCAGTTTGGAAAAGTGGGACTTCTTGAAGCAAGGGCATGAATACTTGAAGTGGGGAAGAAGCTTTCAGGTCACAGATAGGTGAGACACAAATGGTTGTGTTATTTTGAGTTTCTGATTAGCCTTTCCAAAGGAGGCAATCAGATATACATCTTTCTTAGTAACTTTGAATAGAATGGGAGACAAGTTTACCCAAAGCAGTTTCCAGGTTGGGTTTTCTTTAGGGATTTGGGGGGGCCCAAGATATTTTCCTTTTATATGCCCCCCATCCTTTTTGTAAAATCTTTTGGAGAAAGCATTTAACAATAAAATGAGTCTCTGGTCTCAGGTTTCATTTAATGTCTTACGGCTAGGACAGTTTATTTCTAGATGGGTAGGTCCCAAAATCTCATTTTTAGCATGTTGTGAAGTCTCATGTCCTATGAAGAGAAAATAGGGTGAAAGGGAGAAAAAACAACAACAAACAAAAGAACAATCCTGGAAAAATAGATATAGGCCACATTATTCTAAAATCCATACATTAATAGGCAGGTATGAAAGTGGCTTATGTATGTAAACAGGTTGCTGTTATTTTTTTCTGAAGTTTAAGTTGTTTGGCTTCAGTTTTCAGGGTTTTAAGAAAGCACAGCTTAGTTTTCAGTTATTTCAAATTAGGAAAAATGAAAAAAAAAGAAGAAAAATAAATTTAAAACATTATTTTGAAGACTTGTAGCCAAGAAAAATAGAATTCAGTTCAAATTGTAGAAAATAATAAAAATTGAAAAATAACATTAGGCGAGACTAGAATCTAACAACAGGTGTACTATAGTCTTGAAATATAGTCTTTTTCTCTCTCCAGTTTCCCATTTTTACTAAAAACAAATTATGGTAGGACTGGTTTGCTTTATTATACTTGGCCTAATTATTTGTATACAGTGCAGCAAGAATAATTATTTTTTAAATAGGCTTTTAAATTGGCTTTGATGAAACTTTGTTCCATAGGAGGAGTCTCAGATAAGACTTTTTATAGCAAAACCTAGCCATGAATTTGTGCCATCAAATACCTATGAGTTGGATGAATTTCTTCTCCTCTTGAGGTTCCATGTTAAATCTGGGGCTTCTGTGTCTGTTAGAAAGTGACATTCTTTATTTACCACAGTCAGAAATCCTGTACAGGGACTGTGTACACAAAATATATGGACATTTTTTTCAAGGGCTTTATTGGCTCCAGAAGTCAAGTTTGATTTCTTAAAGGAAAGCAGTTAAAGCCTTAGTAAAATAACCAGTTTCTCCAATTGTTTCCTGTTACAAATGAAAACAGATTCTTATTGCACTTATGCAAATAAATGTATTACCATAAGTTAAGAATACTCACAATTTCCAAATTCTGGAGAAGTGAGGTAGAGAGAAACAAACATGCTCCAAAGTTTGTTCATAGGAGTATACTAAATTGTTAAAAGCTGTCAATAGCTCAAAAGAAAAGTTTTAAGACTGAAAATCAAAGGATCAGCAAACATTTTAAGTAAAATGTGAAAAAGATTGGTTCAGTCCATGTAGTTAATTCCTATTTTGCTTGATACTCATTAACATTTTATCTCTCTATGAGTCCTGAAAGTTTTTTCTCTATTCTGATGTCACAATCTCCAAAGTTATCAGAAACCTGCATTTAAGAGTACCTGTTGGAGTTTTATAGCTGATTATAAAACCACCTTCTAAAGAGGACCAACACAAGGCAACAATTTTCCATGGATGAAAAAAAGGTTTAAGGCAGCCATAGTCAAAAGACACAATTGACAAGAAAATTTATTACTTCTGTGGCACACAGTATCAGAAACCCACATTTAAGAGCACCTGTTGGAGTTTTATAGCTGATTATAAAACCACCTTCTAAAGATGACCAAAACAAGACAATAATTTTCCATGGATTAAAAAAAGGTTTAAGGCAGCCATTGTCAAAAGATACAATTGACAAGAAAATTTATTACCTCTGTGGCACACAATATGATTATTATTGATAATGTATACTAAATTATATTATAATTACAGGAGTTTCCCATAATTTTGGAACACATACCAATAACATATTTATACAAAGACAGCCCAAAGAAAACCAAACACCAATTCATATTTGGCAATGCCTTCTGTATAATTTTTATACCAAATAAGCCAAATTGTGTCATTTTTGTACTTAGGGGAACCTACTGTCTTAAAGAATTAATCAGGTCAGAAAAAGACATAATTTATAGTTCAATTTTGGAAAGTTGTCAAATGTAAGTTTAAAACACTTGAAATTACAAAATAGGATTATAGGTCATTTTAAAGTCATTTATTTAACTAAAGTGAAAGTCAAAGACTTCAAAAAACAGTGAAAACCTTCATTTTTTGAGAAAGGAAATTTAATTTTCTAAACAAGAAGCCCCAATAAAAACAGCATGAAGCTAATTACATTTGTTTTTCAAAATTTGTAAACAATCTATAAAATTTAATCTATATTATAAAATGTAACTTCCTTAAGCCTCTTATAACCTTTATTAAAGAGTTGGTTAATGCTTCAAGAGAGCCTTGTTAATCTGCCACAGGGGTCTATATGCTGGTTTTTCATCAGTGTTCCTTTGACATTAATGATTAATTTACGGAGAAATGAAACTTATTTTATCTTTCAAAATCAGGCATTACACTCTTACATGCCCAACTCCTCCATGATAGTCCCTGGGCCTTGAGGAGTTGAGTAGCTTTAATTTATTGCCCTGTGTCTCAGGAAGGCAGTTTATTTTGATTGGCATTTTCTACAGGGCCTGAAGATGAGGCTTTAATTGCTGTCAGTGTTTAAAATTTAGCAGGACTTGGTATGCTTTATAGATGCAGGAGTTAAAGCTCTGTGATTCAATGTTAGAAGGACTTTAAAAGCATATACAGGAAGATACATGGATGTAATAATCTTAATTAAAAAATTTTATCTCAGTTTTTTTCTAAGCAAATGAAAACTTAATATGATAACTTGATCATATAAACTTTTTAAATATAGAAATCCTCTTATTGTGACTTACACCGACTGTTCATGACATGCTTGGAATTTCTGGTTTGTCCTGAACATCCCTCTTTTTTAAACAACCACTTATTTTAGTTTAGGATTAAATTTACCACACAAGATTCTGTCTTATATAAAATTATTTCTCTTTAAGCTTTTTTACCTAAAAAAACCTTTGTTAAAAATAGCTTTTTCATATCTTTTTTTAGTCCTAGTCCCTTTTACCTTGTTTTATACATAACCTTTAAATAAGCTTTGAATTGGAAAAAAACTTGTTCACCTCTTTAAAAAACACACACACAGTTTTGTTTATTTTTTAGCAAGAATATTTTCCTACAATATATTTTTATGGGAAGATACCCAAATAATGAAATGTCTATTATTTAATTTAATATAATTTCATACTCTAAATTATGACCAATTTGCCTACAAATATTTATCCAATTACATTACCCCAATTATTTTAATTGTTTACCTGGATTATTTATGAAAACTGTGATATTCATGATTTAAAGTTATAAAACTGACATTGCAAGATTATAACTGAGACAGTGAAAACGGATTTGACCTAACTGACTCCATCTGGCTTTTAACGTCCAAGCTGTCCTCATTCATTCCTGGACGTAGGCCTAACTAACTTTGGGAGGAACTTGGTTTATAGTTTAGCTTTGAAACAAAGAGGATAACAGTCTTTTCCCCAAACAAACCTCCTTATTGACTGTGGACCAGACTGCCTAAACCCACAGGATTAGAAGTTATGGTGATCTTACTAAATTAAAGATGCAGCTATTTTCATTAAACCCATATCAATGCATTATTTATTAAAAATTACACAAGCAATGATTATCCTGTTTGGGGCTGGGTTCATAGTTATGTAACCTGTATGCCAAACATTGACAACTTATAGTATTTGGCAGGGATAAGTATGAAATTTGCTTGATTAATAAATGCAAACAAAATGTATGCTGGTAATTCTTAAGACATTTCTACTATTACTTTACCAAAAATTTTAAAGCTAGCTTATTTATTAAAGATTTTATTTAAGTTACATAAACTTGAAAAAGGATTTTAATAGTCTTTTCTTTTTTAGTATCGCATTTAAGCACTTTTGTTTTTTCTTTAAGTCAATTAATTAGAACACTTTATATATTTTTAGTAGTGAAATATTTTGTATACAATACATAAATACATATAAAGATGAATTAGGCATGCCAACGGAAGTACATTTTATAGATTTATAAAGATCACCCCACTTTTTTTTTCTATCTTAGAATTTCAGATTCTTGGTAACCTGTTTCAAAACCCTAGGCAGCTGTCAGAAAAATAGCCTTAAATTTGCACATTAAAGGAAACAACTCAGGTGAAAATCAAATAGTAAAATTTACAACATAAGGTACAGAGAGAAAAAGTCTGGTGATGATAGAAGGAGATGTTTTTATTTTTCTTTTAGCCAAATTAAAAATAAAATTAAACTTCATTTTTTTCTTAAATAACCACGTAGCCTTTGTTGCAATAACTATTTTAGTTAAAAAAAAATCAGGTGAAAACAGAATTCAGTCAACTGAGAAGGAAAACAAAACAAAACAAAAAAACTTTTGCTCGAAAATAGACAAGGTCTTAGGAGAGAAAAAGAAACAAAAATAAAAACATGAAGGCCTTCAAATACAAACATGCACACATGAACACATACACACATACATCTTGGATGTTAGCCTTTTAATTAAGCTGACTTTTAACAATTGAGCTCCTTAATTTTTTTAAAAAAATCTTATTACCATATTTCAGTTAGGACCAAATGCTGCTTTTTCAGAAGTACAGCCATTGCTCTTTCAGTTTGGTCTGGCTGGCAAAAAGGTGACCTTATAATGTAAATAAAGCCCCTTTAGTAGTTAAAATTCAAAATCTTTTTTTTTTCTCTTTTGCTAGCCATTTTCCTCCCACATCAGAGGTCTTGTTCCTCATAATTTAGAGTTCTCCTTTCAATTTGTCCAAGAAAAATACAAAGAACAAAAAAGTTAAGCAAAACTAACAATGATCACCCAAATTACATGATTTCTGAGCACCGTAAGTGTAAGCAGAAATTAACACCAGGTAGTTGTTAAATGCTAACTTTAGTTGTGTAAAAAGTAAAGTAGAGGTTCCTCTTCAAAGAGACCTTCCTCCCCATCTAATTAGGAATAAATAAACTTAATAATTTGACCAAATTTGGGGAGATCAGGGATTCTCTGGAGGGGATGCTCACAGACCTCAGCAAATTGTCCTATTAGTTTGAGCCATAAAGTCAGCCATACTGGTACCAAGCACCGATAGGAGATTTGTCAAAGGTCAGGGGCATCTCCACTCAGAATGCTCCCATGGTTACCAAAATCTAAACCCCAAAAATCAGAGACAGGTCTCAGTTAATTTAGAAAGTTCACTTTGCCAAGGTTGAGGATGTGCCACTGACACAGCCTCAGGAAGTTCTGATGCCATGTGCCCAAGGTGGTCAGGGCACACTTGGTTTTATATATTTTAGGGAGATATGAGGCCTCGATCAATATATGTAAGAAGTACTTTGGTTCGGTTTGGAAAGGTGGGACATATTGAAGAAGGGACATTTTGAAGCAATGGCAGGAAGACTTGAAGCAGGGAGAAAGCTTTCAGGTCACAGATATGTGAGACAAACAATTCATTCTTTTGAGTTTCTGATTAGCCTTTCCAAAGAGGCAATCAGATATGCATCTATCTTAGCAACTTTGAATAAATAGAATGGGAGGCAAGTTTGCCCTAAGCAGTTTCCAGCTTGAGTTTTCTTTAGTGATTTTGGGGGCCCAAGATATTTTCCTTTCACACTAGTGAACAGAACATAGCGAGGCAGCTGTTATCAGTTGAATCAGTTGTAGTGGACATCTTTATGCATTTTATATCTAACACTCAGAAGAATGGATGGACATTTTCTTAACTAGGCCTCAAGTAATTGTTGAGTAACAGTGAATTCTAGGTTAGACACCTCCATTAAAAGCAACTGGCATAAAAAATTTTAGAGTTCCATTAGGGGAAAATGTATGTCTTTTAGTATACAACAAAAGAGGAGGAATGCTATTTCCTCATGAAAGGGAGGAGTCATGAGGGCCTCCTTATCTCACCATAGAGGGGTCCCAAGAAGGAATCCTTGGGAAACACCTAGAGTTTTCTCAAAATGTTTAGGATCCACTTAACACAAGGAATAAGGAGAAATTTGAAGCACAAAATTCTACATCACAGAGTGTTGAACAAAATGTTTAGCCTAGAGAATTTTTAAGAGTAGCCACTAATCATAAAAATACCTCAACTAATTATACATACAGTGTCTTAACTAATATGCCTTCCAAAAAAAATGTTCTGTCTCTCTGGGAGGTTATTTATATCTTAAGGATTGTCATGTGAAGCCACTTAAATATTAGGTAATTTTGATTAATGTTAGTAGGAGCTTCAAGGTGGGTAACTTTAGATTTGGATTAGTTTACTTGAAGCTATACTGTGTTGTTAATAAATAAAGAATAAAGCTTGTTGTCTCAATGCATCTCTGATGAATGAAAATAAAACTATATAATCACAAATAAAAGAATGCTAATATTTTCTCCTTTATACTGAAAGAAGGGAATAACAAATCATTTAGGGAATGGGTAATTTGAATGTATTTACCTGAAATGTATGCACTATATAGGAATGTCTTCTAAAACAATACAAATGTAAAAATAATTGTCCACTAAAGAGATACACACACACATATACATGAACAATTGTACTTGGGTTCCATTGGAGTGAGCCATATCCATTTGGTTGCTAAATATATACATACAGACAAGAATCTGACTCTATCATTGGAACTGCTCTTGCATAGTTCTGGATGTAGGCATTTATATATATCCATTTATATATATATATTTATATTTGTTTTATTTAATTCTTAGACCTCTAATTATTAATACCAGGTTAAGAGAGATACTGGGAGCTAGCCCTAAAGTAACTCGACCTGCCTTCAATTCAGAGCAATTGGGAAATTTACATTAAAATAGAAATTGATCTGTTATTAATTTCAAAGAAGACTCATTCTAGTTAACCTCTCACTGGCAAGTGTCCTTTTGTAATAAACAAGTTAAACATTAATATGCAGCCTCAGCCAACTTTGTAGAACTCTGGGCAAATTTCAAATGTTATTATAAAATGCTTCTTGGAAAGGAGCAAGGAAGTAATTTTTTGAGTTAGCACAGAGCAAAAGGCAGTGTTTAGACTAAGGCATAACTATGTTCATATCATAGCATTGCAACTCAGTATTTGTGATATATTGAGAAAATCAGTTAACTGAGTCTTCATTTTCTTAACAGCAACATGGACATGACAGTAAACATCTTGTAGAGAGGTAAGGCATACTAAATGAGAGAAAACATGAAATAGTGCCTGGCTCAAAATAGGTGCATCATAAATATCAGTCCCTTTCCCTCCTCTTTCACATCAAGTTTGTCTTCTTTACTCCTCTCAGAATTTTCCATTATCACCTTTAAGGATGCTGGGAGGCTCTTCCTCAAGGATTTCTCCAGCATCTGCAGCATCTGGGCACCTTGCAATGGTAACATCATGGAGGATACCTTAGCCTAGAAAGACAACCAAGGAACATACAGGATTGAGAAAAGCTAGAGGAGATTCTGAAACAAGAGTAGCAAGTTCTTTATTAATGACCAGGTTTTTTTTTTTTAGTGCCTTTCAACTGCAGTCCTCAGCAAATCCAAGAGAAAATGAGACTCGTAGAAAACACAAGGAGCTTTCTCTGAGTTTTTTAGCTCTTTTTTCTTACCCTTTGATGAATTCCAGCCATTAATTTCATTTTAGATTTAAAAAGTACATTTTTAAATACACATAATATCTTTTGAATTTTAGTTGCTATTAGTGATTCTCCTGACTCCTCTGAGAACGAGCTGTGTAACCTTGGGAAAGTTATTTAGTCTCTCTGTACCTTGGTTTCCTCAAAGGTAGTTGGGATAATAGCACTATATCACTCAGAATTTTTGTAAGGATTAAAGGAATGAATACCTGCAATGTGCTTAGTAGATTGTAGGTCTTATATTAAGCACTGAACATTTGTTATTTATTTGATTACTACCACCACTCCTCTTTTCCTCCTCTTCCTTTTCTTCTTTCCCCCACTTGAGCCAAAGTCCTATATATTGCATGATGTTTTGATATAGGCATTTTAATAAAGGGCATTCTGACATGGTCTAAATATAAACAATTAACCTTTCAAAAATTATTACTGCATCATATTCAAAACTTGTACTTTCACCAAGCCTCACACTTTGAGGCTAATTCCATCTTTAAGCCTTATACTAGGATCTGTGGTACATTTTGTAGAAATTACTAAGTAATACAAAAATAGCATTTTTACATATTTGACTAGCTGCATCAAATTGGGATTACCTAAACACTTCATAACATCACAACTACCTGAAAAATGAAGAAAGATGTTGTGTCACTGTGTTCTATTTTGGAACTGTGATGTTTGGAAGAGAGCAAAGTAACTTCTAAGTGAAGGTAGGGCTATGAGAGAGTGTTGCATTAAAACTGGTCTGATGCAAGATTCCATAACTAGGTAACCTTGTGATTTTAGAACATCAGTGAAAAGCCTTTACTGGTGGTGCATCTGTACAGGTCTGTAGCATCCTCAATTCTTGCCTCCTCAACAGAAAGAATTTGACTGAGGGGCAGAAGGCAGAAGGAGAGACCAAGGCAAGTTTTGGGGTAGCAGTAAATGTTTGTTAAAAACATCAGAGCAGGAGGGAAAAGAAGTAAAGTGCATTTGGAAGGGGGCCAAGTGGGCGACCTGAGAGATCAAGTGTGCAGTTGGACCTTTTGACTGAGTTTTATATGTAGGCATAATTTTGGGGTCTTGTGTCCATTCTCCCCTGATTCTTCCCATGGGGGTGGGCTGTCCACATGTTCAGCAGCCTGCTAGCATGTGGGAGGTGAGCATGTGTAGTGTGAGCATAGAGTTGTATGCATGCTAACTTAAGGCATTCTCCCTTACCAGTCAAATGTCCCTAGAAGTTCATATCATAATTAAACTCTGTCATTTTGCCTCTGAATGCACATGCTTAAGCCTGCTTGCCCAACTCCTGAGGTCTTGTCAGGAAGCTGCTGATCACCATTTTCAGGTTTGGTTTTTTTTTGTATTCGGAGACTGAACCTGGCTGGCACTGGCTGTGACCAATTATTATTTTAGAGAGACAGTTAACAACCACTGGACCATCACCTGATGGTTGCCTGACATATCTGGGTGTGGGATGTGGGGCATGGAGCCTTCTCCTGCCCTACTCATGCCTGACTATCTACCTTGTGTAACATTTCCCCCACCATGAGTTCAAGACCCCAATTATTTGGGGAATATAGACAAAGGTCAGTCTTCTATAACTGCTTCCTGCTGACAGAGGGGTAGTAGTGGTTGTTCTGTGGATTTGGCCTCTTGCTAGCTGTCAGGGCAGTAGTAGCCAGCCAGGTTCAAGGGGGACAGGGGGAGGATTTCAATTCTGTCATGTCTCACTGATGGGCAGCCTAGGGGTCCCCTGTAGAAGGGTGACTCTTGAGTATTGAGAAGACAATATACCTGCCTCTGGTCCCTGCATTTCTACTTTTTCTTAGCCCTGTCCTCCTTATTCTGTTCTTCATTATAAAAGACTGAGAAGGCTAATTTGAGAATTTCCTGCATAAGGGTACTGGGTTCCAAGATTGACTTTTGTAATTTTCTCTCATTCCATTCTTAGGCCAAGTATTACAAAGAAAATAACTGCCATAAGGGGGCTGGACTTCCCTCCCTTTAAATATGACCTTGAAGGTCTTGCAGCATATTGAAAAGGGAGTAGGAGTGATTAGAGAAATGGAGACTACAGGAGGAAGTAGGAGGAAGCGAGAAAAACCTCATGAAAAGCCTTCATATGCTTACAAAAACAGCAATGCTTGGATTTGAGAGAGCAATGTTTATTTGCCCTCGACATAAAGGAGGAACCTCTGGAGGCCTTGGGACTTAGGGCAAGAACTTGCTAATGGTAAAGGAAGAATTTCCCCTCCCCTTAAGAAGTGCTGACTCAAAAAAAAAAGAAAAAAGCAAGTAGGTGAGATCCTTAAAGTGTCATAGCCCTATGCAGGAGGACAAACTGTTTCAAAAACCCCAGAAAAACTTGGCCCTAGGTTGTGACAGGAACAAAAAGCATATGTTAAATCATAAAGCACTGGCAGAGCTGGGGTTTCAATTAGTGTCTTTTTTGGCAATGTACCAACAGATAGGGACAGGATTGGAGGTCATCCAAGCTTGTAGGATAAAAACACCTATAAATTTTGGGGGATGTCTGCAAGGGAGCTCTTATCTTTGCTGCTGCACAAATGCAATAAGAGCCATGGGTGCATGAATAACAGGAAGTGTGTGTTTAAGAAGTCACATGGCATGTGAAGTAAAAGAAGAGGCAGACTTGTCTTCAAGCCAGACAGTTTGGTAGGTGTGCAAGACAATTTCAGATCACACAGAGAAAACAGGAGATACAGGGTGCAGCTTCTTGTGAAAGAGCCATTTTTAGTTGAAAAAGCAGAGGAAATCCCAGGCATTGCAGTTTTAGGCTTTAGCCCTATCACTCTCACAAACCTCCTGTTCAGGAGGGCCATTAGTTCATTACGTCTGCTTAGTGCAGACCCGAAGGTCCTTCCCACTCCCACAAGCCACCTATCAGGTAGTCTCTCAGTAGACAGAGAACCTAAAACTGGTGATCAGCAGCTTCCTGATAAGATCTCAGGAGCTGGGCAAGTGGGCTCAAGCATGTGCATTCAGAGACAAAAAGGTGAAGTTTAATTGGTATGTGACCTTCTAGGGATATTTGATTGGTAAGGGAAGAACACCTTAAGTGAGCATGCATACAATTCCAGTAAACACACTGCACATGCTCACCTCTCAAGTTCTAGCAGACCACTGCACATGTGGACAACCCACCACAAGGGAAGAATCAAGGGAGAATGGACACAAGAGCCCAGAAATAAGCCAACATATAAAACCCCAAGGCAAAAGTTCAAACTACTCACTTGGTCTCTCAGGTCACCCACTTTGCCCTCTTCCAAGTTTCCAAGTGCACTTTAGTTCTTTTCCTTCTTGCTCTAAAGCTTTTTTTTTTTTTTTTTTTTTTTTTTTGAGTCACAGTCTTGCTCTGTCACCCACACTGGAGTGCAGTGGTGCAATCTCGGCTCACTGCAACCTCCACCTCCCAGGTTCAAGCAATTTTCCTGCCTCAGATTCCTGAGTAGCTGGGATTACAGGCACGCAACACCACACCCAAGTAATTTTTGTATTTTTAGTAGAGATGGGGTTTCACCATGTTTGTCAGGCTGGTCTCAAACCCTTGACCTTGTGATCTGCCCACCTGGGCCTCACAAAGTGCTGGGATTACAGGCGTGAGCCACTGCGCCTGGCTAAAGCTTTTTAAAAAACTTTCACTGTGGCTCTAAAACTTGCCTTGGTCTGTCCTTCCACCTTATGCCCCTCAGTTGAATTCTTTCTTCTAAGGAGAGAATTGAGGTTGCTGCAGACCCATAAGAATTCACTACCAGTAATATTGCTTCCAGCCAAGATAGGATAACAGAACTTGAATTTACCTTTCCACCTAAAACAATAACAATTTTCATATGTTGAACATCAGGATATGCAGAAAGAACTATGATCTCTGAGAAAAGGAAAACAGAAAAGGTGAGTCCTAGAATTGCACCAGCTTACTTACTGATGGAAGTTTTCAGGTTGAAGTTCAGGGATATGGAATCTAACCAGAGCACAAGGACTGTCACTGATTGAGCTTACGGAGGTTTTGGAGCTTAAGGAGGCCAAGGTGGAGCTTCGTTGAGAGAGTAAACAGAGAGATGAGAGAGAGAGAGAGAGAAAGAAAAAGAAAAAGAAAAAAAGGAAAGAAAGAAGAAAGAAAGAAAGAAAGAAAGAAAGAAAGAAAGAAAGAAGGAAGGAAGGAAGGAAGGAAGGAAGGAAGGAAGGAAGGAAGGAAGGAAGGAAGGAGAGAATAAAAGAAAAGAAAGGAAGGAAGGAAGAAAGGAAGGAAGGAAGTTCCTAGAGTCTGGCTAATTACTGATCTGAGCATATATAAAAAGAAACTACCTTAATACCTTAGCCCATGGATTCTACCTCTACCATCTGAGTCTAGTCTACCCTTCTAGCCTCTTCTGTTGCTACCATCCACCATGTAAGACCACAGTGGATTTCTTCAACACAGTGTCTGCTTAGCACCTCTGGTCTTTCTACATTTATTCTCAGTTTGAAATTTCCTACTTCAGTTCTGCCTTCTAAATTAGGCTTCCACTTACCCCTTCAAGTTTACCCGAATAGCCTGTTATCCCTAGTGCTCTTTTCACTGTCTCTTACGTCCGTCTGAATAAGTCACTCCCTTTTCTGTGCTCTCATAAGTGTTTATGCATATTTTAATTATATAACTTGTTATGTTGGGTTAAAGTTTTCTTCTTTCAATTGATAAATATCGTATATATTTATGCTGTTCAACATGATGTTTTAAAGTTGAATTTCGTTTTCTTTTCTAGATGTTGAATTCTTCTGAGGCAGGATGCTCATATTACTTATTCTTTTATCAGTAATTCTTATCACAGTATTTGGCACAGAGTAGGCCCTCAATACATAAGTAACGAATGATTGAATACATGAAATGCTTGTATTAATTGTCTGTCTAATCACTCCACTTTCCAAAAGTATAGAGACATTAATATATTCATTCAATAAACACATATGTATTAAATGCATAATATATTCTGGACATGAGAAAAGTTTCCAGCTATTTTGTACTACATTATATCTTGAAGAAAACTCCAGACCATATCTCATATCTAAGGGTCTTAGGATGATAAAAGTATAACATTCCTAAAGGCTAATCTTGTCTTTTCTCTAGATGCAACTCAGAAGGAAGTAACAAAGTAGAGTTAAAGTAGAGCTTAATGTCAAGTCTGTGGGGTGTGATATTACTATATTTTCTGAAGAGTAGAGTTTGGAACCACCCTCTAAGGATGTACTTACAAACTAACAAAGAGGTATGGCTCTCATGCTTGGTTGGGGTAAACTGAAAGCTACTGACACTGAGGTTCTTCCAAGAAATCTGACACAATAATGGTAGCTGGCA
The DNA here is from genome assembly GCF_000001405.40 of Homo sapiens. Classification (NCBI taxonomy): domain Eukaryota; kingdom Metazoa; phylum Chordata; class Mammalia; order Primates; family Hominidae; genus Homo; species Homo sapiens. The sequence continues at coordinate 58,730,074 of NC_000011.10, forward strand.
GCACTGGGCAATGAGTAGCATTCCCGGGCATAAACTTCAGAATCTTTGATCCTGGTCCAGTTATTACAGAAATGGAAATTAATCTAAAGAAAACAATTTAAAAGAAGAAAACAACTCTAGGCTGAGCATGGTGGCTTGCACCTGTAATTCCAGCACTTTCAGAGGCCAAGGAGGGAGGATTAATTGAGGGCAAAAGCTTGAGACCAGCCTGGTCAACACAGCAAGACCCCAATCTCTACAAAAATAAAAATTAGTTGGGTATGGTGACACACACCTGTAGCCCTAGCTACTCAAGAGGCTAAGGTGGGACGATTCTAATAGTTTTCATCATGCCATGCAAGTAATTTGCTGTTTTGTGTAAGCAGAAAAAAAGAATACATTCTGCAAATCAGACCTCATTCAGATCTTTCCCACTACCTTGCTTTTACTGCAGCTACTTGAATGGGAAGGAGAGGAAGATTATGCCTACATAATCTGACCACAGTCTCACAGAGTGAGTTTTGTTACAACTCTTCCAGAAATTTCTGAGTTGCAGCTTGTAATGCAGACCTTGTACTAAGTTGGCAAAAAATTCTGATGTCAGTTCCAGTGGAATCTAACCCTGGACTCACTTGAGCCCACAGCAAGTTAAAGGTTACAATGAGTTATGTTCATACCACTGCACTCCAGTCTGGGTAACAGAGTGTCTCTAAATACAAAACAAAACAAAAACTCTAAACAGAATTTTATAAAGTCACATGAACATAAGCAAGTCTGAACAAAATCTCTATGTGCCTCAATAGGGGAAGATAACATAAAATATGTTCCAACAGAGTGATGCAACCCTAAGGCATTAACATAATGCCTACAGACATAATATATAATATGTATAGACACATGGGAGAGTGTTCAAATAAAATGAGAAAATATAGGACACAAAACAGTTCACATACAACACATAAAGTTCAAATTTAAGAGAGAACAAAGGCAAACAGGAATAAATAAGTAAATGGTGGTAGTACTGTTGTAGATTAAATCTTTAGAGTAAAATTTGTTTTCTGTATAATTTAAATAAACAATAAATCTTGTCTGTATTCTTGTCTTATTGATCTACTTATTTCCTCTCTCACTTTCAGTGCAACAAACTTCTTAGTAGTAGTGTAAGGAAAAAACTGCCTCCCTTATAATGTGACCAGGATTAAAAATAGTAATTTTTCTGGTGTCTCCACACACTCAGTATTCTATTCATCCACCTGCTTCCAAGAAGCTCTCAGATCTTTCTTTATTCATTTATTAGTCGAGAGCACAAACTTCTAAGGATTTTCATGGTAGCTAGCAAACTGCCATTGACAAAATAGTTGTCAGATATGTGTTTCTTAAGTGGAAGTTACTCCTTTTCCTTGAGCATAGTTGTCTGCATATTCTGAGCATAACACAATACGGGCACTTTAATTTGACTCACTTAAGTGGAAGAGGTGTCACAAAGCAATAATTACATTAAAAAAATAAATTTTATTGTGGATATTTAAAGTATACAATATGATGTTATGAGAGCATACAGATAGTGAAAACATTACCATTATGAAGCAAATTAATATATCTATTACTTCACATAGTTACTTATTTTTTGTCGTTGTTTTTATGTAAAGAGCAGCTAAACTCCACTCATGTAGCATGGATCCCATATACAATGCAATTCTATTAACTATAGTTCTCATGTTGTACATTAGATCTCTAGACTTGTTCATCCTATGTATCTGATACTTTGTAATGAGTCCTCACCTGAAAAGCTAGTCTCTGCAGATGTTTCCGGGAAGAAACGATGAGCAACACCCTTCTGGGAGATGAAATTTCTCCCTGATGCAGCCAGTTCAGCAGAGTCTCGCAGAGTAAATTTTGATACACCACCTCCAGAAATTTCTGAGCTTTGGCTTGTAATGTGGACCTTGTACTAGGCTGGCAAAAGAATCTGGTGTCAGTTCTAGTGGAATTCAGCCCTGCCTCTCACGGGCCCATGTTGAAGTAATTGGCTCTGCATGGTTGAGAGGCTGGCTGTATGCCCCTGAGCTTCTCTTTTTAAAACATCACAATGCTTTTTGTCCTCACAGGTCATGGAAATACCATGAAAACCAAAGCTGTGTGAAACCAACAGGCCAGATACTGGAAGGAGGGTCAGATTATGTAGGCACTACCCTCACCTCTTTCCCATTCAAGTATCTGTAATAGAAGCAAGGCAGTGGGAAAGATATGAATGATATCTGATTTGCAGAATGCAATAAAATAGCAAATTACTTGCATGGAGTGATGAAAGCTGTTAGAATCTTCCTTTTTAAAGACAAGTTGTGCCCCCTCCCATGCCCATTTTGAAGCTGCAGTGAAACATTCTGACAATGATTCAATGTGAGCACTTCTTAGTCTCACTTTTATAGAGAAGGACCATTGAGATCTCAGCATGGTTGAACTGGTTAGATGTTAAGCCCAGAGCTTTTTCACTCCGAAGTCCTAATTACTATACTTTCCACTTGCTCAGAAAAGAAAGGAGGGTTCACAGCAAAGATAATTTGAGCCTCAATTTCACTGTGTAAAACAGCCAAGATGGGGAGTTTGACACTCTCCAGGTCCTTGTTCTCACCACCTCATTCCCAGGTTAGTAAATATCTTTATTGTAGAGGAAGCAACAGACACTCTAATCAGAGGAGCAGGGACACAAGAGGCTAGGTTGAGAAAGAGGGACAAAAAGTGTGTGTGTGTTCCTTCACTTAATGGATCAGCACAGAGCAAGTTTTCACATATTTTTCTCTGTACTGTCTAGGAGCCCTGCCACTCCTAGAACATTAATTCTCCATCTTTTCCCCTGAGATTGAAGTCATTATAACCTTCCATTACTCTTTCTTCAAAGCGACTGAGATTGTTCTATCATTTATTAACCCGGTGGATCTCTTGACTCCAATAGGGTTCATATCTCACAAAGGATATATCTAACTGCAACAAAAGAGTGGGGTACTCCTTTATCCCAAGCCCAGAAACCAGACCCCTCCTATTCTGTCACTTTAGCTCCTACACTCACACAGCCAGGCAATAGACCAGGATTCAGTGGTGTCTCTCACCCTCAAATCTTTGACTAGAGTCTCTTAACCTCCCTGGGCTGTTGCCCTAGCTGTAAAAAGTGTGTTGTACTAGGTAACCAAGGATTTTTCTTGCTTTTGTTTGACTCTGTGGTTCTTATTCTTACTATGTTATATGTGATAACAGACATAAACCTCACACATTTTGGGATCAGATACAAGGGAAAAGGTTCGGGAGCTCCAGCATCAGTCTTAGTATTCTAAGTGGTTTTTCTCTGGGGTCTGAATTGAAGTGCTAGCAATGATGACAGAGGTAGCATAGCAGAGTGGCTTGCAGCATGACTACCCCCAAACTAACAGGCTGACATCTTGATTGTACGACTTACCTATTGTGTGACCTTGAGCAAATGATTTCACCTTTTCTTGCCTCCATTTCTGTATCAATAAAGGGAATTAAATAATTCCCCTTAGGAATCTTTGCAGGGTCTTAAAGAAAAATTAAGTGGTCCTCCTGTGTCCTTTCTTACCTAAGCAGGGCCTATGCTTAATTGGAATTCAGGATACTTGATTGCCCATGCCCTCAGATCCCTAATGAATTTCAGAACGTGACTGATTTTGTAGTTTATTCAGATTTTTCTCATCACTACTGTGGGAGCAATGCTTTTTCCAGCCTTATAAATCCTAAGTAGCATCAGAACTAAGATTGTCTTTTCTTAATTTAGATATGTATAGTCATAATTGCTTAGACAACTTCCCGATATATGGTAAGCACATAGAAATGCTTTATTTAGTAAATAATTATTTAATACAGTGCATTATGCATATACAAATGCGTGCATGAAATATTTAGTGAATATTTTTTCCCTAAGGTTCTAGGTCAAGTCAGTTTTCATAAGACTCATGAGACAGTGGAGAGAAAAATTTATATTGCAGAAATATATGTACACTGCCCCCTGCCCCTTGCAAAAAGACTCTTAATAACTCCCTTAATTCATTACATGTCAAAAATCTATTTTGGACTTTTTAGACTAGTTTATTCTATATATTAGTGCACACATACTTGCATCACAGTGTCGGATGAGGTTTGCCTCCATATGGAACATCTGTTACTCAGAAATTATACCTGATAACACTATATTAAAATATAGTCAAATGAGCCAGGCATGGTACGGTGGTGCATGCCTGTTAGTCCCAGCTACTCAGGATGGTAAGCAGAAGGATTGCTTGAGCCTGGGAGTTTGAGACCAGGCTGGGCAACATAGCAAGACCCTGTCTCTAAAAATAAAAAATAAACATATAGCCACATAGCCAAATACTAACACATAACTTGATAACTGATCAAAGGAACTGAAGCAAATCACCTCCATCTTCTCAGAAGCTGATTTTGGAGTGTAAAAGAAGAACTTCTATTGTATGAGCTGGTAATCAACATGGAAGTTTCCAGAGATGAGAAAACCCCACCAGGCTTACTTCAAAATGTTCAAAAGTTGTTCCCCTCTTACCCTGGAGAGAAAGAGTTCTAAACTGTGAAAATAACAAAAAATCCCAAAATATATTATTTCTTGAAGACTTGTTGAAGGAAGTGACTGCAACTTAGTATCTAAAAGAGAAGTGCATTACTTAGTGCTTTTCAGGCTGATGGTGTGACAGAAGGGAAAATTCTCTCTTGTCCTGGTTAAACAGGCCCTGTATGCTTGAGGCGGGGCTTTCTCAGCATCCCTATTTCTGATCCCCATGACAACCAATCTCAGCCTTGTCTCTATGGCAGATATCACATAACAGAGTGTTATCTACCCATTTACACAATGCTTGTATAACCATTGCCTCTTGGACCAAATAATTTGTTTTTTATTTCAAAAGTTCATAAGTGGAAATAGCTTGCCTTGAATCTCAGATGAGACTTTAGACCTTTAGACTTTTGAGTTGGTTCTGGAACAAGTTAGGACTTTTGGAAACTATTGGGATGGAATGATTATATTTTGCAATGTGAAAAGGACGTTTGACTTGGGAGGCCGGAGGAGGAATACTATGGATTAGATATGCTTTGTTTGTTCCCTCCAAATCTCACATTGAAATCTGATCCCCAGTGTTGGAGGTGGGGCCTGGTGAGAGGTGTCTGACCTTGGGGCAGATCCTTCATGAATGGCTTGGTGCCATTTTTGTGGTAACAGGTGAGTTCTCACTCTATTAGTTCCCACAGAACTGATTGTTAAAAACAGCCTGGCACCTCCCCCGTCTCTATCTCTTGCTTCCTCACTCCCATGTGATCTCTGCACACACCAGTTCCCTTTCACCTTATGCCATGTGTGGAAGTAGCCTGATGCCCTCACCAGAAGAAGGTGCTGGCACCATACTTCTTGTACAGCCTGCATAACCATGAGACAAGTAAATCTCTTTTATTCCTAAATTATCCAGCCTCCAGCATTCCTTAATAGCAAAGCAAATGGTCTAAGACACTACCACACCCCCATGGTGGCATACACTTACTAATGTTAGAATAGGATCCTGAGCTGAGGACAATCTCCTGCCCCTATAGAGGTAGAAAACCTTTATGTATTTTACCCATCTCTAGCAATACTGGGTCTTTACTTGTGCCTTGAAGGTGGCAGGGTTTGTGGCCCATTCACCAGCAGACTAAGGGTTTTACTTTATAGGAGAAGAGAATCCAGGCAGGAGTTGGGCTTCATGTCTTTTTCTCATGACATTCCCTCCAGAACCAAGGGGAGGCACTTTCTGGTTTTCTGCTTGTCTCTAATACTTAATGTTGGCACCTGGGGAAGGTCCATGCAAAAATACATGAGTAGGTGGAATTGCTCTTGTGTCTGAGGCTCCCAGAAGTTCTGTATTCTCATGGTAGCTAAGATTTGGCCTTCAGCAATTGAATAAAATTTTAACTAATTTTAAAAATTTACTTGCATGGAAGCCACCTTCTTCTTGTACTCTACCACAGTTGAGAAAGTACATGTATCCTTTCTTATTTCAGAAATTCCTGCCTCTTTTTTTTTTGAAATTTAGAAACTTGGTTACCCTGTACCTTCTTATACCTAAAGAGTTTCAGAACATGTGTGGTTTTTGTAGTTTGTCCAGCCTTGTCTTATCATCAGGGTGAAAACAATGCTTTTTCCACCTTTTAAATCCTAGGAAGAAACAGTATTAAGGCTGTATTTTCTTAATTGAGACATGCATTCTTCCATCTTACTGGTGCCATTAATCCAGGTATGACATGAAGGGTTAGCAATGATTGGAAAAAATTGTTCAATTACTCATAACTGGTTAGACTATATAATTTACACTGATTATTCTGATCGGTAAGGGGACAGTTTATGGTCTCAGTTATTTATTTTGTCAACTAAATTAAAGGATAAAATAACATGACCATCCTACATGGACACTTTATATGTGTAGGATCATTCATTATCATGAATCCATTCTGCCAGTTATGCTGCATACTTAAAGGTTTTCTCACTTCAGGTTCTTTGTAAGGAGAAAAAATCTATTAAAGATATCGAACAGCCAAACACTCAGAATGGTCTGAGATGCTCAGAGGACAAATAATCATTATCCTTGATTGGCACAGAAGAGCCAGAGTCCCGTGATTGTAAAGAAGATCTCAGATGCTTCACAAGAGAGTAATCAACTTTAGTGGGGCTGCAAGATTATTTTTTCTGGGTTTTGACATGACAAACACTCTCAGTTACATCCCAAGAATATGTGTATCTCATTTTCTCGCACAAGGACATTTCCTGTACTTACATTGGTTACAAAAGGTGCATTGATGGTAAGGTTAATGTAATATACTATTGTCTTAGTCTGTTCAGGCTGCTGTGACAAAAATACTATAAACTGAGTGGCTTAGACAGCAAACATTTGTTTCTCACAGTTCTGGAAACTGAAAAGTTGAAAATCAAAAGGTCACAATACTGTCTGTCTGGTGAGGGTTTGCTTCCTGGTTCATAGACTGCCATCCTCTTGATGTGTTCTCCCTTGACAGAAAGAATGAGAGAGAGAGAGAGAGCTCTGGGGTCTCTTTAATAAGTCCACTAATTCCATTCACAAGGACTCCACCTTCATGACCTAATTACCTCATAAAAGTCCCACCTCCTAATACCAACTTATTGGGGTTTACGATTACAACATATAAATTTTAAGAAAAACAAATATTCAGTCCATAACAGCCATTATTTCATTCTCAGGGTTTTCTATGCTTAATATGTTGCACTTCTATTTATTTTGTTAAAAATTATTAATGGTTCATATGTATGAGTTTCTTCATTATTTGACTTACAGTATCTCTAAAAAGAAAAATATCATTAAAAACTGACAAAAGACAAATATCTATTGAGGTTGAAGTGATTCATATGATGAGGTTGAGTCATGTTATTTGCATAAATAGAGTTGTAGCAACCTTACCCTAGATGTTTATCTATAGTTATATTAAGGCAATTTTTGATTAAAATATTCTTAATCAAAATTTATTTTAGAAGCGTCAATTGCAAATATGGCCATTAATTGTTTTTTCCCATTGTTGTCCTATTCCATAATTTTCTAAATTGGCTGTATTTACAATAGTTTGGGATATCTAAATTATAGACTGGTCATATTGAAGTCATTAATATTAGTATGTATAACACTGTAAAAAAATAAAAATTGTATGACTTCAAATCAGTAAAAAGTTTAAAAGACTCAGAAAATTAAAAAAATAAACAACAAAGTATGTAAAGGAGAGTGTGACAATCAGTGTTTCTGCACAACTGGAATAATCTGATTCTGGGTGAAATCTGTCAGTTTCAATGAAGGTGTCTTTCTGTTGTTGGAAATGTTGGGTCTACAGTCAATTTCTATGAACTATTCTCTTTCAGAGATTCTGTGGAGAATCTTATATTAAGATTTCTAGTTGATGTAACTTTCCAATTACTTTTCATGGAGGATAATGTCATTTTAGTTGAGAAACATGTATTTAGGGATTACTTAATTGCAGTTTAACAGCCATACTTACAGAAAAATTACCCTGATAAGGCCACTTCCATCAAAGCTCAAGGGCTGTCTTTTTCTAATGCATTTTCCACCTGATTTCAGGTGATGTCAGGGCTAAATAAATGGTTAACAAGAAAATCCATCTCATGCCTGTTGATGCTGGGGCTGAGTATATTGGGCTAGTTATCTTACATCAGTTTATGTCATGGGAATTAAGTATGGTTAGAGATATTTCTAGATAAATTGGTTGTTGGTGACTAGCTAATAAGTTGATACTATGTGACTTTGTGAAAGAGAGTAATGAAGGGCCATAGAGCTAAAGGTAATAGTTTAGGTCAAGGAAATTTACAAATGTCTGATAATTTAATTCCTGTTCTAATATTCAAAAATTCTAAATAAAATAATAATAGGCCCCAGCAACACATGAAATTATTTAATTAATATCATCAACATACAGATCCCAAGATATCAACAAATCTTAATCAGAATAAACAGAAACCTAGAAATATGCTTTAATTAGCATATTTAATTATTTCTAAAAACCAAAGATAAAATGAAAATCTTAATAACAATCAGAGTTAGCAAGATAGCAGAATAGGATGTCTGTGTCCCCAACATCATAGCACCCAAATATGTGAAGCAAACATTGACAGAACTAAAGGGGGAAATAAATAGCAAAACAATAATAACAGGGGATTTCAATATCCCACTATCAATAATAAATAGAACATCCAAACAGAAGATTAATAAGAAAATGGAGAACTTCTGAAAACTCCTAGTTCCAAAATTGCAATGTAGAGGCAAGCTGGCTTCTCTACCCTACCCCCCCCCCCCACACACACACACACAAACAAACAAATATACAGCACCAGGAACTACACTAGCAACAACCCAGAGCTCAAGTATGAGGATGAGACAGTTCCTGGGGCAACAGAGAAGTAGAAAGACTTTGAGAAGATGTTAGGAGAATCAGACTTGCACATCCACAATGCCCCTCCCCACCATTCTGCCAGGCACACAGAAAATCTCCTACCAACTCATGGTTTCAGCACTGGAAATATTAAAACTGAGATGGTAAACCAGCTTCCTCACCTTCTTGGATTCCCTGGAAGCAGGCATGTCCTTTATTTCAAGTGACAAGTGGCACCATAACTTCCTAAAGGGACAAATATCCATGAGGACAGGCAGAGATGAACAGGGGGTGTCTACCATCCATGGCCCTGGAAACTCTGCTCTGTAACTCAGCCAAAGGAGATGCCAAATCAGAGTGGCTGTAGGAGATTTGTTCCACAAGTCTCCTGAGAGCAAAAGCCTAGCCAGCCTTCCCTTTACTGCCAGATAATCCCTTTGGAAGGTCTTCTATTTGGGACAGGCAGTGCTTGGGCCAATTATTAATACTAGAGCTGAGGTAAACCTGGACTTAAGGCACCATGTACAGTTGAAAAGGAGGCAGAGATCTAGTAGTGGAGATTCCGTAAACAAATATATTCAATAAAAACTAAACCAAGCCAGACAGAGAAAACTAATAAATAACTAGTCATTCAATGAAAAGACATAGACTTATAACCACAATAAACAACAGCAAACAAGGAATCATGACTTTCCCAAAAGGGCAGAGCAAAAATCTAGTGACTGACTCTAAGAAAACAGTGATTTGTGAACTCTTTGACTGCGAATTCAAAAGAGCAGTTTTAAAGAAACTCAGTGATCTCCAAGATAGTGATAGAGGCAGGAGGAAGACAAATGCCTAGGCAGATAAGGAGGGTTGCCTGGAGAATCTCCAACCTGCCCTACAAGTATTTACACCAGATGTTTTTGTGCAGATAAGGGAACCCACACAGGGTCTTGCCTGAACATTCCCACAAAAGACAGGAGGCCCACATGCAGTGGGGGAATGGGATGGAGCCACCAGAAATTCACACCTTATGCGGAGGAGGAGCCTGGCTCCTTCAGCTGTTGTGTGGTAGCCTGGTATTCAATCTGTGAGGTGGAAACCTGCATGCAGGACCCCTCTCTTTGCTGAGAGCTTTCCTTTCACTTAATAAATTCCACCCTCCTCACCTTTCAATGTGTCCACATGCCTAATTTTTCCTAGTCATGAGACAAGAACCTGAATTTAGCTGAACTCATGAGCAAAAAATCCTGCAACATTTTTGTGGCCAGTACAGGAATACATCAGAAGAGTGAAAAAAATGCAAACCCAAAAATCTCTTTCACTTTGTTTTCTGAGCTTTCTTGTCCTCAGACTTTTTCTGAAGTCAGGGGAAACTACCCCCACCCCAACCCCTGTTGCTCTCGGGGATCAGGAATGTCAGCCTCAGTGCAACCCAGTGTTTTCTAGGCATCTTCCTTCTGTTTTTCCAGGAGTGTAATGGCACCTATCTTTTCTTTTACAATATTGGGAGTGTTCCACCCCAACCCCAATGGCCACAGGTGCACATGGGAAGAACTGGTGAGTGGCAGCTTCCTGCCCCACTTCCCTTCTGGCTGGGGCACATGGCCATGTCTGCTGCATGTGCATGCGACATCCAACTGTTATGCAGGGTAGGACTGAGCCACAGCTGCTGCCAGAGCCCCAGAGTGGTCTCAGGGGCCAGAAGCCCTGAGCGACCAGCTGGCCATTATTCCGTGTCACGCATCCACAGGAGTCTTCTCCTCCCTGGCTGAGGGGTCCAGCTCAGTTGAACTTTTAATTGAAAGCAATTAAAAGTTTCTCTCCCTGTGGAGAAATCCATTTGCATAAGAATAATAGGCTTCTTCTCCCAGGCATCTTTATCTTTTCTCCAACCTGTCAGCAGTTAACACAGCCCTGCACTTAAGAATTTTTCCTCCGTTCTCTACCCTGCCAGCAGTTTTTTTTTTTTTAATTTTCTCCCCTAGGTCAAGAGTTAATGTGTTGGTGTGAAGGTAGTTGCAGTTTTTGCCATTACTTAGAATGGTGGGGACCATGATTGCTTTTGCACCAACCTAGTAACACAGCCCTGTGAGTAGAGGAGGCTTCTCTATGCCAGTGTTTTTTGTTTTGTTTTGTTTTTCTTGAAAGGTTTTTTATCAGGTCAGACCCCAATTCACAAGTTTCCCATTTCATGGATAGAGGTCATGCTAGTATCCATGGCATAAATGAGGTCTAAGGACTTGAAGGCTATGGACAGCAGGGGGAAATGCAGTGCATGGGTAAGAGCCCATAATCCCACCTCCTAGGTTCCCTGTTAACATGGGTGAAAGTCACATTGGCACCCATGAGTGGCATCCTGTTGAGGTCACAGGGACTTAGTATATAAGGATGAAAGAAGGAAAGAGGACACATTTTCCTTCTCTCCCTCACACACTCCAGGTATTTGCTAGGAAGAGTGAGGAATTAGGGACAGATGGCTCCCCTCTTTCTAGATGAGTAGCCATTTATCTTCGGTCTGCACCCCTTTCAAATGCATCCTGAGTCCTGGGGCTCTTTTGAAAAAATGTCTTTTTTTTCCTTTTTCCCACTTGGTCCTGTCTTCCCAGAAGGGGAATCGTGTTACTGTACTACAGGACATTCCCCTTGAATGCATCCCTCAAACTGGGAAAAGTTAATTTCCCAAATCTTAAACTGGTTGGGTTAGAATTAGGCTCAGAGGAAGGGAACCTAGAAGCCTGACATGCCAGCACTAGGGTAAAAGATTTTTTTACCAGTTGGAATTTTGGCCTGCCTCTTCCTGTGCAAACCAGTAAAAGGAATGGTAAGAATCACTGTTTATATTTGCTGTAAAGTTTTGATTAATGAAAATGGATTTATGAGGTTTGTCTTAAGCTGTAGCCAATCTGGTGTGCTTTGTATGTCCTTCTGTATAGTTCTGTCAGAAAGACTGGTATCTTAGGATAAGATGTGGGCCTAGGACCCTGTAAGCCCACTGCTCAAGTCAGCCTGGCAAAGTGGTCAGCAACAAATTTTGCTGCAGGCCTCCATCTTGTTTTACTTCCTTGGGAGCATGACCTGTAATGACATGGCAGTACTTTGTTTTAGCCTCTGCCATTTTGCAATAGTAGCCTGGGTTCATTCCCGGCTTAGGGAATGAGTACTTACTAGTTAATACCTGTGTGACTTTTGCCATTTGCTGATTCTATTCCCCTCCATGAACCATTTCTAGCCTCCTTTCTTGAATCTTTCCTTCTCTGAGCTACCTTTAAAGCTTCTAGATTTTGTAAAAACTGCTTGCCACCTCTTTGAGAATGTCTTACACACTCCCAGTTAAGTCATAATCTTAGTTGAGGTTTGTTGGTTTCGCCTCTGAGGTTACTTCTGGTAAAGTTCAAAAGCCAAAAATATCGGCTGCTTGGTGTGGCTAAAGTTGGGTAATAAGGAATTTAAAAGGGCTTTCTTAATGAGTGCTCAGTTTAACTAAAAGTGGATACCCAAGTTATGTAAAAATAATTATTCTTGCTGCACTTTATGCAAATAATCAGTCCAAGTATAAGACTAAAATCTCTTTTGCAAACAAGTCAGTCCTATCATAATTTGTTTTTAACAAAAATGAAGACTGGAGAGAGAGAAATTATGTTTCAAAACTTATCATACAGTTTTTATTAAATTCTAGACTCATTGGTTGTTTTTAAGTTCTTGCCCACATTTTAAACTAACCCTGCTTACTCCTGTGAACCAACCAGCAATCTCCAATTTCAGCCCAGAAGAAATGAAAAAGTATGGATAATGTAAAAATCTGGATATTCTAGTTCTGGACAATTATCCTGCAAATCTTGCCAGGTGATGGGAGTAAATAGAATGTCCATAACCCAGAGGTTTCTTTGTTTGGGAAAATAAGACCAAGAGAACTAACCAAAGCTGAGCCCCATGTACCCAAATCTTAGCAGGTGTAACTATAGCCACCAGTTATGTGGACATGTTGATAGCATTGGGATTTTTTAGCTGTCCTTACCCCCTCCCTTGTTTTGTTTTGATACATGTTTTATAATAACCAAGTTTGTTCCCTCTTGCTTCCAGGCCATGACTCCAAATAGTCATGCAACCAGAGCCTCAGATGATGGCCCCTTTTACTGGGGACTCTTAGACAGGTCTCTCAGGGAGATCTGACTGCCTTCTTCCTAAAACAGCGCCCCCTGTCAGCAGGAAGCAGTTAAGATTTGTCTTTATCCGTATTCCAGTAGCAGTTAGATGCACCTCTTTACAGCAGAGAGTGACAGAGGTGGGAAGCAGACAAATGCTTAGACAGATAAGGAAGGTTCCCTGGAGAATCTCCAACCTGCCCCACATGTATTTACACTGATCCTTTGTGCAGATAAGGGAACCTGCACAGGTTCCTGCCCACATGCAGTGGGGAAATGGGATGCAGCCACCAGAAATTCATGCCTTATGCAGGGGAGAAGCCTGGCCTCTTAAGCTCATGTATGGTGGCCTGGTATTCAATTCGTGAGGTGGAAACCTGTGTGAAAGACCCCAGTCTTTGCTAAGAGCTTTCCTTTCACTTAATAAATTCCACCTTTCAATGTGTCCTCATGCCTAATTTTAATTTTAATCTACATCTTTCAATGTGTTCTCATGCCTAATTTTAATTAATTTAATTAATTGAATTAATTAATTATTTAATTGATTATTTGATTATTAAATAATCAATTAAATTAATTAATTTTAATTTCAATTTCAATTTGTCCTCCTAATCTAATTTGTCCTCATGCCTAATTTTTCCTAGTTGTGAGACAAGAACTCAGATTTAGCTGAACCAAGGAGCAAAAAATCCTGCATCAATTACACAAAAAAGCCATTAAGAAATGTATCAGATAAATTTGACAGATATTGAAATAATAAAAACAAAATCAAACAGAAATCTTGAAACTGAGAAATACATTTGCTGAACTGAAGAGGTATTTAGAGGCTTTCAACAGCAGAATAAACCAAGCATAGGAAAGGATCACTGACCTCAAACACTGGCTATTTGAAAATACACAGTAAGAGAGAAGAAAGAACAAATAAAAAGTAATGAAGACCATCTACAAAATATAGAAATAGACTCAAAAGACCAAATGAAGAATTGTTGGTGTTCAAGAGGGAGTTGAGCAAGAGCAAGGGATAGAAAGCTTATTTAAAGAAATAATAACAAAAATCTTTCCAAAATTTGAGAAAGATATAAATATTTAGGTACAGGAAGATCTTAGAACACCGTATAGATTTAACCCAGATAACACTACCCCAAGTTATCTAGTATTCAAACTCTCAAAGAGCAAGGAAAAAGAGAAGATTCTAAAGCAGTGAAAGATAAGAAGAAAATAACATATTAAGGAACTCCAATTTGCCTGCCAACATACTTCTCAATGGAAATTATACCATCAAGGATGGAGAGAAATGGCATTTTTAAATACTCAAAGAAAAACAAACTGCACCCAAGAATATTGTACCTAGAATAACCATCATTGAAATTTGAAATAGATAAAATTTTTCTCAGACAAACAAAAGCTGGGAGAATTTACCACCACAAGACCTATCTTGCAAGAAATGCTAAAGGGAGTTCTTCAGTCTGAAAGAAAAAAACACTAATATGCAAGAAATCTCTTTAGGGTAAAAAACTCACTGGTAAAATTAAGTACACGAAGAAACCCAGAATACTCAGCTATTTCATGTGTGGTGTGCAATCCACTCATAACTCTAGTATAAAGCCCAAAGGACAAATCTATCTAAAATAATAATAGCTACAGCAACCCATTCAGAAATAGGTAATATAAAAATATGTAAGTTGAAAGAACTAAAAGTTAAAATGTAGGGGAGACAAAGTTAATGTACAGAATTTTTATGTGTGGGTTTTGTCTTTATTTCTATTCTTTTATTTGTGATCTAAGATAAGTTATCTCTGTAAAATAACTTGTTATATCTGTGTTTTCTGTAAGACTCATAGTAACAACAGTTCAAAAACCTATAATAGATTCACTAAAATAAAAAGCAACAAATTAAAATACAGTATTGCACATAATCACTTAACCACAGAGGAAGACAGTAAGGAAGGAAGAAAAGAAGAGGATCCTCAAAAGCAACCAGAAAACAAGCAACAAAATGGCAACAGTAAGTCATTACTTATCAATAATAACATTAAATGTAAATGGCCTCAATTCCCCAAATAAAAGTCACAGAGTGGCTGAATGGATAAAGATACAAGACCCAAATATACACTACCTTCATATAGTTGGGTATATATAGTTAAGTAAATGAAATTAACATATAGTTGGGTCTTGTATCTTGTATCTTTAGCTATAAAAACACACATAGAATTTTTATTAAACAATGAGCTCAGTACCCAGTGTGCACAGAAGCCATCACTATGACACTGGCTTTTGAGAAAAGAAAGACTTTATTACAAAGCCATCAATCAAGGAGATAGGAGGTGTGGCTAAAATCTGTCTTCCTGATTTGGGGTCTGGGCATGTTTTAAGGGATCAAAGGGTTTGGGGAATATTAGGAATGTTGGCTTGGCAGGGTCTGAGTGAAAGGCTTCAAATCTGACCATATATGGTAAGGTATGTTGAGGCAGATTTTAGCCCAAGCTTTCTGGCCAATGGACCCCTTGCTTCTTAAAGGCTTCCAGTATTCAGGTTCTGGTCATGTCCTGGTCTTTGTTCCACAGAGAGGAAACACTGGTTCCTGGTGTTGTTAGAGGTCACAGCTTTTTTTTTTTTTTTTTTTTTTTTTTTTTCTCAGTTGTGCATGCCTCCTCTGTATGACTTGCAGTTTGGGCTCTGTCATACCTACAAGATAACCTGACCTTCTGTTATCAATGGAGTAGGGCCAGTATGGGCTGGTTACAAATCCTTCATTTTTTAATTCATTCCTTAATCTTGAGGGATTTGGGCAACAACCACTGTAGTTATTTCCTGCTGAAAGGAGGTGTGGGTCTGGGTCTAAGGAATGAAATTGTTTGCATATAATTGTAAATACTCATAGATCCCAGGTTATAGTCAAACAGATGGGTCAGATAACTCTTTTGCATATCATGCGATATGGTTTGGCTCTGTGTCTCCACTCAAATCTCATCTCGAATTGTAATCCCCACATGTAGGGGGAGGAAAGTGATTGGGTCACGGGGGCAGTTTCCCCCGCACTGTTCTAGTGATAGCGAGTGAATTCTTATGAGATCTGATGAGAAAATGGCAGTTTTTTTCCTGTGTTCTCACTTATCTCTCTGTGTTGCCTGCTGCCATGTAAGACATGACTACTTCCCCTTCCACAATGATTGTAAGTTTTCTGAAGCCTCCTCAGCCATGTGGAACTATGAGTCAATTAAATCTCCTTTGTTTATAAATTACCCAGTCTTGAGTACAATCTTCATAGCAGTGTGTGAAAATGAACTAATAGATCATATAATCATTCCATTAGCAGAGGAAATTGATTTAAAAGTACAAGATAGACAGCAGCTACAGACCTGAAGGAAAAGAAATCCCAATACACATAGAATTGTAATTCCTAGTTTAAGTAGACTCTCTCTATCCAGGTTTGTTATGGGACACTTCCTGGAACCAAGCAGCTTCTTGTCTAATTTTATCTAGATGGGTCTCAACTTCTGCAGAAGTATTAATGTAAACACAGCATGATGTATTAGCCATAACACAAATACTTCCTTGTTCAGCCAGGGTATAGTCTAGAGCAATTCAATTATCTAGTACTGCTCAAGCCAAAGAATCTATCACTCTCTGTTGAGCCACTATGACCAATGCAGTCACATTGGCAAACCTTCTTAGGGTGATGGAAAGGTTCCTAATCATATGTTCATGCATGGCAAGTCCCCACAAGATAATTCACCACAGGACAAGATAATTCACCCAATGAAATATCCTACACCATATGGTAGGCTGCCTGATAAATATTTATCTTGGAAAAGACCTAATATCAATCTTTTTGTTCTAGCAAAAACTTCTAAAAAGCTGGTTCTTTGCCAGGCATCACTAGAGTTATGGACACAGAAATGAGCAACTAAACGCCCAAGAAAACAAGTACTTCCTATGCACCAGCTGTCTATGCATTTATAGGTTCATGGTTGGCCATTTGCCCCACAGACAAAGGTGTATCCTAAAGGTGGACCCAGAACACTGGATATGTTTTTAAATTTAGGTTTTCTGACTCCAGGATTACAGAACATATACAGCTGGTAGATGATAAATTGGTACAAGACTATTTTGAATCCGATTTGTAAATTATAATCTGAAAATCTTATAGCTTAGTTTGAATTTGTTGACTGCTCCTCTCACGGATACACTATATAATAATCTTCACTTCATATTGCACCTGTCCTGATGTTTTATAACAAATATTTTAAGTAACATTTTTGGAATGTTTAACATGTGCCAGGCATTGCTCTAAGTTTTTATTTATATTTTCTCATTCATTTGATCCTTTCAATAAATAATACTTCATTTTGTACATAAAGAAGCTATGAGCACAGTGATGTTAAATAATTTGCCCAACTTTATAGTTGATAAAAGGAAGATCTGGGATCTTCATCCAGGGAGTTTAGCTCCATCCTAATCACTGTAATATGCTGCCCCATGCCCTCAGTGTTTATATCATATTACTGGTATGTTTTATTTTTATATTAATAGGTGATCACTAGAATGTAAGCCCTGCAAGCGATCTATATTTTGTTCAGTATGTATCCAAAATGCCCAGAACAGTGCTTGGCAATCAGTTAATATTTATTGCTGTTATTGAAACAAGCAAATTGTTGAGAATTTGGTACATGTGTTTGATATTGCCAGCATGCAGAAAGGACATAAAAATGTCATGTCAATAAGCAGAATAATCATGGCTCATTTCAATGTCACTACTTCCAGTCCCTAGAATTTTCCTCAAGAAAATAAATTTTAAAAAAGAAATAACAGAGGATTGAATAAAAAGAAAGAAAAGAAACATTATTATACATAATAATATTTTATTGCATAATTCAAAATAGCTAGAAGAGAGGCATTGTAATGTTCCCAACACAAAGAAAAGATGAATGTTTGAAGTGATGGATATCCGAATTATTGTCATTTGATGATTTCACATTGTATACATTTACCAAATATCACATGTGCCCCCAAAATATATACATTAAATAAAGGTTGTATAAGTGGGCTACATTAGTCTAATTGAATACTTGTCACTAATGATACATATGTATCTCTCTCTCTTCCCACTATCCCATCTCCATGGCCTCTAACTGATGGACACTCAATCTTAACTTCCACAATCAAACATAAGATTTCTTTATAGTAAGGTGATCATGGGGATGAAATTTCACCCAACTTTAGAAAGGTAATACCAGTCTCACTTTCCTGGGGTGGCAGTGAGAAAAAGTCCTACCAACAGCTAGTCTTTCTCTTAATAACTTCCCCAGGTGTCATATACATCTAATGTCACATATTTTTCATACATGTTAATGTGATTATTAAGCAGATCAAAGGGCTAGCCATAAAATAATCACTTCAAAATACCTCTGAGAGACAAAGGACACACTCTGGCTACTAAATGAAGAGGTCATAGAAAAACAGGGAAAAATTATACTACCCAAAAGATAATACCATATCTCATCAAAACTGGCAAAATCTACCCATTATCAACAATCCACATGTAAGACATGAGTTCCAAGAGAGGCACCAGGGCAGCATGCAGCTGAATAAAAAGTGTCACGGAGATCTAGAGGTATAGGAAATTGAACAAAATCAGAGACCACTACAGGAAGATTTGGCCATACCATGTCTGCTAGATTGGAAGGAGAATTCAAGTGCAGGGACCAAGGAAGACCTATTGACCATTCACACTGCTTCCCCAGAGCCCAAATATCATCCACTCCTTTCCTGTTTATTAAAATTCATCCTTTCTCTCTGTCCACCATACACTCCTCCACTCGCATGCACATTCCACACAACACTGTCTTATGTTCAGGGCTAGCTTCACAGAGAAACACAGTTTCATTGGTTCTGGTCACAGGGCATGAGAATATGATGCAGAGCATGACTTACACCCTGTACACATTTGTTGGCTCTGTCTGCATGGTAATATAGGGGGAAGCCAAGTTTGTCCAGAATCTGGAACTGGGACCAGATAAGATAGGACATGAGGCCCTGGCCCCGGGACTCAGGCATGATGGCTGCCATCCACAGCTCTCCAGTATGGTCCATTACAAACCAGGACACCGTGGTCCTTTCAGGCCCCAGCAGACAGCAGAATGGGAGGTTCTGAATACAGCACTCAATGAATCTCTGGTTCCTCTCATTGCCACCAAAATGCCAGAATTTATTCATCAAGGAAGCATGGGTGGTTTTCAGAGATGAGAGTTTAAACATCTCTTGGTTACTATTGATAGAAGGGGAAAAGAAAAGCCCAAAATATCACACATACTGTGATGGATATTTGTATTCCCTTAAATTGTCTTGAAAGGCAAATAGGAACACAGATAAGGGTATAGTCTCTGCAGCCAGACTGCCTGGGTTCATAATATGACTGTCTGTGTGATCTTGAACAGGTAACTTAGAATCTCTCTGCCACCATTTCTTCTGACATAACATGGATATATTAATAACAACTCCATAGAGGTCTATTTCAAGATGGCCGAATAGGAATATCTCCAGTCTGCAGCTCCCAGTGTGATCAACACAGAAGATGGGTGATTTTGGCATTTCCAACTGAAGTACCTGGTTCATCTCATTAGGGCTGGTTGGACAATGGGTACAGCCCACAGAGGGCAAACTGAAGCTGGGGAGGGCATCGTCTCACCCTGGAAGCACAAGGTTTCAGGGGATTTCCCTTTCCTAGCCAAGGGAAGCCATGACAGACTCTACCTGAAAAAATGGGACACTTCTGCCCAAATACTGCACTTTTCCCACTGTCTTAGCAACTGTCAGATTCTCTCCTGTGCCTGGCTTAGCAGGTCCCACACCCATGGTGCCTTGTTCACTGCTAGCACAGCAGTCTGAGATCAACCAATGAGGCTGAAGCCTGGTGGGGAGAGGGGTGTCTGCCATTGCTGAGTCTTGAGTAGATAAAGTGGCCAAGAAGCTCAAACTGGGCAGAGCCCACCACAGCTCAGCAAGGCCTACTGCCTCTATAGACACCACCTCTGTGGGTAGGGCATAGCTGAAAAACAGGCAACAGAAACTTGTGCAGACTTAAACATCCCTGTCTGACAGCTCTGAAGAGAGCAATGGTTCTCCCAGCATGGAGTTTGAGCTCTGAGAATGGACGGATGGCCTCCTCAAGTGGGTCCCTGACCCCCATATAGCCTAACTGGGAGACATCTCTCAGTAGGGGCCGACAGACACCTCATACAGGCAAGTGCCCCTCTGGGACAAATCTTCCTGAGGAAGGACCAGGCAGCAATATTTGTTGTTCTGTAATATTTGCTGTTCTGCAGCCTCCACTGGTGATACCCAGGCAAACAGAGCACAGAGTGGACATCCAGCAAACTCCAACAGACCTGCAGCTGAGGGACCTGACTGTTAGAAGGAAAACTAACACACAGAAAGGAAAAGCATGAACATCAACAGAAAGGACATCCATCCAAAAACCCCATCTGTAACAGTTCACCAACATCAAAGACCAAAGGTAGATAAAACCACAAAGACGGGGAGAAATCAGAGCAGAAAAGCTGAAAATTCTAAAAACCAGGGCTCCTCTTCTCCTCCAAAGGATCAAAGCTCCTCACCAGCAACAGAAAAAAGCTGGATGGAGAATGACTTTGATGAGTTGACAGAAGTAAGCTTCAGAAGGTCGGTAATAACAAACTTCTCCAAGCTAAAGGGTCATGTTCTAACCCATCACAAGGAAGCTAAAAGCTTTGAAAAAAGGTTAGGTGAATGGCTAAGTGGAATAAACAGTGTAGAGAAGACCTCAAATGACCATATGGAGCTGAAAACCGTGGCACGAGAACTTCGTGATGCATGCACAAGCTTCAATAGCTGTTTTGATCAAGTGGAAGAAAGAATATCAGTGATTGAAGATCAAATTAATGAAATAAAGCAAGAAGACAAGTTTAGAGAAAAAAGTGAAAAAAAAAATGAACAAAGCTTCCAAAAATATGGGACTATGTGAAAGACCAAATCTACGTTTAATTGGTGTACCTGAAAGTGACAAGGAGAATGGAACCAAGTTTGAAAACACTCTTCAGGATATGATCCAGGAGAACTTCCCCAACCTAGCAAGGCAGGCCAACATTCAAATTCAGGAAATACAGAGAACACCACAAAGATACTCCTTGAGAAGAGCAACCCCAAGGCACATAATTGTCAGATTCACCAAGGTTGAAATGAAGGAAAAAATGTTAAGGCCAGCCAGAGAGAAAGGTCAGGTTACCCACAAAGGGAAGCCCATCAGACTAACAGTGGATCTCTCACCAGAAACCTTACTAGCCAGAAGAGAGTGGGAGCCAATATTCAACATTCTTAAAGAAAATAATTTTTAGCCCAGAATTGCATATCCAGCCAAAGTGAGCTTCATAAGTGAAGGAGGAATAAAATCCTTTACAGACAAGCAAATGCTGAGAGGTTTTGTCACCACCAGGCCTGCCCTAAAAGAGCTCCTGAAGGAAGCACTAAACATGGAAAGGAACAACCGGGACCAGCCACTGCAAAAACATGCCAAATTGTAAAGACCATCAATGCTATGAAGAAACTGCATCAATTGATGACAAAATAACCAGCTAACCTCATAATGACAGGATCAAATTCACACATAACAATATTAACCTTAAATGTAAATGGGCTAAACGCCCCAATTAAAAGATACAGACTGGCAAATTGGATAGAGTCAAGACCCATCAGTGTGCTGTATTCAGGAGACACAGCTCATGTGCAGAGACACACATAGGTTCAAAATAAAGGGATGGAGGAAGATCTACCAAGCAAATGGAAAGCAAAAAAAAAGCAGAGGTTGCAATCCTAGTCTCTGATAAAACAGACTTTAAACCAACAAAGATCAAAAGAGAAAAAGAAGGCCATTACATAATGGTAAAGGGATCAATTCAACAAGAAGAGCTAACTATCATGTATATGTATATATACATACACTCACAAATATGTGTATATATATATACACATACATATATACATATATACATATACACATATATATGTATGTATATGTATACATATACATACATATATACATATATATACACATATATGATAGCTCTTCTTGTTGTACATATATATACATATATACACACACACACACACACACACACACATATATATATATATATATATATATATACCGAATATGGGAACACTCAGATTCATAAAGCAAGTCCTTAGAAACATACAAAGAGATTTAGACTCCCACGCAATAATAATGGGAGACTTTAACACCCCACTGTCAATATTAGACAGATCAATGAAACAGAAAGTTAACATGGATATCCAGGATTTGAACTCAGCTCTGCACCATGTGGACCTAATAGACCTCTACAGAACTCTCCACCCCAAATCAAGAGAATATACATTCTTCTCAGCACCACGTCACACATATTCTAAAATAGACCACATAATTGGAAATAAAACACTCCTCAGCAAATGTAAAAGAACAGAAATCACAACAAACTGTCTCTCAGACCACAGTGCAATCAAATTAGAACTCATGATTAAGAAACTGACCCAAAACCAGACAACTACATGGAAACTGAGCGACCTGCTCCTGAATGACTCCTGGGTAAATAACAAAATGAAGGCAAAAATAAAGATGTTATTTGAAACCAATGAGAACAAAGACACAACATACCAATCTCTGGGACACATTTAAAGCAGTGTGTAGAAGGAAATTTATAGCACTAAATGCCCACAAGAGAAAGCAGGAAAGATCTAAAATAGACACCTAACATCACAATTAAAAGAACTAGAGAAGCAAGAGCAAACAAATTCAAATCTAGCAGAAGGCAAGAAATAACTAAGATCAGAGCATAACTGAAGGAGATAGAGACACAAAAAAACCCTTTAAAAAATCAATGAATCCAGGAGCTGGTGTATTGAAAATATCAACAAAATTGATAGACCACTAGCAAGACCAATAAAGAGAGAGAAGAATCAAATAGACACAATAAAAAATGACAACGTGGATATCACCACTGATCCCACAGAAATACAAACTACCATCAAAGAATACTATAAACACCTCTATGCAAATAAACTAGAAAATCTAGAAGAGATGGATAAATTCCTGGACACATACACCCTCCCAAGACTAAACCAGGAAGAAGTTGAATGTCTGAATAGACCCATAACAGGCTCTGAAATTGAGGCAATAATTTATAGTCTACCAACCAAAAAAGCTGAGGACCAGACAGATTCACAGCTAAATTCTACCAGAAGTACAAAGAGGAGCTGGTACTATTCCTTCTGAAACTATTCCAATCAATAGAAAAAGAGGTACTCCTCCCTAACACATTTTATGAGGCCGGCATCATCCTGACACCAAAGCCTCGCTGAGATACAACAAAAAACGAGAATTTTAGACCAATATCCCTGATGATCATTGATGCAAAAATCCTCAATAAAATACTGGCAAACCTAATCCAGCAGCACATAAAAAAGCTTATCCACCATGATCAAGTTGGCTTCATCCCTGGGATGCAAGTCTGGTTCAACATATGCAAATAAATAAGCATAGTCCATCACATAAACAGAACCAATGACAAAAACCACATGATTATCTCAATGGATGCAGAAAAGGACTTTGACAAAATTTAACAGCGCTTCATGCTGAAAACTCTCAATAAAATAGGTATTGATAGAATGTATCTCAAAATAATCAGAGCTATTTATGACAAACCCACAGCTAATATTATACTGAATGGGCAAAAAGTTGAAACATTCCCTTTGAAAGCCGGCACAACACAAGGATGCCCTCTCTCACCACTCCTATCCAACATAATGTTGGAAGTTCCTGCCAGGGCAATCAGGCAATATAAAGAAATAAAGGATATTCAATTAAGAAAAGAGGAATCAAGTTGCCCCTGTTTGTAGATGACATAATTGTATATTTAGAAAACCCCATCATCTCAGCCCAAAATCTCCTTAGGCTGATAAGCAACTTCAGCAAAGTCTCAGGATACAAAATCAATATACAAAAATCACAAGCATTCCTATACACCAATAACAGGCAAACAGAGAGCCAAATCATGAGTGAACACCGATTCACAATTGCTACAAAGAGAATAAAATACCTAGGAATCCAACTTACAAGGGATGTGAAGGACCTCTTCAAGGAGAACTACAAATCGCTGCTCAACAAAATAAAAGAGGACACAAAGAAATGGAAGAACATTCCATGCTCATGGATAGAAAGAATTAATATCATGAAAATGACCATACTGCCCAACATAATGTATATATTCAATGCCATCCACATCAAGCTACCAAGGACTTTCTTCACAGAATTGGAAAAAAACTGCTTAAAAGTTCATATGGAACCAAAATAGAGCCCACATACCCAAGACAATCCTAAGCAAAAAGAACAAAGCTGGAGGCATCATGCTACCTGACTTCAAACTATACTACAAGGCTACAGTAACCGAAACAGCATGGTACTGGTACTGAAACAGATATATAGACAATGGAACAGAACAGAGGCTTCAGAAATAACACCACACATATACAACCAACTGATCTTTGAAAAACCTGATGAACACAAGAAATGGGGAAAAGATTCTCTATTTGATAAATGGTGCTGGGAAAACTGGCTAGCCATATGTAGAAAGCTGAAACTGGATCCCTTCCTTACATCTTATACAAAAATTAATTCAACATGGATTAAAGACTTAAATGGCAGACTTAAAACCATAAAAACCCTAGAAAAAAACCTAGGCAATACCATTCAGTACATAGGCATGGGCAAGGACTTCATGACTAAAACCCCAAAAGCAATGGCAACAAAAGCCAAAATAGACAAATGGGATTGAATTAAACTAAAGAGCTTCTGCATGGCAAAAGAAACTACCCTCAGAGTGAACAGGCAACCTACAGAATGGGAGAAAATTTTTGCAACCTACTCATCTGACAAAGGGCTAATATCCAGAATCTACAAAGAACTTAAACAAATTTACAAGAAAAAAACAAACAACCCCATCAAAAAGTGAGCAAAGGATATGAACAGACACTTCTCAAAAGAAGACATTTATGCAGCCAACAGACACATGAAAAAATGCTCATCACCACTGGTCATCAGAGAAATGCAAATCAAAACCACAAGGAGATACCATCTCATGCTAATTAGAATGGCTGTCCTTAAAAAGTCAGAAAACAACAGATGCTGGAGAGGATGCGGAGAAATAGTAATGCTTTTACGCTGTTGGTGGGAGTATAAATTAGTTCAACCACTGCAGAAGACAGTGTGGTGATTCCTCAAGGATCTAGAACTAGAAATACCATTTGACCCAGCAATCCCATTACTGGGTATATACCCAAAGGATTATAAATCATGCTGCTATAAAGACACATGCACATGTGTGTTTATTGTGGCACTATTCACAATAGCAAAGACTTGGAACCAACCCAAATGTCCATCAATATTAGGCTGGATTAAGAAAATGTGGCACATAGACACCATGGAATACTATGCAGCCATAAAAAAGGATGATTTCATGTCCTTTGTAGGGACACAGATGAGGCTGGAAACCGTCATTCTCAGCAAACTATCACAAGGACAGAAAATCAAACACCGCATGTTCTCACTCATAGGTGGGAATTGAACGATGAGAAGACTTGGACACAGGGCGGGGAACATCACACACCAGGGCTTGTCATGGGGTGGGAGGCTTGGGGAGGCATAGCATTAGGAGAAATACCTAATGTAAATGATGAGTTGATGGGTGCAGCAAACAAACATGGCACATGTATACCTATGTAACAAACCAGCACATTGTGTACATGTACCCTATAACTTAAAGTATCATAATAAAAAAACTCCATCAAAGACAGACATGGATATTATAAGAACTACTGCATGACAAGGAGCTATAACAGTGCCATAAAAATTAAAATTTTATAAAAGTTAAATATTGTTCTTCTTGATGTTTCTGTGGCCTGCTGTGTAAGATGGGACAGATGATATCAGCCCCATTTTATAGATGAAAAAAATGGGTAAACAGAAAATAAATGATTCCTCAAAGTACATGCTAATAGGCAGTAAAGCCAGAGCTTAGAATCATGAAATCTTAGAATGTTGGTGTCAGAGCATCCTTGGCCACTGTGTTAAACAAATGGGAAAGCTGAAGTATAGAGAGAGGCAACGATATGGAATGCAGATGACCCGTGTTAAAGAGGACTGAAGTCTGAAGGCTCCTGAAGTGGTGTAAAGGGGATTGGGAGTAGGATTGGGAGTCTTTCTGAAAAGAGCCCAAACTGTGGAACTGGATCTAGACTCAGGCCCCAGTTACACCCTTAATCAAGTATGTGGTTATCAAACCACTTCATCATCAGAGTCTGCTTTCTGTCAGGAAATGGAGAGAATGTCTCCTATCCTATCTATCTCATAGGATGGACAAGAGGATACAGTGATTCTGGATGTAGAGGTGCTTTTCGGGCTGTAAGGTGCTTTACAAAGTGAATAAAGCTCTTCCAGGCACATTAACACACAGAGGACCATGAGATTAATCATCTCTAAATGAAATCTTTGTCAGCAATTTGAAATTCTACTAAGTATTTGACTATAAATCAATGGGGAAAATATAGAATTGGTTTACATTATTTTTACTAAAAACACTTTTTGTTAAAATGAATGTATTAAGTGCATACTTATTAGGCACATACTATGTGTGAGGCACGGTTCTGGCTATGAGGATCTATCGGTAAACAGTATAGAGAGGATCTCTGCTCTCATGGGACTTGAAATATTGTGGAGGAGAATTTACACAACACACAGGTAGATAAATACACAAGTAAGCTGATTTCAGTAATTATAAGTGCAATAAAGAAAATAAAAATTGGGTTTTATAATGGCGAATTATGGGAGGGGTAGTTTTAGATAGGGTGCTCTGAAAAGAAGTGTCAAAGGAAATGATATTTTTATGAAAGGCAAAGAGAAAAGAAGATCAGAGGGAATAATTTTATAGGCAGATGAAAAACAAATCCAATGGCTCAAAGGTATGTGTGAGTGCATGAGAATCAAGTAGTAGAAAGAAGGTTCAAGCTGCTGGTGAGCATGAGCAATAAGGACAAGATGAAGTTCAAGAGGTGATGGGTGCAGTTCTTGTGGGGCCTTCAAGACCCATAATGGAGTTTGGATTTTATTCAAAGTGAGCTGAGAAACATTGGTGGCTTATAAGCAAGTGAATGACATAATCTACAATACATACTAAAGGAATCACCCTGGAAATGGAATTTAGGAAGGCAAGAGTGAACACAGGAAGAGAATCTTGGAGGCTACTTTAGTAGAAAAAGATGTGAGTAGTGCAGAGCATCTTTTGTTAAACTTACATGGCCTTAAGTATTCCAGATTTATAACATAAGTTCTTTGTCTCTAGCAGAAAGGGAACCAGTTTCTTTGCTGTCTCAGGCATTTCATAAAGCTGGCATTGTGATCTTTTGACTTTGACCAATTTAGCAGCTACAAGACTTTGTATTACCTCATTCAGTCTGGACTGTGAGCCTAGACAGGAGTGAAGTAAATGCCCATTTAGAAGCTACAGGAAGTTGCCTGATGGAAGTAGATGGAATTTAGAGTGAGACAGTCTTGCTTTGGATGTTGCCACTAACTGTGTGACTATAAGCAAGTGACTCCCTGAGCAAATTTTCTTTTAGGCCAGAGATAGTACTAGAAACCCTGACTGTATCGTTGTGAAATCAAAGGAAAAGTAGTATTTTTTAAAGAAAAAACAGTTGCCCACCTTGATTGTGCCCATACTACATGCCCAGGTACTGATCTAATACTTTTATTCCTTACATTGACCCTATGCATTAGGGTCTTTTACTATCCTCATGTTTATATGTGAGGAAACTGAGTAATAGTTAAGACACTTGCAAAGGATCACAAATGAAGTAAGAAGAAGAGCAAGGATGCCACCCTGGGGAGTCTGACTCTAGGAGGTATGCTCATAACTGTAACCATCGTCATCCTTGCTGACCTGGGAGGTGCTGTGTGACACAATGAGCTATGGTCCTTACTCCAGCACTGGAAGACCAGAGAAGAAGCTCAGCTCTCACATCTAATCTCCCTAAAAGATTCTGAATGTGTCTGCAAACTGTATCATGAGTCCTCAGCTAACAAGAAATTATATTACTAATAGTTCCTTATATCAACCCCAAAGTTTGCAATATTTGAATCCTGCTCTACTGAAGAGGTGGTGGCAGCTGATAAAAGGAATGAACATCAAGCTAAGAGTTTGGAGATTGGTAGAAGAAAGTAAAGTTTGTAAGAGAATTCTCTCCAGACGAAAGTGAACCTGCAATGTAGACACAGGTAGTCCCAGAAACCAGAATATATCTTAGTCATCTTACTTTGGATCTGCAAATGTTGTTTCCAGTTGATGATACCTGACATGTCAAGGCATTCTTGACAGTTCTCGGGATCTTTAGAATAGATATGGTAGCTGTTGGTGTAGTGATCAAAGTCATCTGTCATCTCCTGTTTGGGCAACATGGAATAAATCAAATTGCTTATACCAAATTGCTTATACCAAGTGATTGCAATATTTGTATTCAGTATTTTATTATACTTTGCTATTTGCAAACTTAAATATCAATTTTTGATGTGCAATCATTATTTCTGAATTATGTATGTCATGAAACTAAGTTGGGAGATCGATTATTCAACTTATGTGGAAAAAAATCCTGCTGAGTCAAATATTTATAAGTTGGATTACAATTTTAGGTCAACTAAATGTGCACTGGCTTACAAAACGTTCTCTAATTCTGTAATCTTCAGGACAAAGAAAAGTATTATTGTCAAAGTCATGCTTCTGTTGCAAGAATAAATTTTGCTCTATTTCAAAGTGTTTCAGAACAAATGTATTATTAATGTGACAATATCAAAATTTTCATCTATATGTGATAAAGCTATACAAAAATGAATACACATGATGTCTTTAAAACGTAGACTATGATGCACTATTGTTAAAAAAAATTACATATCCAACAAAATCAAAACATAAAATTTGTTCAAAAAGGTCTTCTCAAAGTTAACAAATATAAGGTAGGATGATTTGAAGATGAAAGAAGACCCAGAGGACAACTACCCAGATAGGGTAGAATAGTGGAAAAATTTTGCACAGATAGGCACTCACGACTCAGCAAGAATACCAGTAACAATTTGTGTTTGTTAAGATCTAATATTATTCCATTTCTAGATTTTAATAATTAATTTGAAATATTTCATTTTTATATTGTTTTATTTGGTGATTTTTTAAAAAATAAATTTTATATATATTTAAGGTATATAACATGATATGGGACATATGTGGATAGTAAAATGGTTATTATAGTGAAGTAAATTAATATATCCATCATCTCACATAGTTAACTTTTGTTCTGTTTTGTTTTTGCGGCAAGAGCAGCTAAAATCTAGTCATTGAGCAGGAATCCCAAATACAGCACAATTTTATTATGTATAGTCTTCATTAGACTTCTAGACGTATTTATCCTACATATCTGATACTATGTATCCTTTGACCCAGATTTCTCACATTTCTTCTCCCCTCCCCTACCCCTGGTAACCACTGTGTTATTCTCTATCTCTGTATATTTGACATTTTTTAAAAAAAGATTTTACATATAAGTGATATCACACACTATTTTTCTTTCTGTGTCTGGCTTATTTCACTTAGCATAATGTTCCCCGGTTTCATTTATATTGTGGCAAATGGTAACATCTCTCTTTTTAAGGCTGAAATAATATTCTATTTTTTTATACATATACCACAGTTTCTTTATCCATTCATCCATTGATGGATACTCAGATTGTTTCCATATCGTGGCTATTTTTAATAATGCTGCAATAAATATGGGAGTGCAGATATCATTTCTAAGTAATGATTTCATTTTCTTTGCATATATATCCAGAAGAGGGATTGTTGGGTCATGTGGTATTTCTGTTTCTACTTTCTTTAGAAACTTCCATACTGTCTTACATAATGACTGCCCCACATACATTTGTTCCAACAAAGCTTCCATTTTCTTCACGCTCTCATTAAACTGTATCTTTGACTTTTTGATAATAGCCACCCTAATAGCTATGAAGTAGTATCTCATAGTAGGGTTAATTTTCATTGCTTTGAAGATTAATAATGTTGTGTACCTTTTCATATACTTCTTGGCAATTTTTATGTCTTCTTTGGAGAAATGTCTGTTCAGGTCCTTTTTATATTTCTTGTTTGCTTTTTTTTTTACTACTAAGTTGTAAGATCATATGAGTACTTCATAACTTTTGGATATTAACCCCATATTAGATTTATAATTTGCAAATATTTTTCCCAATTCATAGGCTGCGGTCTCATTTTGATGATTGTTGCAAATGCTGTGCAGATTTTCAGTTCAATATAGTCCCATTTAGTTAAATTTTGCTTTTGTAGCCTAAACTTTTGGTGTGATATTCAAAATATCCTTGCCAAAGCCAATGTCCAGGAGGTTTTCTCCTGTGTTCTTTTCTAATAATTTTATAGTTTCAGGTATTAAATTTATATATTTAATTCATTTGAGTTGATTTCTGTATATGGTGTAAGATAAGCATCCAATTTTGTTCTTTGGGGTGTGAAAATCCAGAGTTCTCTCAATGCCATTCATTGAAGAGACTATTTTTTTTCTCTTTGTGTCCTCTTAGTATCCTTGTCAAAAATTTGTTGACAGTATATGTTTGGAATTCAGAATAGGTGCTCAGTGAATGCTTGTTCTCTTTCCCACATTTTTAATAGGTAGTTATTAGTCCTTTGTTCCCTAAAATTGTTCCACTCTCATCTTTAGGGATTCAGGGAGGCACTTCCTCATGGATTTCTCTAGCATCTGCAGTACATGGGGACTCTGCAAATGGAACATCTTGGCAGGTACCTTAACTAAACAGAGGATCAAAAAACATCAAGGAATGAGAAGAGCTGGAAGATACACAGGCACAATAGGCAGTTCTAGTGAATGGCCTGGCCTCCATTCCTACTATTTTATTGGTGCCCTATTCACTAAACTTCTCACAAACTCCAAGAAAAAATAAGACTGGTGGAAAGTACAGGTACCTCTTTCATAAATTATTTTAATATCATTTTTAAAACTTTTAAAAATACTTACAAAATGTTTATATTGCCCAGAATTCCAATAATCAAGGGTGTACTGAGATTAACAAATACATTCTCTATGCACAAGCATCTTTTGAATTAGGTTTCCATCCAAGACAAGTCTGACTGTGCCACTTAGAAGCTGTATGACATTGAGCAATTACTTACTTCCTCAGTGCCTTGGTTTCCTCATCTATAAATGGCAATGACTTTAGTATCTGTTGCATAGAGTAGTTGAGACAATTAAATAAATCAAGACCTACAAGGTGCTTGGAATAGCATCTGGGACATAGTAAGCATCCCATGAGTGATTATGATTATTAATACTCTTTATATTATTGTCATTGGGAAAAGCAGCAGCTAACCCACACCCAAAAAGTCTATTGGGTGACTTTTCTTCTGCACAACAATTTGTTGTAGATTTGAAACAAACTGAAAAATATTAAGTAAGAGTAATCTTTGCAATCTGGCATGTGGTAAAGGAGCTAATGTTTCAAGTATTCAGTAGAATGCCTGGCTTGAGTAGTACTCAATATGTGTCAGCTGTTTTAATTATTGTTAGCATTATCCCTTAAATAAATCATATATTTTATTGCTACTAGACTCCCATCCTGCAAAAAAGAAAAACAAAAAAACTTTTCTGATGAGTCCTTATATAGAAGACATTAAAATGATGTAACGCAAAATTTTCAAATTTGATTATGTGTTAGAACAATCTGAGGATTAAAATATGTGTATTTGTGTGTGTGTGTGTATATATATATACACACACACATATATGTATATATTTACATATATTTTATAGTTTACATGAATATATATATGTGTGTATATATATATATACACACACACATATATATATGTATATATTTTAACCCTGCTTCTACTATTCTTTATTTAGAAGACTTGGTGAGAGGGTATGCAGTCTATAAATCTGTATTCTAAAAAAGCTCTGCAATTTTTTGTGTTATTGTTCAGATTTTTGAGTCATAATTTAGATACAATAAAATTCACTAATTTTAAGTGGATAATTTTATGCAATTTGATAAATGCATATATTTGTGTAACTAGCACCAAAATTATCATATAGACCATTTCCAACGCTCCAAAAACTGTGTGTCCCTTTGTAATCAATCCCCTTTTCTGACATCCAGCCCCGTCTGACTTAGGGCTCACAGACGTCCTCCTTGTTTACTTATGACAAGACCAGGCACAGAAGCTCCAAAATCCCAATTTTGCTTCATAAATGATTAGCTGAACTGCTTATCGCCACTGACAAATGAGAAGTTAAGAAATGTTAACTAAGTTTTGTTTAATTTGGTCAATTTTCTCTTCTTCCCCAAGGCCAAGTCAGCATAGAACACTTCCTTAAGAGCCCCTACCAAGAATAGATTGAACTCAGGATAAAATATTCATCCCACATCCTCACATGGTGTTCTCCGTAGCCCTGTTTATTCCTCCCTTATAAATGATTAACTAAATTGTTCATCTTCACTGATCCATAAGAACAAAGTGCTTGTTAACCAACTTGACCAAACTTTAGTTAACCTTCTGTCCTCCCTATGGGACCCTGAACTTTGACCCACCCTCAGCCAGAGCCAGAGCCAACAATAGCATGCAGAAAGAGCCTCCTTACTCCAAACAAAAGACACTCCATAGACCTTGCTTACTCTTCACCATATAAGAACAGTTCTTTTCTTCCTGACCTTTTAGATGTTTGATCTTATGGTCTGAGTTCTCCCTATTGAAATTGTCTCCCTCTTCCTATCGCAGAAGTCTTTTTCTCCCCTCTTGCAACACTCCTTTAAATAAAATTTCTCCTTACCTAAATCTGAAGTTGTTTTTATTTAAAAATACTTTGGTATAGCTTTGTTATAAGTTAAATTGACCTTTGTGACAAACCTGGAAACCTGAGTATCAATCTATTTACTCATGCAATCATATAATAAGTCTTGACTGAGAACTTACTGTGGTGACTTTGTAAGATGTCACCTTGCCAAGACTGAAAAACATTTCCTGAAATTCTCTTCCCTGCACACTTCCAGTTAGGGTGGGCCACAGGAGAGATTTTTATGGGAGATTTGGAGGGCAAAATTGAAGAAGCAGCCATTTTTTTTATAACTCACTTCTTGACATCAAGCAGTGACTGGGCTGGTAGGTGCTTTGGCCAATTTCTCCTGTTCGGAATGGCTGTACCCCCATTGTATCTACAAAGTAACTAGCTTGCTTTTGATTTTACAAGCTCCCATAGGCAGAAGGGACCTGCCTTGCTTCAGATAAAACTCTGGACTGTGGACTTTTGAATTAAGGCTGAAATGAGTTAAGACTTTGGGGGACTGTTAGGAAGGCATGATTGGTTTTGAAATGTGAGGACATGAGATTTTAAAGGGGCTAGGGATGGAACAATATGGTTTGGCTGTGTCCCCACCCAAATCTCATCTTGAATTGTAACTTCCATAATTACCATGTGTTGTGGGAGAGATCCAGAGGGAGACAATTGAATCATGAGGGCGGTTCCCTCCATATTGTTCTCCTGGTAGTGAATAAATCTCACAAGATCTGATGGTTTTAAAAGGGAAACCTCTTTCACTTGGCTCTCTTATTCTCTCTTGTCTGCCACCATGTAAGACATGCCTTTTGGCTGTGAGTGGTGGCTCACACCTGTTATCCCAGCACTTTGGGAGGCTGAGGTGGGCGGACCACAAGGTCAGGAGATCGAGACCATCCTGGCTAACACAGTGAAACTCCGTCTCTACTAAAAAAAAATTTAAAAAAACTAGCCGGGCGTGGTGGCAAGCACCTGTAGTCCCAACTACTAAGGAAGCTGAGGCAGGAGAATGGCGTGAACCCGGGAGGCGGAGCTTGCAAGTGAGCCAAGATCGTGCCACTGCACTCCAGCCTGGGCAACAGAGTGAGACTCCATCTCAAAAAACAAAAACAAAAACAAAAGACATGCCTTTCACCTTCTGCCATGATTGTGAGGCCTCCCCAACCAAATGGAATTGTGAGTCCACTAAACCTCTTTTTAAAAATAAATTACCCAGTCCTGTGCATGTCTTTAGAATAGAGTAACACAACTGGTTAAGTCTTTGTATTAGGAACTATGGGAAGATGTGTTCTTGTTAGATTCAGATGGTGATTCAATTCAAATTTGGGATTTGCAAAATCCTGCCTATCAGAAAAAAAGTCACTGTTGTCCCAATTCATTTATCTCTTTGCTACTTTCTGCTTTTCTGATCATTTGTTTAAATCATGCCCCATTTATCTTAAGTGTCCATTGACTTAGCTTATCAACTAACTTGGCTGACTTCTCTGCTGACTTTTGCTTCCCAACTGCAAAGTCACTGTGTTCAGGGACTTTTTTCCTATATTTTGACCCTTTAGGAAAACTGGTCCTTCAGGATAATTAAATAGAATCTGTAATTGCAGAAATAGTACTAGTATTAGTTTGCATCTATTGCCCCCAGATACCAAAGATACCACTATGTTTTTGATCCTGCTATTTTAACATGATGGGGAAGGCTTGGATTAATGAATGCTGTAATTTTTTTCATGCATCTTCCCCTTTGTCCAGGTTTTTTATCTGTCATTTAAGGGCAACAACAGACCTTTCACTTAACCTTGAGTTATCTTTGTGATTTTAGGGGAGGAGAGTCTTTCCTGGAACCACTGAGGCACTGGTTGTATTTTGATTGTAGTTGCTGGAGGGGGGAAGAAGCCTAGATTGGTAGGATTCACTTAGTTTCTACAAATGATTTTTTTTTAACAATAAACGTTTGGTCTATCAGCCTCATCTGTCATCTCTCTCTTCCACACAAGATCACAGAACATTTCTTTAACTCAGTATTTGCCTTGGCATTTCTGGCTTTTGTTCATCATACTTATGCCCTACTTCTACACTACTTTCAAAATCCAGTTTTTACTCCTTTGCCAAAGTCTTTCTCAAATGTCAGTATTTCTGCAACTGACTCCCTTTGTGATTTTTCGATCCAAGCAGAATTAATCATTCTCTTTTCTGCTCTGCCCTAGAATTGTGTACATATTGCAATCACAAAACCTGTTACAATGGATTACAGTTTGCCTTCTAGGCTGTGAATTCCTCTAGACAAAGCATTAAACTATTTATTCTTTCATTCTTAATGTTTACCACAGTCTGATACACATTAAGAACTCAATAAATATCTGTTTAATAATTGAGTACATGAAGTATTTTTATTAACATAACCATTTATTTAGTCATTCCACTTATTGATTGCAAGGATTCATTAATTCATTCATTAAGGAAGTGATGGTCCCAATGTTTGTATTCCTCCAAAATTTGTATGTTGAAATTTTAACCCCCAAGGGTTTGGTATTACAAGGTGAAGCATTTGGGGATTAGGTCGTGAGGCTGCCTGTTCTATCATGGGAAGACACAGAAAGACCTAGTTTATGGTATTTTGTTATAGCAGCCCAAATGGACTAAGACAAAGTACCTATTGAAGGCCAATTATATGTTGAGCATGGAAATTTGTACCAGATGTTCCTTTGAAAAAAGGCTCAGACAAAAATATAGACAGCCATGTCAAGTCTCAGCCTCAAAATAGCATATATATAACATTTCTGAAGGCATATTTGGCACCTCAGCTAGACACATCTCAGAAGATTAATGAAAATAAGAAAAGTAAGAGTTTAATGTCACACCAACATCTATTGTTTTTTTTTTTTGACTTTTTAATTATAGATGTGGTGAAAAGGGAACACGTTTACACTGCTGGTGGGAATGTAAATTAGTACAACCACTATGGAAAACAGTATGGAGATTCCTTAAAGAACTAAAAGTAGACCTACCATTCAATCCAGCAAACCTACTACTGGTTATCTACCCAAAGCAAAAGAAGTCATTATATGAAAAGGACATTGCACATGCATATTTATAGCAGCACAATTCACAAGTGAAAGGATATGGAACCATCCTAACTGCCCATCAACCAACAAGTGGACACAGAAAATGTGGTATATATACACCATGAAATATTACTCAGCCATAAAAAAGAATGAAATAATGTCTTTTGCAGAAACTTGGATAGAACTGGAGGCCATTATTTTAAGTGAAGTAACTTAAGAATGGAAAACCAAATACCGTATGTTCTCACTTATAAGTGGTAGTTAATCTATGAGGAAGCAAAAACATACAGAGCAATATATTGGACTATGGGGACTTGTGGGAGAGGTTGGGAAGGCAGTGAGAAATACTGGTGGTGCACACTGGGTGTAGTGTACACTGTTCAGGTGATGGGTGCATGAAAATCTCAGAGTTCGCTACTAAAAAACTCATTCATGTAACCAAAAACCACATGTACTCCAAAAACTACTGAAATAAAAAAAATAATAAAAATATAGGAAATGAAACAAAAAAATAGTTTAATGCCCAATTACTGGGAATATAATAGTAGTATATTGCCAAGTACATTTGGTACAACCTTCTGCATATGTACACGCACAGACTGAAAACACAAATGTGATGTTCAACAAATGCAGTTGATTATAAAATGAGGAGGTTGAAAAAAGCTGGCACACTTTGGGGGATTGCAAACACTGGCAATGGACAAAGTCTTATAGAGGGCATTTTGAAACCTTCAACACAGCCATTCCAGTACTTGGAGTTTATGCAAAAAAAAAAATTTGCTGAAGAAACATGCTTTATAAAAAATTTTGTAAAGCAGTATTAACTATGGGTAAATATTGAACACAATTGCAATGTCTCTCTACAAAGATAATTTACCTAAATAATGATCTATAATTATTTTACTACATTAAACTCATTAATGTGAAAACTATGATATTATATTGACATATGAGAGAGTATTAAAATGAATATAAAAAAGGTCAGAGAAGATAAGACATAAATTTTAATTAGATACGTAGTCGTTTGTATGTCCCTTTATATATATTATATATATAAAGCAAAACTTTAGAAGGAAATACTAAATAATTTTCTGGTCTGTTACAATATTCTAAAATCTGTAATATAGATTAGATTCTTAAAATTATATTGTTATGGTTTTAAATTTATCATTAATTTTCTTTGTATTCTAGTCCCTATACTACAATCTGTGTACTCCCTTTGTGACTTTATGCAGGATACTTAATTTCCCTAAATATCAGTTTTCCAAGGAAAAATCTAACTACCTTAAAAATTTAGCAGAGGACAATGTAAAAGTTCCATAGTATGT